>NC_000003.12:58797878-59100909 GCF_000001405.40 Homo sapiens | reverse complement strand
CTAAGGCAGGTGATTTCTACATTTCCAACTGAGGTACCCAGTTCATCTCATTAGGACTGGTTAGGCAATGGGTGCAACCCACAGAGAGCAATCAGAAGCAGGGTGGGGCGTTGCCTTACTCAAGGAGTGCAAGGAGCAGGGGGCCTCCCTTTCCCAGCCAAGGGAAGCCATGAGGGTCTGTGTTACCTGGCCCGGGTACTATGCTTTTCCCACGGTTTCTGCAATCCGGAGATCAAGAGATTCCCTCGTTTGCCTACACCACCAGGGCCATGGGTTTCAAGCACAAAACTGGGTAGCTGTTTGGGCAGACACTGAGCTAGCTGTAGGAGCTTTTTTCATATCCCAGTGGCACCTGGAACCTTAGCAAGACAGAACCATTCACTCCTCTGAAAAAGCGGCTGAAGCCAGAGACCCAAGTTCTCACTGAGCAGGTCCCACTCCCATGGAGCCCAGCAAGCTAAGAAACACTGGCTTGAAATTCTCACTGCCAACACAGCAGTCTGAAGTCGACCTGGGACAGTCAATCTTGGTTGGGGGAGGGGAGTCTGCCATTACTGAGGTTTTAGTAGGTGGTTTTCTCCTGAGAGTGCTAAGGAGGCTGGGAGGTTAGGACTGGGCAGAATTCCCCACAGTGCGGCAAAGCAGCTGTGGCCAGACTATTTCTCTAGATTCCTCCTCACTGGGCAGGGCATCTCTGAAGGAAAGACAGCAGCCCAAGTCAGGGGCTTACAGATAAAACTCTTATCTCCCTGGGACAGAGCACCTGGGGGAAGGGGCAACTGTGGGCACAGCTTCAACGGATTTAATTGTTCCTGCCTGCCAGCTCTCAAGACAGCAGCTGATCCTGACAAGGGTGATTCTCCCAGCACAGCGCACCAGCTCTGCTAAGGCACAGACTGCCTCCTCAAGTGGGTCCCTGATCCCTGTGCCTCCTGACTGGGAGAGACCTCCCAACAAGGTTAACAGACACCTCCTACAGGAGAGCTCCAGTTGGCATTACATTGGTGCCCCTCTGGGATAAAGCTTCCAGAGGAAGGGGCAGGCAGCAATCTTTCCTGTTCCGCAGCCGCCACTGGTGACACCCAGGCAAACAGGGTCTGGAGTGGACCTCTAGCAAACTGCAGCAGACCTGCAGAAGAGGGACCTTACTGTTAGAGGAAAAACTAACAAACAGAAAACAACGTCAACATCAACAAAAAAATACCCCCACACAAAAACCCCATCCAAAGGTCTTCAGCCTCAAAGATCAAAGGCAGATAAATCCATGAAGATGAAGAAAAACCAGTGCAAAAATGCTGAAAATTCCAAAAACCAGAATGCCTCTTCTCCTCCCAATGATCATAACTCCTCTCCAGCAAGAGCACAAAACTGGATGGAGAATGACACTGACAAATTGACAGAAGTAGGCTTCAGAAGGTGGGTAACAACAAATTCCTCTGAGCTAAAGGAGCATGTTCTAACCCAATGCAAGGAAGCTAAGAACCTCGATAAAAAGGTTACAAGAAGTGCTAACTAAAATAACCAGTTTAGAGAGGAATAATTTTAAATCACTAGATGAAGCTGAAAAATACAGCACAAGAACTTCATGAAGTATACACAAGTATCAATAGCCAAATCGATCGAGTGGAAGAAAGGATATCAGAAATTGAAGATCACCTTACTGAAATAAGACATGAAGATAAGATTAGAGAAAAATGAATGAAAAGGAACAAACAAAGCCTCCAAGAAATATGGGACTATGTGAAAAGACCAAACCTAAGACTGATTGGTGTACCTGAAAGTGATGGGGAGAATGGAACAAAGTTGGAGAACACACTTCAGGATATTATCCAGGAGAACTTACCCAACCTAGCAAGACAGGCCAACATTCAAATTCAGGAAATACAGAGAACACCAATAAGATACTCCTCAAGAAGAGCAACCCCAAGACACATAATTGTCAGATTCTCCAAGGTTGAAAAGAAGGAAAAAATGTTAAGGGCAGCCAGAGAGAAAGGTTGGGTTACCTACAAAGGGAAGCCCATCAGACTAACAGCAGATATCTCTGCAGAAACCCTACAAGCCAGAAGAGAGTGGGGGTCAATATTCAACATTTTTAAAGAAAAGAATTTTCAACCCAGAATTTCATATCCAGCCAAACTAAGCTTCATAGCAATGGAGTAATAAAATCCTTTACAGACAAGGAAATGCTGAGGGATTTCGTCACCACCAGGCCTGCCTTACAAGAGCTCCTTAGGGAAGCACTAAATATAGAAAGAAAAAAACTGTACTAGCCACAGCAAAAACACATCAAAATGTAAAGACCAATGACACTATAAAGTAACTGCATCAACTAATGTGAAAAATAACCAGCTAGAATCATAATGACAGGATCAAATTCACACATAACAATATTAACCTTAAATGTAAGTGGGCTAAATGCCCCAGTTAAAAGACACAGACTGGCAAATTGAATAAACAGTCAAGACCCATCAGCGTGCTGTATTCAGGAGACCCATCTAACATGCAAAGACACACATAGGCTCAAAATAAAGGGATGGAGGAAGATTTACCAAGCAAATGGAAAGAAAAAAAAAAGCAGGGGTTGCAATCCTAGTCTCTGTTAAAACAGACTTTAAACCAACAAAGATCAAAAAAAGACAAAGAAGGGCATTAGATAATGGTAAAGGGATCAATGCAACAAGAAGAGGTAACTATCCCAAATATACATGCACCCAATACAGGAGCACCCAGATTCATATAACAAGTTCTTAGCCACCTACGAAGAGACTTAGACTCCCACACAATACTAGTGGGAGATTTTAGCCCCCACTGTCAATATTAGACAGATCAATGAGACAAAAAATTAACAAGGATATTCAGGACTTGAATTCGGCTCTGGATCAAGCAAGCCTAATAGATATCTACAGAACTCTCCACCCCAAATCAACAGAGTATACATTCTTCTCAGCACCACATAGCACTTATTCTAAAATCGACCACATAATTGGAAGTAAAACACTCCTCAGCAAATGCAAAAGAATGGAAATCATAACAAACAGTCACTCAGACCACAGTGCAATCAAATAAGAACTCAGGATTAAGAAACTCACTCAAAACCACACAACTACATGGAAATTGAACAATCTGCTCCTCAATGACTACTGGGTATATAACGAAATTAATGCAGAAATAAAGAAGTTCTTTCAAACCAATAAGAAAAAAGAGACAATGTACCAGAATCCCTGGGACACAGCTAAAGCAGTGTTTAGAGGGAAATTTATAGCACTAAATACCCACATCAAAAGTAGGAAAGGTCTGAAATTGACACTCTAAAATCACACTTAAAAGAACTAGAGAAGCAAGAGCAAACAAATTCAAAAGCTAGCAGAAGACATAACTAAGATCAGAGCAGACCTGAAGAAGATAGAGACATGAAAAACCCTTCAAAAAACAATGAATCCAGGAGTTGGTTTTTGGAAAAGATTAACAAAATAAATAGACCGCTAGGTAGACTAATAAAGAAGAAAAGAGAAGAATCAAATCGACACAATAAAAAATGACAAAGGGGATATCACCACTGATCCCACAGAAATACAAACTACCATCAGAGAATACTACAAACACCTCTATGCAAATAAACTGGAAAATCTAGAAGAAATGGATAAATTCCTGGACACATACACCCTCCCAAGACTAAACCAGGAAGGAGTCAAATCCCTGAGTAGACTAATAACAAGTTCTGAAATTGAGGCAGTAATTAATAGCCTACCAACCAAAAAAGCCCAAGACCAGACAGACTCACAGCCAAATTCTACCAGAGGTGCAAAGAGGAGCTGGTACCATTCCTTCTGAAACTACTCCAAACAGTAGAAATAGAGGGACTCCTTCCTAACTCATTTTATGAGGCCAACATCATCCTGAGACCAAAACCTGGCAGAGACACAACAAAAAAAGAAAATTTCAGGCCAATATCCCTGATGAACATCCATGTGAAAATCCTCAATAAAATACTGGCAAACCAAATCCAGCAGCACATCAAAAAGCTTCTCCACTACGATCAAGTTGGCTTCATCCCGGCAATGCAAGGCTGGTTCAATATACAAAAACATGGATAAAGCTGGAAGGCATCATTCTCAGCAAACTAACACAGGAACAGAAAACCAAACACCACATATTCTCACTCATAAGTGGGAGTTGAACAATGAGAACACATGGACACAGTAAGGGGAACATCATACACCAGGGCCTGTTGGGTTGTTGGGGGGAAGGGGAGGGAGAGCATTAGGACAAATACCTAATGTATGCAGGGCTTAAAACCTAGATGGCAGGTTGATAGGTGCAGCAAACCACCATGGCACATGGTATGTAACAAACCTGCAGGTTCTGCACATGTATCCCAGACCTTAAAGTAATATAAAAACAAAAAGAGGGGCCTCTAACCCACTCTGTTTTAGGAGAGACTCTAACTCCTCTAAGTTGGGCCTCTAACCCAATCCCATTCTTTACCCAGGTATATGCACCCCACTTACCCAAAGTCAGCCAACTGATGCACACAGATTATTTTCCTTTGGGTTGGGGGTCTCTTCAGTATTGTCCCTTCCATGGTCCACCAGAAACGTGTTACAGGACCCAAAGGTAGCCGTTGGGTCAGGGTTTCTGCTCTATAATCACTTCTGTGGTCACCAGAAATATGTTACAGGAAAGGGACCCTGATCCAGACCCCAAGAGAGGGTTATTGGATCTTGCACAAGAAAGAATTCAGGGTGAGTCTGGAGTGCAAAGTGAAAGCAAGTTCATTAAAGTAAAGCAATAAAAGAATGGCTACTCCACAGACAGAGCAGCCGCTCATGTAATTCTTATATACTGTCTTCTTCTTAAGATTCTGAGGCAAGTGAACATATGGATTTATTTTGTTAACCCCAACATCTAACCTAGCACAGTGCTTTGCACAAGTTAGGTACTCAATAAATATTTTCTTGAATTTGTTGAATGAATGAACTTTTCCTCATTCTGATCACTCCTTGACTTCAAGCTCAGCATTTACTACAAATTTAACTTAAAGGCTTGTACTTAATGGGATCGTTTTAGGACCATTTCATGAGTATGTATTTTGAGTGGCTAACACAATCATAGAGTCTTTAACTTCCTTATAATGCCTATGCCAATGCTTTAAACATTTTAGAGGTTCAATATATGATAACCAACTAACAAGTTACAATCCTTAGACCAAATATTATCTCCCATAGAGGTGAAAGACCAGACCAGGCATTGCTCTTAGCATACCCACTACCTGGTCAACAGGCTAAGCTTAAGCATAAAACTATTATTCACACAACTTGGTAAGCATGCCTCTAAACTGTAAGCTATAGTTTAATAATTTAGTATAAGCTGCTACCGCTAAAATATGAAGGCAAAATGATTTCTTTTGCACATAAACTCTATAGGACATAAAGATGATTGAAAAACTACATCAAGAGTGTACTGAAAAACTTACCTTAGCCGATTAGGTCTAGGTGAATAGAGCAACAAAGTAGCTGCATGTACCTGATGCACTAATAAAACAACCTTCATGTTTGACCAGCAGCAACCAAGCCCTTGTTGCTGCACAAGGACACTGAAAGACACAGCAGCATGCCTGTTGACTGCCAAAAATCAACATGAGGAGACAGATAACCTTGGTACCTGGCAGCCCAAGAGAGTTGCTTTGTTTCAGCAAAAGCATCAGGCAGCCTAAATAGGTGAAGAACAGTGAAGCAAACAGCCACAGTTTTAGAACTTCTGCCAATCAGAGGGCAGTCCAAATGTACTCTTGAGGTGGGTCAACATGAATCTGAACATTAACCACTCAGATACCAGTAAATTGCCAATTCAGTTTTTGAGAGTTCAACTCTCATCAAGGAGTCACAACCTCAAGGCAGAAGAGACTTTGCATCATAGAACGTTTTTCTTTCACACTGATAACCCAGGAAGCAATACTGTCAGCAAAATAACTTTTAATCATAACAGGTTAACAGGTGTGTGTGTGTGTCTGCGTGGCGTGTGTGTGTGTGTACTTCCCCAGGTTTTATAAACTTGAATAATCAACATTTGTACATATAAATGGCTGACCTGGCCTGTGCCTGGTTCATTATTACTTTTATCCTTAGTGACCGCGAAGTACCTTAGCAATGGTCTAGAAAAAACATATACAGAAAAATTGCAATCTCATTTCAGTAACTGACAGTGGGTCATAGGCATTGTAGCAATCACAACCTCTAGCCGTTCCAGTTTTCCATAAACAAAGAAATAGTCAATTGGCCAACTGATGTGGATTCAACTAGAATATAAACATTATCTGTGCCACCACATTCTCTTCTTGCTAAGAATGGCAATTTGCCATTCCCCAAATAAACAATGTTGCAAAGAGGTCCCAAACTCACAAAACCCTATTTAACCTATAATGGGGCTGAGATGCTATAGAAGAAAATGAGAGATAAACAGGGAACGGGCAGAAAGGAAAATTGAGATTTTTATAGAGCAATGATAATAGGTAGGAAAATTCCAAGGGGAATTATTAATTAAGATATGAGTTATTAACAATATTAAATTATCTGAGAACATAAGTACAATTTGTAATAACGTTTCCATGGCGAAATGTGTCTGAAACGATTTTCTGAAATAAACTCTGCTTTAAATCAATTCTTGCCTAGAAAAAAATTAAAATGAAGGGTAGCAGAGAGGGTAGTTATGGCTCATTAAAAATCCAAGGAATTCATGTATTCAGTAAGTGCTTATTGGGGAGATAGGCAAGTAAACAATACATTTTGTTTGCTAAGTGCTTTAACAGGATATGGGTGCTATGGGAGCACAAAGGAAGGGCATCTAACCAATCCTGATGGGGGTAGAAAGGTGGTCAAGGAAGACATGGGGGAATGACTTGAGAGAACTGAAAGAAGGGGAAGGGCAGACAAGAGTATTATAGGCAAAAAATAAAATAAAATATTTCTGGAGGCAAGAGAAAATATAAATTTAGAAGAAGAAGCTGGCAACAGATGAGGCCTGACAAATAATCCAGGCTCAGGTAGGGCTTGTGAATCCAGATTAGAATTTTGTGTTTTAGACTAAGGACCACTGGAGCAATTGAAGGAAGGGATTTGTTCCCATTTGCATTTGGAAGTCAAACAAGCAGCATGTGGAGAATTGATTAGTGGGGAACAAGATTAGAGGCAGAGAACACAATTAGAAGGCTATTGTCATAATCCTGCTGAGAGATAAAGGGTTTCAGAGAGGATAAACATAAATAGAAAGGCTTGAGCGCTATTAAGAAGTAGAATCAGCAATTCTTGATGTGGCTTCTTATTTGAGAAATAAAAGAGTCAAGAAAGACTTCCCCTCCACCCCTGGGTTTCTAATTTTAGCTACAGGGAGATTGTGATACTTTTCACCAACAGAAGCATCAAAGAGGAGGTCCTGCTTGAGGAGCCAGATGTAGAGTTTAGTTGTAGATGTATACATCCGGGTTACTTAAGGAACATTCAAGTGTTGGTATGAAGGGGGCAAAGAGATACCTGTGGCTGAGGCCCATGAGAGATGTCTAGGCTTGAAATGAAAATTTTTAAGCCACGGAATAGTAGTTGAAGATAAATTTCCCCAGAAATGTATGTGATATGAGATGGGGATCTAGATCAGAACCCTGAAGAATATGTAAAGAAAGAGGAACAGCCAGAATAATTAGAGGAAAAATAAAAGATGTCACTGAAGCAAAATAAAATGAGGATTTTAAGAAGGGAGTGTGATCAACAAGGATGATCAAGTAAGGTGAGGACTGATAAGTACCCACTGGATTTAGTTATGTGGAGGCCATTGGCAACTTTGGTAAGAGCAATGTAGTGAAATAGTGCAAGAAGACAGAAGCTGAATCATAGTGGACTAAGAAGTAGAAGACAGGTAGTACACAATCCTCAAAATGTGTGCCTGTTAAGGGGCAAATAAATGTAATGGATGTACTTAGAGGGTAACATGGACTTGAGGAAGGGCCTTTGTTTCATTTTGCTTTCTTTACATGCTCAAGTAAAGGAGGCAGCAGGAGAAAGGAAGAATTTGAAGATATGGTAGATAGAAGGATAATCATGAGACTGGGTGGTTAGAAAAGAGGGAGAGAATGGGATTCAGAACCCCGGTGGAGGAGATTAGCCTTACATAGGAATATGACCAAATCCTTTATGGGAGGAACAAGAGTAAAGGAGGAAGATATAAGAGGAGGATAGGTAAGATCATCAGTTTGTTGCTGGAGTTGAGGGTGTTCTTTCTGATGATTTCTATTGTCTCTGTGCAGCAAGAGATGAGCTCATCAGCTGCTAACAGCCTAACAAGGTTGCGTGCTTTGGACTGGTAGCACCCAGGACTGATCAAAGTTCTGGCCCACGGGCTCTAAGTGCTAAGCTCTATGAATTGGTAGAAAATAGAGAAGCGAAGAGATTGAAGGCTCCTATGAGACAAAGAACAATTGTTGGGGGAAGAGACTGAGAGACCAGGAAGAACTGAATATTTGAATCTGATATTACAAAAGTAGAGCAATTCCAGATGATGATAAAATCCAGCACTAGGCCACTTCAGTGGCTGAAGTCAAGTGGAGGTAACTATCATGGGAGCTGATGAGGTTGCAGAATTGAGATATTACTGCTATTGGATGAGTTGTTTATATAGGCATGGAAGATACCAGCACAATGTTACAAATTGCAATGGAAGAAATAATTAATAAGATGGCTTTAATTAATAAATAGAAAAATTTTGATGAATACCAAAAAGGAGGTGCTTTAAAAAAGACAAAAGAATGAGATGTCTTAGAATACAAAAAAAAAAAAAAACCCTAAAATATCTCCAATGGGCAAAGCTTTTTGAGCAATGAAACAACGGCACTGCATTATAGCACAAAAAAGTAAAATAAATATCCATAACTTCATACTCATGAATACCTACATGTAAATAAATGGTTCAATAAATAAAGAAATAGGGCTGCATGGTCACTTACACCTGTAATCCCAGGATTTTGTGAGGCCAAAGCAGGAGGATCACTTGATGTCAGGAGTTCAAGACCAGCCTGGGTAGCACAGGGAGACCCCTCCTCTACAAAAAAAATAAAATTTAGCCAGGCATGGTGATACACGCCTGTAGTCCTAGCTACTTGGGAGGCTGAGGTAAGAGGATGTCTTGAGCTCGGGAGTTTGAGGTTACAGTGAACTATGATTGCCTCACTGCACTACAGCCTGGGTGACAGAGCAAGACCCTGTCTCTAAAATAAATAAGTGACAAACCTTTCATACAGAATAATTATAAATAATAAGTGTAGGAGGAACAAGGCAAATAGAAAATTACCCAGCAATATTTGCTTTCACAAGATTCATGGGTGAATACTAAAAGTAGTAGGAAAATATCAAAGAGAAAGAGAAACAGGTATTTACATAGTCTCAGTCTTTTCTTCAATATATTTACTATGGTAGTTTTAACATATATCCACAAGCTTTTTTTAATATTACTACCTCAAAGAGGTAGAATTTCTACCTCTAATTCTCCTCTCCTTAAACGTAGGCTAGACTTGGTGATTTCCTTCTAAGTACATGAGTATTAAAAGGCAAAATGTAGTAACTTTATAGTGAGAAAACTTGGCACACATCACCTTAATCAAGTGATCAAAGTTTACCTCACCAATACTGTGAGATGATGGAAATCATTTACCCCCTGACATGATATGATGGGAAGGGCACTTCACTTCTGTGGCAGTGTTCTGTAACCCCAGTATAGTCATGAGAAAATATTAGCTAAAACCCAAACTGAGGGACATTCTGCAAAACACCTGGCCAGTAATCTTCCGAAGTGTCAAGACTGAGAAATAAGGACAGGTTGTGAAGCAAAGAAAGACAGATTAGAGGAGACTAAGGAAACATGACAAATAAATGCAATGTGGTACTGGATTGGATTTTGGAAAAAAGAACATAGTGAAGAAGCTCATGTAATTCAAATAAAGTCTGTTGTTTAGTTAATAGGGTTGTGCCACTGTTGATTTCTAGTTTTGATAAATGTGCCATGTTAGATAAAAGGTTAACATCAGGGGAAGATGGCTGATGGGTATGTGGAGAATCTATATACTATCTTTACAACTCTTTCATAAATATGAATTATTTCAAAAAAAAAGCTTAAGAGAAAAGGTTTAATGAATAACAATGAGTAGCTAAGAAAATAGCATATTGTCAGTAAAAGATGGAGGGTGTAATGAGTGTTGGAGCTGGATGGCATGAGGCCTAATGAAGTAGAAGGTTTCACAGAAAGGTGAATAAGGAATGGTTTCGAACAGCCTTATGGAGAGAGAAGTAAAGGCCAGACTATCAACTCAGCCTTCCAGTCTAACATTTATTTGACTTGATGCTGTTGCTATGTCTGGAGATCAAATAAGAACTGAAAAGTGTTCACTGCGTTTGGCAATTATCTGATCCAAGTATTACGTGGTCCACTGGTCCTGATTGGAAGGGCCATCATCCTTGAAATCTGCCAATATCAATCACTTACCTTCCATTATCCGTGGCAAATCTATGCTATTTCCTCTTCAAAGTTTGCAGCCTCTGTGAACAAAGTTTTACAAGTGATCTCAGGAAGGCCACAAATCCTAAGTTTTGTGTAATAAGGATGATTGACATATTTGGAACCTAGTAAATAATCAGGTCCTCTGCTCATATTTCTAGCTTTTCTCATCTTTGAGTGCCTCCTATCGAGGGGAATGTTTTTCTACAAGGTGTCATAAACATTAGCTCAAAATCGCCAGAATTTTAACAAGAAAAGAATTTTTCTAATCAAAAAACTAAACTTTATTGAGTCCCTTTTAAGTGTTCAAACTGGTAATATATAATTTTATATAAATTATCTCAGCCAGGGATAATTTTTAATGTGTGAAAAAGAAACCATGTAAAATTAGAGACACTGGTAAATACTATTCACTGTACTAATTGAAAAAATTAAAAAATGTTCACTACAATAAATTTAAGGTTTGGGAAAAGTAGGGGTCAAAAAGAACAGAAAGAAAAAAGTTTTAAGGGACTGACATGTGGATTCTTACACAATAGTTTTAGATACTTTTTTTTTCTTTTTTTTGAGACGGAGTCTTGATCTGTCACCCAGGCTGGAGTGCAGTGGCATGAATTCGGCTCACTGCAACATCTGCCTCCTGGGTTCAAGCTATTCTCCTGCCACCACGTCCTGCTAATTTTTTGTATTTTTTTTAGTAGAGATGGGGTTTAACCACGTTGGCCAGGCTGGTCTCGAACTCCTGACCTCAAGTGATCCACCCACCTCAGCCTCCCAAAATGCTGGGATTACAGGTGTGAGCCACTGTGCCAGGCCTAGACACTTTTAAAAATCCAACCCATGGTTTACTGATGGTGGTGAAGTGCCAGCACACACCCACAGCAGAGTCATAACTGCAAAAGGATGGCCATGCAACAAGGGAGAGAGGCAAAGGAACACAAAGCAAATACTGCTCACTACAACCAGCAAAACAACTCAACTCTGCACTAATATTCATCACAAAGTTCCAAAGAGAAAAAAACTCCAACTTTTCAGAATGGTCTCCCTTGATAGATCTGTCTGACAAATGCGACCAGAAGTAAAATGTAATTTTGATAGACACATGAAAGATAGATGTTATGATTAGATATAGACAGATAAAATGATAATAAATGTGTTTTAGGCACTAAATGTAAAATTTCAGTTTATAATATCCATTAGGGTAAAAAAATGAAAAGACCTTTCCTAAGATCAAATTTGAATGCTTAAATAATAGAAAAACAGCTACAATGAAACAACAGAACACTTTCTTCAGTGCTTCACTCCAGAATAAAGTGCTTTATATGTAATATCAGTCCTGCTCCCAGAGAATTAAGTTGGAGTCAGCATCATGAATAGATAAACTAATCTGTTTAAAAGCACATAGCAAAAACGACTGGGCCAAATCAAATCCTACTAGATTACTGTATGCAGGATAGGAGACTTCCATTGAAAATGTGGACAGGCATGCTGAGACTGTCCTAAAAGATATATTTTACATTTTTTTAAGAGGTAAAAAAATTACAAGCTAGACACAAAAGCAAATGAAGAATTTGAACAGATGGAACTTACAGGCTTTATTTTAGATGGTCCCTGACTAATAACAGATACTTTAATAACTATCAACCGGGCACGGTGGCTCACGCCTGTAATCCCAGCACTCTGGGAGGCCAAGGCGGGCAGATCACGAGGTCAGGAGATCGAGATCATCCTGGCCAAAATGGTGAAACCCCATCTCTACTAAAAAAATACAAAAAAAATTAGCTGGATGTGGTGGTGTGGACCTGTAATCCCAGCTACTAGGGAGACTGAGGCAGAAGAATTGCTTGAACCCGGGAGGCAAAGGTTGCAGTGAGCTGAGATCGCGCCACTGCACTCCAGCCTGTCAACAGAGTGAGACTCCATCTAAAAAAAAAAAAAATCACATTCAGATTTCTGTAGTAATTATCTCCAAATGAAATATATGCAACATTCTCATACAACTCAAAATTTTAGCCAAATTTAACACATATACTGGGCCATATAATTTATTGGGATAAGAGACATATAATTACATTTTGAAATTATTCCATTTAAATAAATATATATACACAGATAATTTTATTCAGTTTTGACATTGTAATAACTGGGATTTTAAAAATCCTTGTATTGAAATATACATATAGAAAAGTGTATGTATATTAATTAGGGCAACAAATTTTCACACATATTAAATATATCCAAATAACCATGTTTTGAATAATATGAGTACATCCAACTAAAGAGGAACTCTTTGGTCTTTCTTATACATGTCCAAATATTATCGAAAACATTTGCTGGTATTTTTATCCTTTAGAAATATGTAATGATTTTCGTCTTTCCTGAATTTCTTTTTTTAACCTACCAATTTGGAGAAGATGGACCCAACTGTAGGAAAATAAAAGTATCCGGTAACCTATGAATTTTACACTGAGCATATTCCCCATCCTAGTTCATTATGTACCTCACCCAATACCAGATTAAGACTCGCTAATTTACAACCCAGTTGAGAGAGCTTTATTCCAGATTCTTTCTACAAGTCACTTCAGACACTAACGACAATTCCAATCATGTAAACTCTGAATTCTGGAGGATGAACTATGAAGGAATGGTGATCTGATCCTAAGACTTTATCTACATTTCTTGTAGCTACAAGTGGGACAGGGTTGGCCAAGCTTGGGACTAAACTAGAATGAGAATTCACTTCTGAAACTTTCAAAGTCTTCGCAAAGAGGTGGGATCCTGGGCTGCAGGTGAACCAGGAGGGATTCCAAACTGTGTCAGTGATGCCTCAATCTCAGCAAACACATCTTCAACCCTTACCCATATACTTCTTCACACCCTCTATGCTGTATCAGTCGTTTGTTCCAACCCTAACTAGATGATGCAAAATGAGAATTGCTTATATAGCGAAAAAATCCAGTGGGGCAAATCTGACTATAGGCATCGCTGGACCCAAGGACTCAGACAAAGCCACCCAAATCCAACTTCTCTCTCCCCATCTCTGCATACACACCATTGTCAGACAGGCTCTCACAGTGTTCCTAAGATGGCTCCTCCTCATCCATATTCAATAGAAAAGACTGGGAGCTCTCGCCCCAGCATTCCCAGCCAGCCAAAGGTTCATTCTGTCTCATTGGTTCCAATCTGGTGGCAAGGCTTTCTCTGAACAAATCACTGTGACCAGGAAATATGATATGCTAATTGGCTGAAACCCAGGTAAATGTTCAACTCTTGAGTGGGGCATTGAACTAATACTACTTAATGGGCTAAAAGATAAATGGGTATATAATTACCAGGAGAAGGGAAAATAGGCAGTAAAAGAAAAATATTTCAATGGTACTGTAACAACTTCCATTGGTAACCCTGTTAGGCACTATGAGTTAGTGAACCTGATTAATTTGTAAACACTTACACTCAAGATGACAAGCCCCTGTCAGTATTATTCTCTTCTCACTAAGGGTGGGGAGTCTTTCTTAGCACTGCTCCCCAAAACACCTGTAAGTAAAAGGAAAAGAAGGAAGCTTGATTTGTTTGGGATGTTTTCACCAGAGAGATTAATGAATGTTATGTAAAAGATGAACTGACATAATTAATACATAAAATACTAACCTCTCAGATTCCCAAAAGAGAACCCATGGAAGTCAGAGCTCTGGTCTGCAAAGTATTTGATTGCTCATTGAAAAGCTATGAAATGCATTTGTTGTGGGTATAAAGAGAAATAAAAAGAGAACTCCTAGAGAAGTAAAGATTCAAGAATAATATTACAACACAGGACATTCATTAATGTTATTTATATTAAAATGAACCTGCCTGCTACTGTGGCCTGAGCTGGGTATAGAGACCTATTGAGGTGGAGCAACTACCCAAAAGGACCCCCTTCCAACCTAACAATTGCTACAAAGGCAAACATTCAGAACAGGTTTTCTTCAAAGGGTAAATAGAAAACAGTGGAGCTAGGTGCTAATCAAAGGCTAGCTTTTTCTTAGCAGCTATTCCGAAAACACTAAGCAAGTTTTCAACAATCCATCTAAAAGTGCAGTGTTATAAATTAATGGGTAATCATGATAATATGCATGTAATCACACAGTGATAGCATATAATAGCAATGGGTTAACTTTTACTCACTGTTTATGGAACGCCCTCTGAAATTCTTTATATCTTAGATCAGCAGTGGAACTATTTATTATGTGTATTGAATGAATAGATGCACGCATGAATAAAGGAAATGAATTAACTAGTAATTGAACTTTGGAAGTTTTCACACAGGGTAAATTTTCTATTACAAACTTTTATGTGTAAGAGTTGGAGTGTTTACTTATTGTTGGAAAACAGATTTGTTCTGTAAGCTCATTTCAGGCTGTGTTATGATGTTATTATTTAGTAAGGCTATAACACCTATACCATCCTAGCCTATACAGGATTTTTGGACAAGTTAGAAAGGTGTCCCTTAAGAATAGATGCAGCCCCCAGGGCATGTGACTTGGTGAAAAGATGGAGTCTTTGTATAAAGATAAAAGGTGGTTCATTCTCCGTAAGACTTGGGGAGATGGAGAGGGACCCGGCTGGATTTTTACCCCCATTATATCATCTGCGTTGAAAGCATTAAGTGGTACAGCTTTGGCCATCCTATAAAAATACAGAAAAATTATTAAGAAAGGAGCAAAAATCATGAATTTCTTGCTATTTTTGTATTGTGGAGTCACCTCCCTCAGGCTGCATTTTATTAGTAAAAGATATAGTCAATAGTTGTTTTAAAAAAACCTAATAGAATATATTTGAATGTTAAAAATTCAGATTTCCCTTTAATTATTTTTTCAACCTACTTTTTTTACTCAACCTGATTTTTCCTGACTGCTAGGTGAAATACAAATCTCAAAAAGGGTCATACACCTACAATTTATATATGATCACAAAAGCTCTCTAGTCTAATTTTATGGAAATTTTTCAAATTAAAATGTTATTGGGTTCAAGCAATTCTCCCGCCTCAGCCTCCTGAGTAGCTGGGATTACAAGCATGCCACCAAGCCTGGCTAATTTTTGTATTTTTAATAGAGACAGGGTTTCATCACGTTGGCCAGGCTGGTCTTGAACTCCTGACCTCAAGTGATGCATCTGCCTCGGAGGCTGCAGCGAGCCAAGATCGCACCACTGTACTCCAGCCTGGGCAACAGAGTGGGGAGACTCCGACTGAAAAAAAAGTGTTACTGGTATCCCAAAGATTATTTTTTACTCCTTCTTTTTTATCAGTAAAGGTTATTTTTCTTTGTTTACCCTATAACTTCCCAATGGCTACTGTGATCAACCAAAGTTCCCATTCTAATTCTAAGAGATGGGATACACTGAGAGCAAGAAAAATGGAGAAATAGTGATGGAGAATGGTAATGGAATCTATTTTATCCTGAAGCAATAACAAAATGAATTCAATTTGCACAAAAAGATTCTGATTTGCAGCCAAAGGACTAAAAAGGTCTTTCTGTTTACTTTTCATTAAGTAAGTATACATGCCATATTCTTTTCTGGCTAGCTTATAGCCATAAAATGAGCTTGCTCCTCCCAGATGTTAGATTCTGCAAGCTGAGGCTTGTTCTGCGTGTTGGAATGGAAAGAAGTGAACTGTGAGCCAGGACATTTTGAGTTCAGCTTTTTAATAGTTGTCTCCCAGTTTTCTTAGCTGTAAGATGGGTGGGAATTGGGCTAATAGGTGATCATCATAATAACAGCAGCTACCATTTTTGACAGCCTACTATGCCACACACCTACCACTAAATGAATACTTGAAATTATCTTATCTATTTCTTAGAAATCTAGTGAAGTAGGTGATTGCACAGGAGAGAAGCTAAAGCTTGGACCTGCCAGAGTCCCAGAACTTGTCAGGGCCCAAGATAGGGTCAGAGGTTTCAAAAGTCAGTCTTGGATTGCTTCTTGCCTATTTACATGCTGACTGACAAAGCAATCTGACAGGAATCTCAGACTAGAGCCGAGAAAAATGCAGGCTTTCTTTTTTCACATACCTAAATGTGTTTATTCTAGAAGCATATATGGAGCTTTCCTAACATGTTAGCTAGAAAGAAACATGATTTCTCTCTTAATAAGCACACTAAGGATGGCTGTGTAGAGTCGGGGAATATAAATAATCACTGCCAAATACACTGCTGTGTCATATACCAGATATTTACATTTATCATAGTGTAGATTCGGATTTCATTTTACACAACTCATATTTTTCTTAAGAATTGATAGGATGCAAAGAAGAAAATGACACAGGCTGTAAAGCCAATTCCAAAAGAAGCATTCTAGAGATATTTTGCAAAATTGTAGCATCATGAAACAAATGGATGGTTTCTGAAGTGGTTGCTCTAGATGGGAGATGGTAGGTAGGTTGAGGCAGGTTTGATTTTTAAAATCTGTCACCTGACCTCAAAGACACATTGATATATGAGTGCTTATTTATTTACTCATTCATTTAACAGAATGTATGGAGTGTTTATTGTTCTGGGCACTGGAGATACAACAGCAACCACAATGGAAATGGTTCCTCTGTCTTCACAGAACATACACGAAGACACAGAAAATAAACAAACAGAAAAATACAGAAAATAACTCCAGATTGAGATAAATTATTTGAAGGATCTACAATGCCCTTCCAGAGAATAATGCATAGAGAATGCAATACATTTTAGCTGGGGTAGTCAGAAAAGGCTTTCCTGAAATTTGAAGGATGAGAAGAAACTAAATATGAGAAGAACCACACTTGCAAAGGCCCCAGGTGGGAAAGTGTGGCAAGTTCTGGAAACTGTGATTGGCGTATAAGAAACTAGGGGTAAAAACCCATAACTAAGATCAGGAGCAAGACAAGGATGTCCACTCTCACCACTTTCATTCATAGGCCAGAAAAACAAAAAAAAAGCCATCAAGACTGAAAAAGACAATTTAAAACTATCTCTATTTGCAGATGACATGATCTTACACATAGAAAATCCTAAGGAACCACAAAAAAAACTATTAGAGGTAATAAATGAGTACAGGATAGTAAGATCAATATACAAAAATCAGTTGTATTCTATACACTTGCAACAAAAAATCTGAAAATGAAGAAAACATTAATTTATCATAGCATCAAAAAATTAGGCTGGGTGCAGTGGCTCATGCCTGTAATCCCCAGCACTTTGGAAGGCTAAGATGGGTGGATCACTTGAGGTCAGGAGTTCGAGACCAGCCTGGCCAACATGGTGAAACCTTGTCTCTACTAAAAATACAAAAAATAGCTGGGCATTGTGACGTGTGCCTGTAATCTCAGCTACTCGAGAAGCTGGGCAGGAGAACTGCTTGAACCCTCATTGGAGGTTGCAGTGAGCCGAAATCATGCCACTGCACTCCAACCTGGGTGACAGAATGAGATTCTGTCCCAAAAGAAAAGAAAATATTGTGGAGTAAATTTAACAAAGAAATGCAAAACTTGTACATTGAAAACAACAAAACATCATTAAAATTAATGAAGACCTAAATAAATGGAAGACATTCCATGTTGGAAGACTAATATTAAGATGACAATACTCCCCAGATTGACTGCCAAATTCAATACAATTGTTATTAAAATCTTGGGCTGGGTGCAGTGGCTCACGCCTGTAATCCTAGCACTTTGGAAGGCTGAGGTGGGCGGATCATGAGGTCAGGAGAGCGAGACCAGCCTGACCAACAAGTTGAAACCCCGTCTTTACTAAAAATACAAAAATCAGCTGGATGTGGTGGCACATGCTCATAATGCCAGCTACTCATGAGGCTGAGGCAGGAGAATCGCTTGAACCCAGGAGGTGGAGGTTGCAGTGAGCCAAGACCGCGCTCTGCATTCCAGTCTGGGTGACAGAATGAGACTCCGTCTCAAAAAAAAAAAAAAAAAAAAATATATATATATATATATATATATATATATATATGTTGCCATTTTTAAAAAGAAATTGACAAGCTGATCTTACAATTCACACAAAAATTCAAGAAAACCAGAATAGCCAAAAACAATCTTGAAAAAGGGGAACAAAGCAGGAGGACTCATACTTCCTGATTTCAAAACTTACTACAAAGTCATAATAATCAAGATAGTGCAGTACTGACAGACATAAGTATGGATTTATAGATTACTGGAATAGATTTGAGAGTCCAGAAATAAACCCGTGTGTCTATAATCAATTGATTTTTCACAAGGGTGCCAAGACCATTGAATGAGGAAAGAATAAATCATCTTTTCAACAAATGGTGCTGAGACAATCCACATGCAAAAGAATGAAGTTCTACCTCTTCCTCATACCATCTATAAAAACTAATTCAAAATGTCTTAAAGACCTAAATGTAAAAGCTAAAACTAAAACACAGAAGAAAAGAGAAGTTTAAATCTTTGTAATTTTGGGTCAGGACATGGTTTTTTGGCTATGACACCAAAAGCATAAAAAGAAAAAATGGATAAATTTGTCTTCATCAAAATTATGAACCTTTGTTCCTCAAAAGATATCATCAAAAAAAGGAAAAGACAATTCACAGAATGGGGAAAAATTTGAAAATAATTTATCTGATAAGGGACTTGTATCAAGGATAGGAGATTTGTATCAAGGGATTTGTATCAAGAACTCTTGACTTGTATCAAGAATTTTTAAAATATATATATAGATAGATTCAGGGGGTACATATGCAGGTGTGTTACATAGATGTATTGTATAATGTTAGGGCTTGGGCTTCTAGTGAACCCATCACTCAGATAGTGAACATAGTACTCAATATGTAGTTTTTCCAACTTTTGAGTCCCAAAGTCCCCAGTGTCTACTGTTTCCACCCAAGAATATGTAAAGAACTTACAACTCAATAATAGAAAGACAAATAACCCAATTTTAAAAATTGCCAAAGGATTGGAATCAATATTTATCCTAAGAAGATATATGGCCAATATAAGCACATGGAAAGATGTTCAACAACATTAGCCACCAGAGAAATGCAAATCCAATCTACAATGAGAGAACACTTTACACACACTAGGATGGCTATAATAAGAAAGATGGGTAAGTGACAAGTACTGGCAAGAATGTGGAGAAACTGGAACTTTTACAATGGCTGGCGGGAATATAAAATGGTACAGATGCTTTGGAAAACAGTTTGGCAGTTCCTGTAAAGATTAAACGTAGAGTTACCATATGACCCAGCAATTCTACTCCTAGGTATACACCCAAGATAAATGAAAATATATGTTCACAGAAAAACATGCCTATAGAAGCATTATTCTTAATAGCCAAAAAGCGGGGGAAAGAACTCAAATATCCATCAACTGGAGATAAGTTACATAATGCAGTAGATCCACACAATGGACTATTATTCAGCAATAAAAAGGAATGAAGTGCTAAAACATGCTACAAGATGATAAACCTTGAAAACATTATGATAAGTCAATATTACTATATCAAAAAAAAAATGCAGAGAGGGGAAAAAGAGACTAGAGGTAGAGATAAAGTTGAAGATGCAGGTACCTGAGAGAGCCTAGAGGGCTTTGCTGGCCATATTTGTGAAACTAGGATTTATATGCTAAGGGCAGAGAGAAGCCCCAGAAGGATTTTAAGGGGAAAAAAATGATATATGATTGACACATATTCATTCTGGCTGCCGTGTACAGAAGGCTTGGAGGAAGGCAAAAGAGGAAGCAGGGAGAGTGGTAGAAGGCAACGGCAGTAGCCCAGGTTATTTGATTTAGCAGATATTCCAAGAGAAATAGAGCAAAATGAATAGATTTGAGATGTGTTTTGGAAATAAAACACTTATTTATATATTTTTAGTATATATATATATAAAATAATCATTTAAATTAAGCCAAAAAATTTAAACAACTATTGGTTTAAAAAGTTGTTTTTGTTTTAAAAATACAACGTTTGACATTTAACTAAGAATTTGTAATGGACTAGATAATTTTCCTGGAGTCTCAATTCATTTAACTTTATTCTTTTAATAAAGGTAATTTACTCTAAAGAATAAGCATATTCTTTAAATTTTATCCAGTTCTAAACATTAGAGATGGAATTAAATTCACCACAAGAAAAAAAGTATTTGTTAAACTATGAGTTCTAATTTGGTAACTCTAACAGTACACATCACAGATGCTCACAATATTTCAAAATTGGAAGGGATCCTAAAATTCACTTATTCAGTCCACCAATGATTTAATTTTCGTACAACATTCCTGACAGTCAGCCAGATCTAGATGTCCTGTTAATGCTGAATATTTATTAACAAAGAGATACTCAAATTTTGACATTTCTAAAGACTTGCTTTGAACATTAACATTTGTAATGGATGCTTTAAAACATAAACATTTTGAAGCTATACCTATAGAAAAACCAGGAAGATATAATACAGAAATTAATAGTTAAATCAATTATAGTTGCTGTTACAAATATTTTGTCGAATGTGTTTTTTGATTGATTGTATCTTTACATGTAAAGGAAGTAAATGAAGTCAGGAATCAGAGTTTCTTCTCTATTAAATAAGCTGATCATCCATGAAAGTTTACATATAGCTACCAGCAAAAATTTGCTACTGAAAAATTTAAACTGAAATAAATGAATCAGTTATCTGGCACCTGCAGCAACAGCAGATTTATCTGGCAATGTTGAGCAATGAGTTATACCATACAAGTGAGTTTTACAAATAAACTTCTGTTGTAATCACTTGATGGAGACTTTTTATCTTAAACCATTTCTCACTAAAATCTCTCTAAATCTGTCTAAGGTGTTGCAAAACTTCACTATCATAGCAAATCAATGAACATAATTTAAAAGATCCTGATGACTCAGGATCATTATAAAATACTTCCATGTAATAATGCTAGCGCAGTGAATAAAAATTAGCTTTCCCATCCACTAAATATTTCCACAGACAACAGGGTTGATGGACTTTATTGCCACATCAGGTCCCTACAGAGGTGATCTCTTTTCCTGTGAAAGCCCTATGGCAAAATCTTTTGTGCCCCAATTATTTCAAAACTCTTTATTCTGATTTACTCCTTAGGTATACTCCCCTCAGTTCCATGCAAAAGTACCTGTATTCTATCTACAGAAAGGGCATCTCCTTTTCACTGGCAGTTCTCTGTAGCAGTTAGGGCTTCTAGCTGCAAGTAACAGAAACCGAAAAGGATATTGGAAAGCTTGCAGAATTGGTAGGAGGAGTAGTGACTAGGACTAGGAGGATTCCATTTAAAACTGAATTCCAGGATAAAGGACTGAAACCATCCTGCAGAACCGACAGGGTGAAAAACTACCACTGCTGTTTATGCAATACTAATGTCACTCAGTCCCAGTAACTGGACATTGCAACCACCAGCATCCTTCAAAGCCAAATTCTTACCCACTACATCACCAGCTAAAAGGATTCTATAGAGAACCTCATTATTTAAATTGCCTATTGCTGAATTGAAATCTAGCATGGGAGAATCTACGTGGTGGAGTTTAGAATGCATGCCTATGTTGTAGATGTACAGGATGTTGGAATTTGAGTTTTATGGGTCTACCGTGGGGAGGTAGGAATTATCTATTAGTTATCTAGTACTGCGTAACAAATCAGATGAAAACTTTGTGCCTTAAAACAACAAACACTTATTATCTCATTGTTGGAGGGTTAGGAATCCAGGAATGGGAAGACTGGAGCTAGAGGAACCACTTTCAACCTCATGCTCATGGCTACTGATTGGAGTCCTCAGTCCCTTGCTGGCTGATGACTGGAAGCCTTAGTTATTCACCAGGTAGACATCTCCATGGGGCTTCTTGAGGGTCCCCATGACACAAACTTGGTATTTTCCAGAGTGATCCATCCCATGGAGGGAGGCGGCGGGGAGACAGAGAGAGAGAGAGAGAGACTAAGACGGCCAAGTCTTAAAACCTAATCTTAGGAGTAACGTATCATTGTATCTACCATATTCTATTGGTCACATAGACTGACCATTGTGTGATGTGAGAAAAGACTACATGAGCACATGAATACTGGAGGTGATGACCACTGAAAGACAACTTGGAGGCTAGCTACTCTGTCCACTACATCCCCTCAGTTCAACACAGGCTTTTTACTTGTTAAGCTCTAGTCATGTTTCTCTCTATCTAATATCCTCCAGGGGGAAGAGGAAGGCTTTGTTTCTCCTTTCCCTACCATATATTATTGTTGTACACCCTCACATAAGAAAAAAAATTTAAGCATAAATTAAGGCTATACATAACATTTATTTAATCTGAGAAACAGTTTATTCTCTAAACTATAAAATCTTAATATCCTTTTTTAATGCTCTCTTAAAACCACTCTATTACTTTTAAAATTAGACTGCACAATGACCATAAGCGAGAGAAAACTTGAATTTTAGATGGTATAAAATAAGGCTGTTTTATGTACCCTCATTTTTAACTTGAGCCTATTTTTAATGAAATGGATACAAACTCCAGTATTCCTATACTCCTCTGCAAAAACAAGGTCTTTTTACATTTTGTTATCACAACATTAAGCCTACAGTAAATATCCAAAATATTCTTATTCATTCAACATATAGGTATTTAACACCTATTATGTTTCTTGAATTGAATTAAAAACTCTAGTATCCTAATGTATAAAAGGAGATTCTATGGGGTGGGTGTGTGTGTGTGTGTGTGTGTGTGTGTGTGTGTGTTTGATATAGAGTCTTGCTCTGTCACCCAGGCTGGAGTGCAGTGGCAAGATCTGGGCTCACTGCAACCTCCACCTCCTGGGTTCAAGTGATTCTCATGTCTCAGCCTCCCTAGTAGCTGGGATTACAGGTGCACACCACCATGTATTTTTAGAAGAGACGGGGTTGCACCATGTTGGCCAGGCTGGTCTTGAACTCCTGGCCTCAAGTGATCCACCCACCTCAGACTTCCAAATTGCTGGGATTACAGGTGTGAGCCACTGCGCCCAGCCCATATGTTTTTTTTTTAATGTATATTACATGTTGAAGCACAAAATATCGGACTGACATGAATAGTTTAAGATGTTTGTGTTCCCTGTGAACTAAAGAATTGAGTTTGGCAACAAGTAATGTGGCCTGAAATCCATGTACATCTCAATTGCAAGCATTAGCTGTAGCTTTCAATTAACTAAGGGAGTAGGAAAACTACTATGTATATTAATATAAGGCTCACCTTAAACTAACGAGATAATCATTTTAAGAACTCTACACGTGGTGTGTCTGTGTGTGTGTGTGTGTGTGTGTGCGCGCGCTCAGATTGGAAGAGGCTGGTAAACAGTTACATTTTATGCTTGGTTAATGCCAACCTCAGTTACCTTTCCTGGATAAAAATAAATGCACAAGCATTGATAGAGACTTTATTTCAGCTGTTTATTTCAAAACAGTGTTGTTTTAAAGACAATGAAGGCTTAAGATCTTCATATACATAAATCACTCAGATCCAAGTCAGAAACCCAAATGGACTCAGATATAGACAACTTGAAGGCCTGTATAGAGAGAAAGCACCTAAGTGAGAGCCTCTGGGAACAGGAGCTCAGATCAAATTAGCTGCAGCTACAGCAGAAAAAAAGGCAAGTTATGATCCTGTCCCTATCACTGGCCCTTGTCGTCTGGCTAGAGATTTCTGGCCCGAGGTTTCTGGCCAAACTCCTGATCTTGCTGTAAACATAGGGGAATACAGTTTTCCCTCACCTCAGGCTCAGCAGAGCGTTGCTTGGTTCATCATACTGTCAGCCTCAACAGGCTGAAACAAAACTATCAGCTTGAACCAAATGAATTTCATGTTTTGGTAGATCCAAAATAGCTGATTAGGCTGGGTGTGGTGGCTCACGCCTGTAATCCCAGTACTTTGGGAGGCTGAGGAGTGTAGACTGCCTGAGCCCAGGTTTTGAGATCAGCTTGGGCAACACAGCAAAACCCTGTCTCTAAAAGAAAATACAACAATTAGCCAGGCATGGTGGCACACGCCTCTGGTCCCCAGCTACTTGAGAGGCTGACAGTGGGAGGATTGCTTGAGGCCCTGGGAGGCAGAGGTTGCAGTGAGCCATAATTGTGCCACTAAACTCCAGTAAGACCCTGTCTGAAAAAAAGGCTTATTATCAGTAATTTCAAATGGTTAAATCTAACATTCATACTTCAGATCCACAGGATTTAGTCAATTTAGTATTCTGTTAAATTATAATTACCATGCCTTACACTGGGTCATAGACGTTTACTTTTAATAATACAAAAAATGAGGCCCAGAAAAGTTTAAGTGCCATGTGGTTAGGTTAAAACTACGACTGGATGGCCGGTTCAATGGGATTTTCATACTAGAATGCTTTATGGTGGAACTCCTAATGCTTTGGCCAACATTGCATTTTTTAACTTTTTAACTAACTAGCCAACATATTTAAAATGTGAGATTTCACACCAAAATCTGGATTGTCAGTTTCTCTTTAAAAATGGGGAAAATTCTGCCCTGAGTCCAGGATCAGGATTATGATGAAGCAAACCAAATATTCTGTGGGTGCAAAATGTCAAGGGGTGTGAGATAACTCAGTAATCAAGATAATACTTTATGTTAAAAAATTAGCCAAGCATAATTGTGTGCACCTGTAGTCCCAGTTACTCTGGACGCTGAGGTGGGAGGATTGCTTGAGCCGAGTAGTTCAAGGCTACGTGAGTGATGATCATGCCACTGCACTCCAGCCTGGGTGGCAAGGCAAGATCCTGTCTCTAATAATAATAATAATATTTTAATGCAATCTTTACGTAATCAATATTAATGCAAAAAATCTGTGATAAAAAACAATTTTAAATGAAGTGAGGCTGTTGTTCATGTGTTTTACAACCCTCCATTACTGTGCCATGGGAAGTCATTTCTAATCAGCCCTGTACACTGAGGTCACTTGCCCATCAAGCCCTGCCACTGGGCAGGTTTCTGAGCATTGAAGATGATATACAAACAGATTGGATAACAGAGCTTTAGATATAGTCACTTTTTATTGTAAAACTTTAATTAACTTCTTCCACTTAGTTCAAAATATGGGAAGATATTTTGGTAAGTGTATATAGAAATACACATTTTCCCTTTTGCCTCAGGCTTCAATACAACTCCTTATGGCACTGCCTAGCAACACACAGGTGGAGCTGAGCGGCAGCAGAGCCTTTGGATGGAGATGCACTTTCTAGGCAACATAGTCTCCACTCAACCTGCTTCACTTATTTGGCTTTCTTTGCATTCTTTCTACTCATCTTTTAAGTGTTTGTGAGCCCCAGAATTAGAGCTGAGCACTTTTCTCTTCCCTAGGTGATCTCCTCCAGAGACTGAAATTATGGATTTAAAAATGCCATCTATATGCAGTAACTCTCAAACTTATGTGTTCATTCCTGACCTTTCCTTTGAGCTCCAGATTTAAATACTATGATACTTGATATTCTACTAGGATGACTAATATGATTTTATATTTGACCTATTAAAAACAGAAGAATTTTTGATTTTTTTCAAATCTGTTTCTTCTCCTATCTTCCCCATCTCAGCAAATGATACCACTATCCTTCCAGTTATTGAGATTAAATATCTAAAGGTCCTCTTTGATTTATCTAATTTCATCCTCCACCTTTAAACCATTAAGAAGTACCAAAGAAAAAAAATAGAAATCTAGTCATTTCTTTCCATCGCTATTGCTACTACCGTGGTCCAAGATATAACTATCTCCTTTCCTAAGTGTTGGAAAAGTCTTTCAATTGGTCTTTCTGTTAACTATGCACTTCATCCCCTACCCCATTCTGTTTTCCATTTAACAACCAAACTGATCTAAATAATACATCAGATTGTTACTGCCTTCTTAAAAACCTTTCCCCTGTTCAAAAAGTCTTTCTGTTGTGATTAGACTCAATTCATACTTCTTACTATGACCTATAATACATATGCTATGATCCTGCATCATCATACTCCAACAACATTTGCTTCCATATTCTCAGAAACACTCGAGACCCAATCAATCTCTCCTAGAGGTCTTTTGTTTTATACTCTCTAGGCCTGTTTTACTCTCTCCCCAGATCCTCACATGGTTAGTTTCTTCCCATCATTCAGACCTTAGCTCACATCTGACCTCCACACACAGACTTCTCTCATCAGCCTATCTACAATAGTTCCTTTGGCTGTTGTTTCTCATGTCAACTGCTGTCTTGTGAAATTACCCTGCTTATGTTATTGTTTATTTATTTTTTCTTTCATCAGGTGGAGTTCACTGATACACTCCCAGAACGTAGATTAGTGCTAAGTAATGAGACGCTCAATAAAATTTGCTGAATGAATGCCTATGTCCATGAATAAGTAAATGAGATCAACAAATAGAAGGCTCCTTATCTCAAGAAGACCTTAACAAGGATCATTAGCTGTTATAAACTAACTAATAAACCATCCAAATTAATTTTGCTCCAGAAACACAAGGCTTAGTTTTTAGGACAGTTATTTCCATAAGCTCATTTCAGAGTGAACTATTTCACTTCAGAGAACATACAAATCCTTACTTAAAACCAACTGAAACAGTATCTGGCTCCTGGAAACTGACCTTAGAGAAAATGTAGAGTCAACAACAACCACATGAAACTCTGTGAATTATACAGTGACAAAATGAAGACTTCAAAAGATTATGGTAGCAGCTGGTGAAACTTTTAGAGAACAAAAAGATGCTCTTGTAGCTTTTATCTGTGACCTTTTTTTCAATCTTTTTAGAGAGCACCGGTCTCTGTCTACATTTATGTTTCCTAAATGACAGAGGCTATCTAGCCACCACAGAATGTGGCCACCAAAAACAGAAATAACACCAGAAGATAAATTGTTTTAAACCAATTTGGTCATCTCATTGTGATCCTCCTAAACTGTTAGGAAAGCCCAAGATGACATTTTTAATTGTTCTGTCTTCATCTCCTTATGTGTTTTGGCATATCACCACATGTGATCTCCAAGAACAGTTTTATTCATATATGTAAAATGTGTAATAAAATTCACCAATTTCAAGCATACAATTTAAATGATTTTTAGCAGGTTTACTGGGTGGTGCAAACGTAGCCATAAATCAGTTTTAGCCATCTTCATCCTCCCCCCAACAAAAGATCCCTCATGCCCATTGACAGTTAATCCAGCTTCCCACCCCTAGATCCGGGCAACCACTAAGCTACTTTCTAACTCAATAAATTAGCCTTTTCTGAACATATCATATAAATTATATCCTTCTTATAATTAGCATAATTTTTTAGGTTTATCCATGATGGAGAATTTGTAAGTAGCTCACTATTTTAATTGGTGAATAATATTCAATTATATGAATATAACACATTTTGTCTATTAACTAGTCGACATTTGGGTCGTTTTTAGTTTTTGGCTATTGTAAATAATGCTGCTATGAGCATTCACATACAAGCCTTTGTGTGGACTTTTTTCATTTCACTTGGATAGATACCAAGGAGTGGGGCTGCTGGCTTGTATCGTAGTTTCATGTTTAACTTTTTGAGAAACTTCCAAACTGTTTTCGAAAATAGCTACATTTTACGTTCCCACCAGCAATGTATGAGCGTTTCCATTTCTCTACATTCTCACAAACATTTGTTACTGTAATTTATTATAGTCATTCCAGCAGGGGTGAAATGATGTCTCATTGTGGTTTTAATTTGCACTTTTCTAAGGAGTAATGCTGTCGAGCATTTTATCTGCGTGCTCAGTAGCCATTCCTGTATCTTCTCTGGTAAAATATGTTTATATATTTTGCCCAATCTTGACTGGGTTATTTATCTTATTGAGTTGTACAAGTTATTTGTATATTCTGGATGCAAGTCCTTTATCAGCTATGTGTTTTGACCCTGTCTATTGCTTGTATTCTTATTTTCAAACTTAAAGTGAAAAAGTTTTGAATTTTGATGAAGTTCAACTTATCATTTTTTCTTTTGTGGGCTGAGCCTTTGGTCATATGTAAGAAATCTTTGCCTAACCCAAGGTCTCAAAGATCTTCTACAATATTTTATTCTAAAAGTTGTATTGTTTTAGCATACATTTAAGACTATGATTTTTATGTACGGCATAAGGTAAAGGTATAAGTTCATCTTTTTTTGCATGTGGATATTCAATTGGACCAGTGACCATTTGTTGAAAAGATTATCCTTTCCCCAATGACTTTTCTTGCCATATTTGTCAAATATCAATTCGCTATAAAGATTTATTTCTGAACTCTTGTGTTTCATTGACCTATATGTACCCTTATGCCAGTACCACTCTGTCTTAATAATTGTTATTAATAGTAAGTTTTGAAATTGGGAAGCAAAAGTCTTCCAACTTTGTCTTTCTCAAAATAACTTTGTCTATTCTGTGTGTTTTGCATTTCTTCATAAATTTTAGTATCTGCTTGTCAATTTATGCAAAAAGCCCAGCCAGAATTTTGATGGGGACTGTATTGTATCCAGAGCTCAATTAGTGGAGAATTTTCATCTTAATATTGAATCTTCCAATCCACAAAGATGGAACATCTCTCCATTTATTTAGGTCTTCTTTAATTGCTTTCAGCAAAGTTTTGTAATTTTCAACGTACAAGTCTTACACTTCTTTTGTTAGTCATACCTGAGACTGGGAAGAAAAAGACGTTTAATTGGACTTACAGTTCCACATGGCTGGGGAGGCCTCAGAATCACGGCAGGAGGTGAAAGGCATTTCCTGAGTTATTTGACTCAGTTAACGTTATCTTCAAGGAACAGGTTTCTTCTTCCTCTCCTTTATTCATTCTGCAATTTTGGCTCCATCATCAGAATGTTATAAACATTTCTTTTACAATTCTAGCAACACATTGACATGCAACAACTTCTAGGGAAAAAAAATGACAGAGCATAACTTCCAACATAAACTCTCTGTATACTAATACTTTGCATATCCAGTTAGAACAAATTCAGATGAAGAGGCAGACAAAACATAAGACAGAAATAAATAAATGTTGATGTGATTTTATTCTGCACAAAAAAGCGGATGGCTGGGGTAGATTGTATTATTGACCAAAATATTTACTGCTCCTTGCAGAAGGATTACAGATTCTCATATCCTTTATCCTTGATGTCATACTTGGCTATGTGATTTAATTTGGCCAAGTGTACATTTCACTTCCAAACATAAGCCATAAAACTCACTGAATGGTTCTATTGCATTGTTTTCCTTCTGCCACAATACAAAAAACAAACAAACAAAACAAAACAAAACAAAAAACAGAAAAAAAACCCCACAATGTCCCAAATAGCAGCTGTTTGGGAATGAAGGTGATGGGAAAAGCCACAGCTAGCCCTTGAAAAACAAGCAAAGAAAGAAATAAACCTTTGTTAATTATGAGTTTGTGAAATTTGGAAATTGTTTGTTAGCACTATATAACTTTGTATAAGCTGACTGACATAGAAATTGGTACCAGGAGCGGGTGCTGCTTGAACAGAACTTCACATGGCATTGGCTTTAGGATTAGGCAGCAGGTGGAAGGGAGATGGTTACTGGCAGATAGAAACAGGTGACATGTTTTGCAGTAGCAAAACTGGGGAAAATTGATACCCAAACTTTAAAAGTTAGATAATGGAAACAATAAGCATGTGGCCTTAGGTGAAAAAGTTGAAATAACAAATGTTAGGAGCACATTTTCTTGCTGTTGCCTGCATTCATCAAGCAACAAAACAATTCAGAAAAGAACTGGCCAGTGTGCAAGCAGAAATGAAACAGAGAATATCAGAATTTCTGAGAGTTGCAGAATTGGCAAATGCAATCAGTTCTCAAATCTCACCACTAAGCTCTAACTATAAATCTAGAATTGAGGAAACTTTAAGTTCAATACTTAATGTAAACATTGCATTCAACAAATACCTGAATAATTAAGATGGCATTCAGTAAGTCATTTTAGTTGAAAAGGATAGCTTTGGAAAGAGGTAAAGATGTGATTATGCACAAAACCAATGAATTATCCACATATCAGTTATATGTCCATAGAGACAGTGACATGTCTAGAGATAGAGAGAGATGAAAAAACTTGACATGACTATTGGCACATGGAATTGACAAGAATCAAATATTAAATCTAAGATGTTTATGAGAAATTTTGTACTGACAAAAGAGCCATATGCTGCATTAAAAGATGCTGTTTCAGACTTAAATCAACTTTTACATTACAACTTTCATGAGTAGGAGGGAAGCTGAGGAAGCCACAAAACCCCCAAGGAAGGCATATTCTCCAGTCTCCTTTTCAGATGTGGCCAAGAAGGATCATGAAAAAGAAGATGAGCAAAAAGCCACGGAGAAAAATGTCCTCAGAAGCTACTCTTAGGCAGCATAAACAGTGACTAATCAAGAAACATGCCTCACCCCCAGGTTAAGCGGCCCTTATGGAGTCTGCAGGATTTCAGAATATATATGACCTAATGACTGTTATGCCTCCCATTCTTCCCCTTTCAAGCATGAGAGACTTTATTCCAATTTGTTGAAATGAAATTACCCATCCCTGTTCCACCTTTGTATATTAAACTTATGGAAAATAGATAATTCACCTTTTTTAGCTCTTAAGTCTCTGGATCAGAGGAATCACATTCATGTTTTATAGAGAGACTATCACAATATCTTGAACTTTGAGCCTGATACTATGATTGAATGAGACAATTGAGTTGTCTTCTTTAGGCAGAGAATGAGTATATTTTGCATGTAGAAAAGAAGCAATGAAAAACCAAATGTCATATGTTCTTACAAGCAGGAGCTAAGCTATGAGGACACAAAGGAATAAGAATAATATAATGGGCTTTGGGGATTGTTGGGAAGGTTGGAAGAGGGATAAGAGATAAAAGACTACATATTGGGTAGAGTGTACACTGCTCTGATGATATGTGCACTAAAATCTCAGAAATCACCACTAAAGAACTTACCTATGTAAACAAAACCCACCTGTACCCTATAAACTATTGAAATTTTTAAAAATTTAAGTTAAAAAAAACAAAGAAAAAAACCACAAACATATTGTATAGCTGTACAAAAATATTTTTTCTTTATATCCTTATGCTATAAGATTTTTTCTACTTTTAACTTTTTTGTTTACTTTTTAAATGTTTTTGTTAAAAATTAAGACACAAACATTAGCCTAAGTCTGCATAGGGCCAGGATCATCAAGACACCACCATGCTGCAGAAATTTTTCAGCCCCATTGCAATCTTATGGGACCACCATCATACACGGTCACGACAATCAGTTGTTGACCAGAACATCATTATGCAGCACCTGAATGAATTTCTGACCTTTGGATTCTTTAAATACATCTATGGAGGCCATAATATACGAAGGAATACTTTGTTTCTATAATGAATTCCAAAGTCTAAAAAGTTAGAAAAAGACATCTTTTAGGGCAGGGCCGGACTCAACTCTTATCTGCCCACCCAAATCTACACAAATTACTATCATCCTTTCTTGTTAAATATATCTAACATCTGAATAAGTGATACTCTTATCTCAAAATTCAACCAGAAAACCTGCAGTTCCCACTACTCTGAATAAATGACGCTATTATAATAATCATCTCAAAATTTTTAACTCAAAATTTCAAAAATGATGCTATTATCTCAAAATTCAGCTAGAAAACTTGCAGTTCCCAATACACTCAAACAGTTTAAATGAACCTTATAATACACAAGCCCTGTATACTATATTCATATTTGCATGCATTCCCAAATTAAAATAATTTGTTATAGATTAAAAAGCCAAAATGCATCCTTTGGGTTTCTTTTATACAAATGGTTTTTAATATCATATATTGAATATTTTTTATACACCAAGGAAGCTTCTAAATTAAATCCATTCTGTTTGCAGCATGTTGCAACTAAATACAACTATTTGAGGCAAAAAAGGAGGCAGATTGCCCATAACAATCTACATTTTGGTTGAATATGGCAATGAAAGGAAGTGCTTGTTAGAGCACTAATGGCATATCTATCAGTATATTCCAACTTGCAATGGAAATCAATATGTGTAAATTTCATATTTTATTGGATTAACATTATTTATAACACTATCTAGGTGTTCTTATATGTTGAAAAGTTTACCTAAGATTATATTATAAAGAAAATCATATTTCCAGCACTGGTTCTACTATTTATAAACAGGATTGCTTTCTGGCAAACTAAAGAACGAATTCCTAAACAAGTAAATAAACAGAAAACAAAGCTGTCAAAATCTCTTTGCAGATTTACATTTCTCCATTTAGTGTTTACATTTTACCCTAAAGGACTTAGAAGGAATATTATTGTGAAAAATACAAGGACTGGAAAAAGCCCAAACAAGACAATGAAAGAGATAAACAAATGAGGGGAAAAAGTAAGGAGGGTAAACGAAAAAGCTAAAAAAATTCAGTAAGTGTTAAGTAACCTCATTCTAATGTCATATCAGGAGAATAGCAGACTGCCTAAGCAATACAATACAGAGATTAATTTTTGCTCTATACAAGTCTGAGCCCTATTTTCAATAGAACCATTTTATTATCTAAATATAGCTACAATTAATTTCAATTTAGCTGAATGCATTATCCACAATCATCCACTTGAAAGATTGTCTGTAGTCTCCTGCCTTTGCTATTAAAATTGTCAGGCCAACCGAGAAAGAGTAGAACTAGGTAGAAACCAAAGATAGCAGTGGTGGACAGTACCAGTGCCTGTGTATTTCCAATCACATCCCCAGCAAATGCAGCACAACATCACTCACTTGAACATGGGATCTGAATTATAAAATATTTTAAAATAATCATGTTTTGTACTTTAGATATATAAAATAAAGCTAGTTGATGACAGCGGCAGCAAAAAAGATATAATTTTGAGGCCGGGCGCAGTGGCTCACTCCTGTAATCCCAGCACTTTGGGAGGCTGAGGCGGGTGGATCACGAGGTCAGGAGATCGAGACCATCCTGGCTAACACGGTGAAACCCCGTTTCTACTAAAAAATAGAAAAAAATAGCCAGGCGTGGTGGCGGGCGCCTGTAGTCCCAGCTACTCAGGAGGCTGAGGCAGGAGAATGGCATGAACCTGGGAGGTGGAGCTTGCAGTGAGCCGAGATCCCGTCACTGCACTCCAGACTGGGCGACAGAGCAAGACTCCGTCTCAAAAAAAAAAAGATATGATTTGGGGTAAATATGTTTCGACACACAGCATATTATATGCAAGTGGTACATCTTTTACTCTGCACTCTCACCCCCATGCTGATAGCCACATTTGAAAATTTCATCCAGGCTGGGCATGGTGGCTCATGCCTGTAATCCCAGCACTTTGGGAGGCCAAGATGGGCTGATCACCTGAGGTCTGGAATTCAAGACCAGCCTGGCCAACATGGTAAAACCCTGTCTCTACTAAAAATACAAAAATTAGCTAGGCTTGGTGGTGTGCGCCTGTAATCCCAGCTACTCGGGAGGCTGAGGTAGGAGAATCACTTGAACCCAGGAGGCAGAGGTTGCAGTGAGCCAAGATTGCACCACTGCCCTCCACCCTGGGCAATAGAGCGAGACTCCATCTCAAAAAATAAAAAAATTCATCCATTCCATTCTACAAGATACATCACCTCCTCCCAGAAGGCCTAATTTATACATCTCATGGCATTTTTCGAAAAGCAGTGCAGGTAATTTAGCATGGGCTTACCTCTTAATGTATGACTTTGAGCAAGTTGCTTATTCTGTCTCTGCCCTATGGTTGTGAGAATTAGAAGAATGAATGTACATAAGGCACCTAGATTAGGACCTCACACATATTAGTTCTTGGTTAATTTTAGCTCTCTTAATTGGAGAGAAAGCAGAGGATAAAGCTGCATTGTTGACTGTTGTATTCCATACCTAACACAGCATCTGGCATCTAGTGGCTCTCAAATATTACCTTTGAATGAAAAAAGACCTCTTTCTGGAATACTTATAATTACAGGGTGAAAGGAGGAAGAAGAGCCAGCAAAATAGTTCCAGATGGAGGTAAGCAGTTAACAGCTTTTAAAACTGAAGAAAGTTCAGAGTCTGAGCTTCTGAGGGTAGGGGTGGTGGCACTTGATTCTATGGTCAGTGAATTAAAGCAACTTGTTTCCCCTGGGGATTATATTTGAAGAAAATGGATCACAGTAATAAATTATAAACAGACCCAAAATCTCTGGTTAAATCTGGTTAACACAAACTGTTCATCAGGAAAGAGTAGCAAATTTATTACCATAAAGTGTTGTGTAATAAATACGGCTAGAATATACTTTAGATATATCCAAAGACCATTAAAAATGGTTTTACAGAAAGTTTGTTAAAACTTCAGGCCGGGCGCGGTGGCTCACGCCTGTAATCCCAGCACTTTGGGAGGCCGAGGCGGGTGGATCATGAGGTCAGGAGATCGAGACCATCCTGGATAACAAGGTGAAACCCCGTCTCTACTAAAAATACAAAAAAAAAATTAGCCGGGCGCGGTGGCGGGCGCCTGTAGTCCCAGCTACTCGGGAGGCTGAGGCAGGAGAATGGCGTGAACCCGGGAAGCGGAGCTTGCAGTGAGCCGAGATTGCGCCACTGCAGTCCGCAGTCCGGCCTGGGCGACAGAGCGAGACTCCGTCTCAAAAAAAAAAAAAAAAAAAGAACTTCACAGTCTTTTCATGAAAGGTTGCCTTACCCAAATTATCAGTGAAGAGACCTTTATCTTGAAATACTTTCTTTGACTTTTTCTTGCTTTTTCAAGGGCTTTTCAGTTAATTAAGATGTATTTAAAGGCTACAACTAAAAAAAAAAAAAAAAATTGTGGGTTTGAAGATGGCGGATAGGCGGCAGGACTAACTTGCAACTCCCACTCAGACGCACAGAGCAGCACGTGGACACTCACACCGTGACCTTTTGCTTTAAGAACTACCGCAGGAACATACCAGGAAAGCCAAGGGAATCCCCAGACCCTTTGAAGGAAGTGGCTTGCTGCTGCAGACTCTATGAGACAGCCAAAAAACTGTGAGTGCCCAAGTGTGAGCAGGGGGGAAAAATCCGCCCCTGAACACACATCCTCATTGGGGACCTTAAAGTCCAGATTACAGGAGAAGGAGCTGACCTTACCTGTAGCTGTGATGAATTTAGAGAGCCAAGTGAAATATAGATGAAGAGGAAGCAGCGGGAAGAGCAGTGTGGGCCCTCTTGGTCCCCAGGGAAGCCATTTCTGACTTTCCCTCACAGGAGTCCTTGGGGAGGGCTGCCAGTGGAATTGGGGAAGGACCACAGGAAGAAGCTAAACTTTGTAATAATTTTGACTGAACATGAATTTTCCTGGACAGAATCCCAGGGAGGGAGGCAAACGGGGAGCACAGATACGAGCACAGAAGCTGTGGCAGGCAGGGAGGTGTGAAACCTGAAAGCCCTACTTGCTTTCTCAGTGGAGAGGCTTGTAGCCTTTGCCAGAATCTCAGCCCTGCTCACTGGCTGCCTGGATATAAACACGGTGCTGTTGGTGAGGCACAGTGGAAGTGAGACTGGCCTTTCTGGCTGTGTGGGAGCTGGATGAGGCCTGTTACTGCTAGCTTTCCCTCACTTCCCTGGTGACCTGTATGACATAGCACAGGAGCCATAATCCTTCTGGGAACATAACTCCATTGGTCTGAGAATCACACCCCCATCCCCCACAGTGGCCATAGAAAACCGCCCCCCGCAAGGAAAATCTGAGCTCAAACACACCTAATCCTGCCCCAACCTGATGATCTTTCTCTGTTCACCCTGGTAGCCAAAGACAAAAGACATAATCTTTCAAGAGCCCTATGGCCTTACCCACCACCTCAGAAACCTGAATACTTATCTAGGCAACCCTAGGGTATACTTGTTTCCTCCCAGGAAGCCCTCTGCTGATGCTCTCTTGAAAGCGCCACCTCCTGGCTGGAGACCAGCCAACATAAAACATTACAGCAACTCATAAAAGAACAACCCTGCCCCAAGAAAGGAGAAAATAACAACTAATTTCATTGCCTGTAACAACCTGGCTAACCAGAGATCCTGAGTCTGTCCATGTGACAACTTTACTGCCAGCACAATCAGCACTGGACGTGGCTCACTAAACAAAACTACAACCAAGGACTCATTTCACTCCCCTCCTACCTCCACCCGAGCAGGTGCTAGTATCCACAGCCGAGAGACCTGGAGACCTGAAGACAGATCACATCACAGGACTCTTTGCAGACACTCCCCAGTACCAGCCTGGAGACTGGAAGCTCTGCTGGGTGGCTAGATCCAGAAGGGAAATAACAATCACTGCAGTTCGGCTCCCAGGAAGCCCCATCCCTAGAGATGGAGAGACTACCACATGAAAGGAGCACTCCGTGGACAAAAGAATCTGAACAGCCCCTGAGCCCCAGATCTTTCCTCTGACATAGTCTACCTAAATGGGAAAGAACCAGAAAAACCGTTTTGGTAATATGACAAAGCAAGGTTCTTTAATACCCCCAAAAGATCACACTAGCTCACCAGCAATGATGCAAACCAAGATGAAATCTCTTGAATTGGTAGAAAAAGAATTCAGAAGGCCAATTATTAAGCTACTCAAGGAAGGACCAGAGAAAGGTGAATACCAACTTAAAGAAATAAAACAAAAAAATACAAGATATGGACAAAAAAATCTCCAGATAAAGAGACAGCGTAAATAAAAACCACAACCTCTGGAATTGAAGGTCACACTTAGAGAAATGCAAAATACACTGGAAAGTCTCAACAACAGAACCAAACAAGTAGAAGAAAGAACTTCAGAACACAAAGACAAGGCTTTTGAATTTACCCAATCCAGCAAATAAAAAAAAAATGTTCATTTTTTAAAATTCTAAGTCTCCAAGAAGTTTGAAATGATGTTAAACAACCAAACCTAAGAATTGCCATTCCCAAGGAAGAAGATAAATCTAAAAGTATGGCAAACATATTTAAGGGAATAATTAAGGAAAACTTCCCTGCCCTTGCTAAAGATCTAGACATCCAAATACAAGAAGTTCAAAGAACATCTGGAAAATTCATTAGAAAAAGATCATTGCATAGGCACATAGTCTTCAGGTTATCTAAAGTCAAGATGAAGGAAAGAATCTTAAGAGCTGTGAGGCAAAAGGATCAGGTAACCTATAAAGAAAAACCTATCAGATTAATAGCAGATTTCTCAGGAGAAACCCTACAAGCTAGAAGGGACTGAGGTCCTATCTCTAGCCTCCTGAAACAAAACAATTATCAGCCAAGAATTTTGTATCCAGCAAAACTACGCTTCATAAATGAAGGAAAGATACAGTCTTTTTCAGACAAATAAATGCTGACAGAATTCACCACTACCAAGCCAGCACTACAAGAACTGCTAAAAGGAGCTCTAAATCTTGAAACAAATCCTCAAAATACACCAAAATATAACCTCCTTAAAGCATAAATCTCAGGGGACCTATAAAACAATAACAACAAAATTGAAAAACAAAAACAAGGTATTCAGGGCAACAACTAGCATGATGAATAGAATAGTACCTTCATCCTGAATGTAAATGGCCTAAATGCTCCACTTAAAAGATGCAGAATGGCAGAATGAATACAAATCCACAATCAAGTATCCGCTGTCTTCAAGAGACTCACCTAACACATAATGACTGACATAAACTTAAGGTAAAGGGGTGGAAAAAGACATTCCATGCAAACGTACACTAAAAGCAAGCAGGAGTAGCTATTCTTCTATCAGACAAAACAGACTTTAAATCAACAACAGTTTAAAAAGACAATAAGGAACATTATACAATGATAAAAGGATTACTCTAACAGAAAAATATCACAGTTGTAAATCAATATATACCTAATACTGGAGCTCCCAAATTTATAGAAAAATTAATACTAGACCTAAGAAATGAGATAGATGGCAACACAATAATAGTGGGGGACTTCAATGCTCCACTGACAGCACTAGACAGATCATCCAGACAGAATGTCAACAAAGAAACAATAGACTTAAACTATATCCTAGAAAAATGGACTTAACAGATATTTAAAGAATAAATGCAGAATACACATTTTATTCAGCAGCACAAGGAACATTCTCCAAGATAGACCATATAATAGGCCACAAAACAAGTCTCAATAAATTTAAGAAAATCAAAATTATATCAAGTACTCCCTCAAACCACAGTGGAATAAAACTGGAAATCAACTCCAAAAGAAGCTTTCAAAACCATGCAAATACATGAAAATTAACCTGCTACTGAATGATTGTTGGATCGACAATGAAATCAATATGAAAATTTAAAAATTCTTTGAACTGAATGATAATAGTGACACAACCTATTAAAACCTCTGGGATACAGCAAAAGCAGTGCTAAGAGGAAAGTTCATGGCATTAAATGACTAACTCAAAAAGTCTGAAAGAGCACAAATAGACAATCTAAGGTCACATCTCAAGAAACTAAAGAAGCAAGAACAACCAAACCCACACCCAGAAGAAGAAAAGGAATAACAAAGATCAGAGCAGAACTAAATGAAATGAAAACAAACAAACAAAAAACCCCACAAAAGATAAATGAAACAAAAAACTCATTCTTTGAAAAAATAACCAAAATTGAAAGACTATTAGTAAGATTAACCAAGAAAAGAAAAGAGAAGATCCAAATAAGCTTGATTAGAAATGAAACAGGAGATATTACAACTGATACTTCAGAAATACAAAAGATCATTCAAGGCTACTATGAACACCTTTATGCAAAGAAACTAGAAAACCTAGAGGAGATGGGTAAATTCCTAGAAATATACAACCTCCTAGATTAAACCAGAAAGAAATAGAAACTATGAACAGATGAGATTGAAGCGAGACTGAAATGGTAATAAAAACACTGCCAACCAAAAAAATTCCAGAACCAGACCAATTCACAGCTGAAGTCAGCTGAGTTCTCTCAAACATTCAGAGAATAACTGGTACCAATCCTATTGACACTATTCCAAAAGATAGAGAAAGTGGGAATCCTCCCTAAATCATTTTGTGAAATCAGTATCACCCTAATAACAAAATCAGGACAGGACATAACAACAACAACAACAACAACTACAGACCAATGTCTTTGATGAACACAGATGCAAAAACCTTCAACAAAATACTTGCTAACCAAATCCAACAGCATATCAAAAAGATAATCCACCATTATCAACTGAGTTTCATACCAGGGATGCAGGGATGGTTTAACATACGCAAGTCAATAAATGTGATACGCCACATAAACAGAAGTAAAAACAAAAACCACATGATCATCTCAATAGATGCAGAAAAAGCATTTGACAAAATCCACCATTGCTTTACAATAAAACCCTCAGCAAAATCAGCATAGAAGGGACATACCTTAAGGTAATAAAAGCCATCTATGAGAAACACACAGCCAACATCATACTGAATGGGGAAAAGATGAAAGCATTCCCCCTGAGAACTAGAACAAGACAAGGATGGCCACTTGTACCACTTCTATTCAACATAGTACTAAAAGTCCTAGCCAGAGTAATCAGACAAGAGAAAGAAATAAAGGGCAACCAAATTGGTAAAGAGGTAGTCAAACTGTCACTGTTTGCTGATGATATAATCATATACCTAGAAAACCCTAAAGACTCATCCAAAAAGCTTCAGAACTGATAAGTGAATTCACTACAATTTCAGGATACAAAATCAATGTATGCAAATCAGTAGCTCTGCTATACACCAACAACAACCACGCTGAGAATAAAATCAAGAATTCAACCCCTTTCACAATAGCTGCCAAAAAAAAAAAAAAACTTAAGAATATACTTAACCAAGTAGGTAAAATATTTCGACAAGAAAAAAACACTGCTGAAAGAAATCATAGATGACACAAACAAATGGAAACAAATTCCATGCTTGTGGATGGGAAGAATCAATATTGTGAAAATGATGATACTGCCAAAAGCAATCTACAGATTCAATGCATTTCCCTTCAAAATACCACCATCATTCTTCACAGAACTAGAAAAAAATCCTAAAATTCATATGGAAACAAAAAAGAACCTGCATAGCCAAATCAAGACTAAGCAAAAAGAACAAATCTGGAGGCATCACATTACCCAACTTCAACCAATACTTGAAGTCTACAATCAACAAAACAGCATGGAACTTGTATAAAAATAGGACATAGAACAATGGAACAGAATAGAGAACCCAGAAATAAAGCCAAATGCTTACATTCAACTGATCTTTGACAAAGCAAGCAAAAACATAAAGTGGGGAAAGGACATCCGATTCAACAAATGGTGCTGGGATAATTGGCAAGCCACATGTTGAAGAATGAAATTGGATCCTCATCTCTCACCTTATACAAAAATCAACTCAAGATGGATCAAAGACTTAAATCTAAGACTTTAAACCATAAAAATTCTAGAAGATAACATCAGAAAAACCCTTCTAGACATTGGTTTGGGCAAAGACTTTATGACCAAGAGCCCAAAAGCAAATGCAACAAAAACAAAGATCAACAGATGGAACTTAATTAAACTAAAAAGCTTCTGCACAGCAAAAGAAATAATCAGCAGAGTAAACAGACAACCCACAGAATGGGAGACTATATTTGCAAACTATGCATCTGACAAAAGACTACTATCCAGCATCTACAAGGAATTGAAACAAATCAGCAAGAAAAACAATCCCATTAAAAAATGGACAAATGGTATGAATAGACATTTTTCAAAAGAAGATATACAAATGGCTAACAAGCATATGAAAAAATGTTCAGCATCACTAATTATCAGGGAAATGCAAATCAAAACTACAATGCAATACCACCTTACTCCTGTAAGAATGGCCATAAGGAAAAAATCAAAAAATAATAAACATTGGCATGGATGTGATGAAAAGGAAACACTTTTACACTGCTAGTGGGAATATAAACTAGTACAAGCGCTGTGGAAACAGTGTGGAGATTCCTTAAAGAACTAAAAGTAGATCTACCATTTGATCCAGCAATCCCAGTACCAGGTATGTACCCAAAGGAAAAAAATCCTTATATGAAAAAGACACTTGCACATGCATGTTTATAGCAGCAAAATTCACAACTGCAAACACATGGAACCAGCCCAAATGCCCATCAATCAATAAGTGGATGAACAAAATGTTATATATATAGACACACACACACACACACATACCATGGAATACTACTTAGGCATAAAAAGGAATGAAATAATGGCATTTGCAGCAACCTGGATGGAATTGGAGACCATTATCCTAAGGGCAGTTACTCAGGAATGGAAAACTAAACATCGTATGTTCTCCCTCATAAGTGGAAGCTAAGATATGAGGATACAAAGGCATAAGAATGATACAATGGACTTTGGGGACTTGTAGGAAAGGGTGTGAAGGGGATGAGGGATAAAAGACTACACATTGGGTATAGTGTATGCTGCTTAGGTGATGGGCATACCAAAATCTCAGAAATCACCACTAAAGAACTTATCCATGTAACCAAACACCACCTGTTTCCCAAAAACCTATTGAAATAAGAAATAATAATAATGGTTATTATTCATATGTGTTCTGAAAAGGTGTTCTGAATGTGTTTGTATGCATTAGGCACACACTATCAGCACACATGCAGAAGTCTGTGTGAATGGCAAGAAAATATCCTTTCCATTAACTTATCAGAAACACAAAAAATATCAGACATCAGAAGACCTTGCAAGATGAACATCCTGGATTCCCTTCTACTGCCTTTTTCCCACTTCGCATTTATCTTGTCTTCCCTCTTCTTTGTAGCTTTTTCTATCCCTCTGAACTCCCTCCTGGGTTCCAGTTCCATCCTAGAAGCATAGCTGAAGGAGAATTCTAAGTTTCACCTGTCTCTCTATCCTAGTGGTCATGGTAGGTCCTTACCCTGGGCCCTGGGGTAAGAGGTGGGTGAGGTGGGGTTGAGAAGTCCTTCGGGTTCTTCACACTGGAACTTCTATGAGATGAATAGACTTTTCTCTACATATTATTGACTGTGTTCCATAGCTTAACGGCATTTAATATGCTAAACAAAATATCTGCCTCCTGTGGGGTGAGAAAGGGGAAAAGAGAGAAGGAAATCCCATTCTTCTGCACATATTCTTGGTGGTGAAATATAAGCTAGTACTAGGGCACTTGAGTGGAGGTGGAACTCAGATGCTTTTGGACAGTTGAGTTAGACAACTTCCCTCTCTATGTGGTCTAATTTGAACTAAGATTAGATATTTTAGGGGACTGGTGTGAATTTCTTCATACACATAACCTATTTGCATCTGGTGGTTTTATTGAGGGCCAAGAGCCTCCCAGGAGAAAAATATTTAAACTCTGTTGACATATGTATGCCTACCTGACAGAGCTATGCCTAACTGACAGAAAATTGGGGAAATCAGATTTTAGGAGGGGCTTCAGAAAAGAATTCACCATTAGGAAAGAATATACAATGAGTTAGATGAGTAACAGGACCTGAAATGATAAGGAAATATTGGTATGGGTAGGGCAAATAGTCAAACTTGTCCCAACCCAACCAACCTCATGGAATAGGCCTGTGAGTGTGTGTGTGTGTATGTATGTATGTATGTGTGAATTTTTTAAATTACAGAACTTTGGGACCCAGTCAGCTTCGCTGTGGGGACTTCCCCACCCCAAACACCTTATCTTACCTGGAAAAGACATCTTTCTCTTGGTAAATGAAAGAAGATACACATCGAAAAATCAGTATGGACAATGATGGTGGTAGGCAGTGTAAGTGGTACTCAGGGCGACAGTGTAGATCACTTTATTTAAATAGTTCCAATTGGGGTCTGGGCTTCAGAGTTAGGTCTGGACTAGCTGCATCATTTGAGTGCAATAGCTTTATTGCTAACCACTGAATACTGGGGCTCAAATAATTTTGCAGAAAAGACTTTTCTTCTTCCTGGCAACTGAGTGAAATTCACAATAACCATTCAGTTTGCTTCCTAAGAATAAAAACACAAAATTCTAGATTTACTGGTGTTAATGCCCCCCAGCCAAAGAACATCAGGGATATATCAGTAGTTGAAGAAGCTGGGTTCATTACTCATTGCAACAAGGAAGAAAATACACCATTGGGGAACCTTGGGTATGCTAGTAAGAGGATGTTAGAACTTACTATAGGATTTGGGCTTATGTTAGCTGATTTAGGGGAGGGTTTAGGGAAGTAGAGCTTTGCTCTGGATTGGATCCTGTCAGGAACCAAGAGTATTTCAATGATTGGGAATATTAATAAATCTTATATATAAGACAGGAAGAATGAAGTAAGGCTTAGCTATAATTGGTAAAGAAGCAGCAGTCACTCATATTAACCACGATAGGGAAATGTTTAGTCATCTTTTTGATTTGGACCATATTCATGTTTTTATCTTGATTCATCATGGTCACAGAGTGGTTTTGTATGATGTTGATATTCTGTGAAACTGTTGGTGTTCAGTAACAATAGCAACAACAAAACACCAAAACCTAGCTGTGAGTGTCAGGCCAGCTTCCAGATGTCTTTGCTTCACTGGTGACATTAGCGAAAGCAGTTACATTCTAATTTCAACAACTTCAAACATGGCAGGTATTCTTTGGCAATAGTGGTAACAATGGCAACTAAGTGGAATCCCTCATAAAAATGTTTGGTCTGAGAAAAAAATGCAGTTAAGTAATCACTTCTGAAGTGATTCCTGGCTACTTAGTATCCTCTTAAAGATCCTGGAAATACACAGGCATCCAATAACATTGGATTTCCTGTTACTAAGCAGGTAAGAGCTTAAAAAATCCAGGCTTGAATATTAAGAGTTAATGAGGCTGGGCGCGGTGGCTCATGCCTGTAATCCCAGCACTTTGGGAGGCTGAGGTGGGCAGATCACGAGGTCAGGAGATCGAGACCATCCTGGCTAACACGGTGAAAACCCGTCGCTACTAAATATACAAAAAATTAGCCAGGCGTAGTGGCGGGCGTCTGTATTCCCAGCTACTCGGGAGGCTGAGGCAGGAGAATGGCGTGAACCCAGGGGGTGGAGCTTGCAGTGAGCCGAGATCGCTGCACTGCACTCCAGCCTGGGCGACAGAGCCACACTCCGTCTCAAAAAAAAAAAAAAAAAAGGAGTTAATGTAAATCCTGGGATAATGAAAAGGGCCTATGATATTTGAATTACACATATGTACATCAAATCATTTAAAGAATGTTAGCGAACCTTTCTTTCATATTAAATTATTCATGTATAGTTAGAGTTTTTAAAAAATATGTCTGGTGTCTGTTATTTGTAAAAAAAAAAAAAAAATCATTATAGTAGATATCTCCTTTTGGCTGCCCAATATCCATCTTCCTCCTTCCCTAGAAGAGGACCCAGAGTTTCCTTTGGGAAACAATCCTTCCCCATTCCTAGTTACATGTTTGGGTGGTACCCCATTCCCAGCCAATCAATATATCTCATCTCCTTGTTTGCCGGGACTGGTTTAAGAATAAGCACTTAATCTAGCCTTAAGCTTATTTATCTGACCAAAGTGTTTATTTCAGAGATAGGCATATCCCCTGAACTGATCCAAATGAAGGTAAACTTCAGGACTTTAGCCCCAAATGCTCTATTTAGCGATATCAGAATGTAAAATTGAGAATGCTATAGCCATTTTGTAAACCTAAAGAGAGCCAGCCTAACGACTGAGGCAACCTAGAGGAAGCAGTGTGGAGAAAGGAAACCTGATGATGTTTCTGACCTCTAGATGCAGCTGGATCTACTCTAGGTTGTTAAGAAATCAATGCCAAGTCCAATGTCATTAAGTTTTCCCCTTATGTTTTCTTATAAGAGTTTTATAATTTTAGGTCTTATGTCTTTGATTCATTTTGAGTTAATTCATGTATATACATTTAAAAAGTAAAGCAAGAGTCCAATTTCATTCTTTCTCATGTAAACATCTAGTTTTCTACAGCCCTTTTATCACAAATCAACACTAACTGGCTTTAGGTTAGAGAAAGTTATCCAAGAAAAACTTGCTACTTAGATCTAACTTGTCTGTTAAAAACCTTGATCATTTATGTCATTGTAAAACAAATTAATACTAAATATCCACTCAATAAATGTATTCCTTTCAAAGATGCATTTGGCAAACGGTCGTTTTTCTAAACCTAAGTGCTTGCTATGTAAAGCTACTTTATTTAGGAAAGTATTCATACCTAATTATCAAACTACTGGGATAGTTTTTTTGTTTTGTCTTGTTTTCCTGAGAAAGCTTTCAAGTGGTTTTGGAAATTTTAAAATGATGCATGACTTTTGAAGTACTTGGTCATCTATAGGTACAGGCAAGAAATAGTCCCCATAGGATCTCATGGACCTGAGAAGGGGGAAAAACCCATTTGAGGAGAAAATCTAAAAACAGTAAAGCCCTCAAAAACTTTCACCATTCCATACTTTCTGGAAAAAAGAAGACACTACTATTTTCAAATCACCTGTCAAATGAATAACTTTGGTATCATTAATTTTTCTTGCTTAAAACTATAAAATAGGCCCAGTTTCAAAACTTTCCTATCAACTCAACATTATCATTCATAAAGCTATTCCATAATGTATAAAAAATTAACCCTTCAAGTATTAAACATTTCTAGATTACTGTGTAGCAAATTCTCATGAAACAGATATCTTATTTCTTCCCATTAGCCAAATAATTAGATTATGTACTGTAATCAAAATATAAACTACAACAATATTGTGGTAAATACAGTACATTCTTAGTTCAAAAGATATTATTTCTCGTCAAATTGATAATCATACTCATCTAAGTGGAATGGCTATATTGGCATACGAAGACTGCCACTCTTTAAAAACTGTTTCTAGTCTATTCCATTTTAAATACTATCCAATATCCTTTAATATTAATATACCAACAAATTATTTTTTTCAATCACTTTCTTTGTAGAACAAAGACAAGCACTTTACAGCTTGTAAAGTGACTAATCTTAAAGTTATCAAATTAAGTTAAGCAATTTAACGCAATTACTAAATGTACCAACTTCTTAAAAAATTGTAGCAATTAAAGAAATTGTTTCACTGTCTTTTATAGGGAACATAAATAACTTGGTTTATCTTTTATAATGAACATAAATAACTTGGTTTAAGCCAAGTTGTTTGGGCAGGCTGGCTTTTTTCTTTTTTTTTCTTTTTTTCAGAATTCTGCTAGATATCCTTGAAGTCATAGTCAAATCCAAGTTTTTGTTCATAGCTTGCATTCAATCAAATTGAAGAGTACTTGCTATTGTAAAGTTGGATTTCCACCTTTCTCTGATTTTGAATTCATACTGTTAAAGTACTGCACATTCTTATTTTTGTTTTATTGCTACCATTGTCATTGTTAATGGTGGCTCTCACCATAGGCAAAATACCATTGATAAACTTGGGCAGCTTTCAGATTTGCCCATTTCCTGGACAAGCAGTATATCATACTTGCTAATGAAAATCCAACTCTGAGTCTCCTGAACTTGTTAGAAATTAGGACGGTCAGATGACAATGTTTGGCTTTGGACTATTACTTTCTCTTTAGGAAGTGAGGACACTGAAATAAATGGACACTGTTTCCTTCTAGTCTTAAGTTGAATAAACAGGTGATCAAAACCAAAAACACCTGAGTAATAAGACTTACTGATTCACTGTAATTATTCATTTTCAATTCTGTAGCTCATTTTTTCATTGACAAATTGAGGTTATTAATTCACCCTTTTAGTTGTAGATAAATGATAAACATATTAACTCATGTAATCATAAGAGGAAGAAAAAAATAAAGTAGGGCAAAGTTGTGGATTTCACTTCAACTATGGTGTCAAAAGACCCTTTTCAGAGACCCAAGTAGATTGTTAGAAGCCTTAAGATGTCCCCTAGATTCTTCCCAGATTTTCATTATACCTTTTGCCATCCTTATTATTAACAGCTGCCCAAAGAAGATATTCACATCAACCCCCGGAGCATGTAAATGTTTCCTTATTTGGAAAAATTGGTCTTTGGAGATGTGATTAAATTATCTTGAAATAAAGAGATTGCCTTGGATTATCAAAGTTGGCCCTAAATACTATTACAACCTCTTTATAAGAGACACACAGGGAAAACACACACAGAAGAGAAGACAATGTGACCACGGAGGTGAGACAGAGACTGGAGAAATGGAGCCACAATTCAAGGGGTGCCAACAGCTGCCAAAAGCTGATGAGGCAAAGAATGGATTCTCCTCTAAAGCCACTAGAGGAGTGTGGCCCTACTGACACTTTGATTTTGGACTTCTGGCCTCCAAATGAAGCCACAATTCAAGGGGTGCCAACAGCTACCAGAAGCTGGATGAGGCAAAGAATGGATCCTCCTCTAAAGCCACTAGGGGGAGTGTGGCCCTACTGATACTTTGATTTTGGACTTCTGGCCTCCAGAACTATGAGAGAATAAATTTCTGTTGTTTTAAGCTACTCCTTTTGAGGTAATGTTACAGCAGCCACAGGAAACTAATATACCCGCCCAATGTTACTCCCTGTGATTGAATTCATGATATTTATCACAAGTTGTAATTATTTGCTATTTTATTTATCATCTGTCTCACTCCCCTGTGTAAGCTCCATGAAGGTAGGGCCATTCACTGCACACCCAGTCTCTTAGCATAGTATTTGAAGTATCTTATGTTCCTAGAAACTGTTAAAAAGAATTAGTGGATAAATGTCCCCCACAGATAAGTCTTGTAAGACAGAGACCATGTCTATTGATCACAATTGTCAAAGCCTCCAGCACAGAGCCTTACAAGAAACTGCTGTTGAACTAAGTTTGCCAGTCTAGAAATCAGGAATTTTGGATTCTAGACACTATACTGCAATGTATAGCTGTGCCATGGCCCCCACCTCTATTTCCTTTCCATCTATTATTTGGCTTAGAATGTTCAAGAAGGTTTGTTCCTTATCTGCTCTTCTTATCCTTGATAAGGAGCAGGTCCAAATATCATTTATTTTCGCGTCCCTTACATAATCCATAATAGTTGGCATATGATACGACAATAAATGTTTGAGGTTTTTGGGTGAAGTGGAATGATTCCAGGCTTTAGACTCAAACATAAATGAAACTCAATATTGCATCCTTGAGTAAATTCCTAATCGACTCTGAATCTCAATCTTCTCAAATGAAAGGAGACTAACCCTTACCTCACAGAATCGTGAACCTGTGAGCCACTCTGCCTATAGCAGGAATTTTATGAGTGGTACCTGATTAGCATTAACCTATGCCATTGACCTAACTCAACCATGAGTGCAGCATCAGATAAGAGTTCCTAACTGGTGCTGTGTCCGGAATCGGTGGGTTCTTGGTCTCACTGACTTCACGAATGAAGCCGCGGACCCTCGCGGTGAGTGTTACAGCTCTTAAGGTGGCGCGTCTGGAGTTTGTTCCTTCTGATGTTCGGATGTGTTCGGAGTTTCTTCCTTCTGGTGGGTTCGTGGTCTCACCGGCTCAGGAGTGAAACTGCAGACCTTCGCGGTGAGTGTTACAGCTCTTAAGGCAGCACGTCTGGAGTTGTTTGTTCCTCCTGGTGGGCTCGTGGTCTCGCTGGCTTCAGGAGAGAAGCTGCAGATCTTCGCGGTGAGTGTTACAGCTCATAAAAGCAGTGTGGACCCAAAGAGTGAGCAGTAGCAAGATTTATTGCAAAGAGTGAAAGAACAAAGCTTCCACAGTGTGGAAGTGGACCCCCAGCTAGTTGCCAATGCTGGCTCGGGCAGCCTGCTTTTATTCTCTTATCTGGCCCCACCCACATCCTGCTGATTGGTAGAGCCCAGTGGCCTGTTTTGTCAGGGCGCTGATTGGTGCGTTTACAATCCCTGAGCTAGACACGAAGGTTCTCCACGTCCCCATCAGATTAGCTGGATACAGAGTTTGGACACACAGGTTCTCCAAGGCCCCACCAGAGCAGCTAGACACAGAGTGTCAATTGGTGTACTCACAAACCTTGAGCTAAACACAGGGTGCTGATTGGTTATTTACAATCCCTGAGCTAGACGTAAAGACTCTCCACCTCCCCACCAGACTCAGGAGCCCAGCTGGCTTCACCTAGTGGATCCCGCACTGGGGCCGCAGGTGGAGCTGCCTGCCAGTCCCGCACCGTGCGCTCACACTACTCAGCCGTTGGGTGGTCGATGGGACTGGGCGCCGTGGAGCAGGGGGCGGCGCTCATCGGGGAGGCTCGGGCTGCACAGGAACACACGGAGTGGGTGGGAGGCTCAGGCATGGCGGGCTGCAGGTTCTGAGCCCTGCCCCGCGGGAAGGCAGCTAAGGCCTGGCGAGAAATCGAGCACAGTGCCGGTGGGCCAGCACGCTGGGGGACCCAGTAGACCCTCTGCAGCCACTGGCCCGGGTGCTAAGTCCCTCATTGCCCGGGGCCAGCAGGGCTGGCCGGCTGCTCCGAGTGCGGGGCCTGCCAAGTCCACGCCCACCCGGAACTCCAGCTGGCCTGCAAGCGCGGCACGTAGCCCGGGTTCCCGCTCGCGCCTCTCCCTCCACACCTCCCTGCAAGCTGAGGGAGTGGGCTCCAGCCTTGGCCAACCCAGAAAGGGGCTCCCACAGTGCAGTGGGGGGCTGAAGGGCTCCTCAAATGCCGCCAAAGTGGGAGCCCAGGCAGGGGAGGTGCCGAGAGCAAGCGAGGGCTCTGAGGACTGCCAGCATGCTGTCACCTCTCAGTGCCATATGACTTTGGCCAAGCCATTTAACCTTTCTGAGCCACAGTTCCTTAGCCAAAAATTGGCAATAGTACCTTCCATGTAAGAAGTGGCTCTGATCTAGAAACTAAATAAAGTAACTTAATAGTTACACTTAAGCCAGTGCTAGTCTCAATAAGTTATTATTTTCTACAAAAAAATCTTGGCTTCCTAGGGTCTTCTGAAACAATGAAAGGGTCCAGCAGACCCTCTTACTGCCTCAACGAACCCAAATTTGGGAACCTTCTAAGCAAAGGCCGCGTGAGGGTTCCATGAGTCCATGACTGTATCCCTCAGGAACCTACCAGTTATCTGTTTACCACGAGGAGAGACCAAACCGATGTGACAGTACTCTAGAAGAGTCCAGTACCTGGTATAGCCCTAATCCACGCTGAGTTTAGCCTTTTTAGTCGGCAGAGGTCATGACCTAAGTAAGGAGCGTGCTGCTCACCGTTTGGACCGCCCACCATTTCTCCAGGAGTCCCGCGGTTGCCTGGGCAACGCTACGTCACCGCGTATCCTCCCGTGCCCGTCGGCGAGAAGCCTAGAGAGCGCAACGCGCAGGCGCCCAGTGGGAACCAATGGGCGCGGCCGGAACGCGGGTGGCGCTCGGCGCTGCTCTTTCGCGGTTTGATTCTGGGGTGGGGCGGCAGCGGGAGCGCGCCCGCTTTTCCTAGGCCAGCGGGCGGTTGTCTGTGGCTCCGCGACTGGGCGCCCCGTCACGTAGGTTACACACACAATCACTCCCCAGGGACGGCCCGGAGTCCGTCCAGGCAGCTGCGCCCTCCCCAGACCCGGGCACCGCGGAGGCTGGAGCCGCAATGGTGCTGATGGAGGGCGGGAGATGGAGCTGACCAGGGGCCGGAGGGGCTGAGAAGAGCCTGCCCAAGTCTGGGCCAAGCACGAAGCCCTTTCCCACCCGTCGGGCTCCTGGGTTCCCGCCAGCCGATTTCCAGCCGTCAGGGTCACGCCACTCGCTGGAAACCCTGAACTCTGTGCCCCCCAAGCCCTGGGCCCCCTGCGGGAATGTTCAAAAATGAGTACCAGGTAACCCGAAACGGTTCTCCAACCTGTCTATACCTTTCTCCTCTTGGGTGAGGTAGTCCGTGATCGGGGTGAGGATAAAGTGCACCCTCTATCCCCATAATAAGGTCTTTTTCAGGGGTAAGACAGAATTAATGGGTGAATGCTGTTGACCCAGAGAGAAGGAAAAATTTACCAATGTCTAGGCGTATGATTTGGCTTTTGTTCACTCTCCAACTCAGTGTTTCTTAAGATGAATTAATTGTCTGTGATTCTACCTAAAATGGAGATCTTAAGCCCCACTGAAACCTCCTGAATCAGAATCTTGAGGGCAGGGCCCAGAAATCTTGAGTTTTAACAAAGCGCTTTGGAGACTCAGTATTCATGCAACACTGGTATCTCAGAAGCGATTTAGAAGAGTGAATGAGTGAATGCATGCATTGTTACATCAAGAAAGAAAATAAGCACTTTGGCTATGTGCTGTTTTATTTTTACAGAACTGGGAGTCAGTGAATCTCAGACGTTGGAGTACATCAGGCTTTCTTGGGGTGCTTGTAAACGTGCAGATTTCCTGACCCGCATCCCAGATCTGGTGAATCCGAATCTCTGGATGGGGGTCACTTGATTAAGCTTTTTAACTAGTTCCCCCAAGTGATTCCTATGCAGGGGGTCCAAGGATCACACTTGGAGAAACACTGCTTCTGGGTCGTCCTCAGTCACTTTGAGTATCCTAGAGTGTCTCGACCTGCTTTCCTCACCTCACTGGACACCTCCCTTCCTGGTCTCCTCTCCTCGCCTTTGCAAGAGGTTACACTCCTTGTTTACAGTCTGTTTACCATGCTAGTCCTGCTGTTCTGATGAACGTTTGTTACTGTATCTAATCAGTTCTCTACCCGTCTCCACCTCTTTATTGCTTCTGCCTTTTCATTCACCTAACACTACTTGCCTCATTATGAGTGCTCTCGGAGTAGTCTGCAGTTCTCTTTCTTCTGTCCCATTCGTTATCACTAATTGGGCTAGAACACTTTTAGAGAGTTTGTCTCACTTCTTATAGGTAAAATATATTATCAAAAAAACATGTGCCCACTACAGGAAACTTGGAGGACATGGGAAAGCAAAAAGCAGCAGGGAGAGTTTGCCGTCTCACCGAGTATGAGGGCTTTTGTCTTTTAAAACAACTAGCTGTCTCAAATTTAAATTCATAGTGAAATATTACCTGCCCTCACAAGCTATAGTAATTCTATCCCATATACAGTTTGCACGTAATACTGCCTAAGGAAGAAGACATTAAATGTCTTACCTCCAAGTGATCGTGTGTTATAACTGAGAGGCAAAAATATCTTTATATTACTGAGAAAAATTAAAAGCTGGAAATTCCTTACAGAAATTAGATTTGCTCACATATTGTTTATAATTCAAACCGTATTTAATCCTCATATAGGATTCTCATTTTTTGCAATAAATTCTTCCTTAGAGATAATTATCTTATTTAATTCCCCTTTCTTAAATAATTAAAGCTTATGGACATTCAGTAATATCTTCAGTGTGCTTACATAAGTGTGTCCTTCCATGTTCTCATGTTTACAATGGGGAACCAGTAGGCTGTCTGTAGACACAATATTTTATTTCTCTTATACAGATTTTATAGATCTTCACATTAATTTGTATTACATACGTAAAAATATCTTGTAGGAATGCTCAAAATAGGAATTTCCAAATCCCTCCCAGGCCTTTTTATTGACCAGTACTAAACTGTTTAATTTCCCTTCCCATTTTTTGAATAAACTTTGATGGTGCTGTTGAGCCCCTGCTGTGAGCTGAGTATTATGCTCAAGGTTTAATGTTTAGTATCTTATGTAATCCAACAACCCATTTTACAGATGGAGAATCAAGAAGTTAAGTAACTCCAAGTTCAGATAGTTAAAAAGCCAGTGTTGGAGCCTCAGTCAGTATGACTAGAAAGCTTGTATTTGGAGATAACTACCTGAATGTATTGGCCTGATTCAAGAATTGCGTTTAAACCCTTTAGTGTGGTTGCAAAACACAGTCTGTAAAACATAAAATGTTTTGCAAGAATGATCTGTATGTGTCAAGTAAACGAGTCCCCCACTGAGATACTGTAGGGTTTGTATGGCACAATTGATTTAATGTTTGTCATGCTTTAAAAACAGATTCTTTAAACCATTAATCCAAGGTGATCCAAATCAGAATGGTTGTGGTTTAGATACAATCAAGGTATAAAGTAGGAGTAATAACAGGGAGAATGTTTCATCCCAGATCAGCTTAACTGACAGATGCCGGGAACACTGGTTATAGACTATGTGGTGGATAATACTTCCTCGTTAGCATTGTCTTTTAATATTTTATTTTCATTTTCTAGGGAGGTGCATTTGTTGAAATTTTCAGTGCTCAAGGAAAAAATCCTGGAGCAAAATGGAAGATCCTTGGTAGTCCATCTGTGATTTGGAAAGTAAGTATTAGAAATTAGAGCCACATAAATCAGGGGAAGAAATGTGAGTGAAGCTTATAGAAGAAAGGGCGTGATCAAATTTCAGAGCTGTTTTTCCTGTTCTTTCACTCCAAAACCCTTTCATGACATTGTTGGCTGCAGCTGTCCTGGACACCACTCTTCAGTTGTCTAAGACTTTGGCACACAGGTCATAACCCTTCTATGTACTCCATGCCCTGCTGTGTATCATTTTAGATGACTTCAGTATCTGTAAGAAAAATCTCTCCTAGTCCTGGGCTTCTCAGTTTCTTGATTTCTTCATCTTTAACAACCTCTTCCGCTCTACTTCAGCATTCATCCCTACTGTCTTACCCTGCTCCCTGTCACCACAAACTATAGGACCTCTGAAGTTACTGAGACATTAAAATGTCCCTTTCTGATCCCAATCTTTATTCTTAAGGTCGCTTGCTCAATTACTCCACTCTCTTCTTCAACTTCATTGGGAACTTTAGGCCATTGACTGTTCTACTTTTCCTGTGTTTTGTTTTGCTTTATTTATTGATTTAATTAATTTATTTATTTATTTTATTTATCTCCCTTTTCTCTCCAGCCCAGAATCCATCATCCATAATTTCAGTCACTTTCCAGTCCACACCTTGAATGCCCTTGCTCTTTGTCCTTTCACCATGCCTCCGTATTCTAGTTCCCAGCAAGTCTTGGAATAAAAGTACTAAGGCCTGAGCCTGCTTTTAAGTTATTTGAATATGGGATTTTTTTTTCCCTGTAGATCTGAAGTTTCAATTTTATAGTAGAAGCCAAATAAAATATCCTGTGATAACTACTGTTTTCATTTTGTTCTATAGGAGTTTGATAAAGAAGTTAAAAGTTTTGTGTTTGTCCTGGAAGGCAGCAGCCAAACAAACAAAATTCAGTTACCAAAGGAGAATAAGCAAAGCCGTAAGTAATATTTTTAATATTGAAACTTAACATTTTGTACTCAAAGTTCTGCTTTTATGTCTCATAAACAGGCACATTAGTATGACTTCTACTGACATCTATTTATGTAAGATGATAGAATTTTTTTTTTAATTTAGAGGGCAACTAACTATGCTAGGCACTATGCTAGGCCTTTAAAAAAATATATTCTACCTCACCATCTTCTAGAAATCTAGTAGTATCTTAAAGAAGATTTAGAAGAGTATTTGGCAGCCATTAATTATGATAATAATAGCATTTATTGAGCACTTACTATGTGCCAGGAGCTTTGTAAACATTTAATATTTATGAACTCTTTTAATCCTCCTAATAGCTCTTTTACAAATGAACAAACTGAGGTTGGTTCCTCATCAGGGCTAAACTTTGAAATAAAATCAGCATTCCTAAATACAAGAAATTAATTTGTGAGAAAAAATGTATCAGAAGTAAGATATAAAGCATAATTTAGTGACATGTCAACTCATATACTTATTACCTTTTAATATTAATCATAAAGTATATATATGAATATGTGATTTAACAAAGACCCATAGAATCTATTTCAATTCTTGTTTACTTTAGAAATTAAGATCAGCATTTCAAAGCAGAAGAAACCCTGAGAGATAACGCAGATTTATCAGAAGCCCAGTTATTAGCAGAGACAGGGTTACAATTCAAGGCTCTGCTACTAAATTAGACCTTGAGTAAACTGATTGATTTAAGGAATATGATTTATCAGAATGATTAACTAGATTTTTCATCAACTACGTCCTATGTTTTAAATATAAATTTCAGGTGATTTAGCAAATATAAAGTTTTTTTTTTACATTCATCATTTACTTATTCCTTCTTTCATTCATTAGAACATTTATCGAATACCTACCATGCATGAAGCTCTATAAAAAGACCTGTTGTTGGTACCTGATTTTATCATTTTAATTCAGTTTTCTAAACTTATATAGGTTCTGTGCTTTATGTGCCATTTCAAGCTACTACATGCATATTTTAGATTTCTAAGACATAAACTAGCCATAGAAGTTATAAGTGAAAGATGATTTATTTTAAAGTGGTTTGCCAGTGTTTCTTTCTAAACTACGAAAGAGACCGGAAAAAAAAAGAAGAGATATCATCATTAAAGATAGTTTTTAATTTATTGCCACTTAAAGATTATGCTTTCCTAATAGTTTCTGCGTGTGTGTGTGTGTGTGTGTGTGTGTGTGTGTCTGTAATAGGAGGTTTTTTGCATTTCCATATATATTTGTACTTATAAATGAGGTGAACTAAGATGATCCAGGGAAACCTGTCTGAAACTGTGGTTTCATCTTCTTGCAAGAGGCACAGGACATCTTTTTAAGGATATTGGTTTTGTAAGACATGTAGATACATTTGACTTTCAGGAATATGACTTTGTTCTAAGCCAGTGTTAGTTCTTTTGTTTTTTTCTGAACTTATAAAGCCCACCTGTATTTTCATTTAATGCCCTCAGTATGTATGCACATGGTTACCTTATTAAAAAAATCAATCACTTTTAGTAACCTTTCTCATTTGATTCTGAGATAGATTCCTTCTCTACTAAAGACTGAATGATTAAATACAAGCTCTGCTTTTCCATTTTTATCTGAAGTTTTTTTTTTAAGAAATAAACCAAGTTTAATGTATCATAATTACTTTTTTAAATGGAAAGATGATCGTTTTAATTGTAAAAAAACAGAAAAATCTTTTAATGTATTTCTTGTACAATGCCTTATAATTAAAAGTTAATCTGGCTTTTCTATATCATGTGTAGCACTGTAACAAATGAAACAGTTTATATAGTCTGCCCTGCACTGATGCCTTTAAGGTTATTTGGAATTTTTGATAACAGAAATTTATAGCTATTTTTACTTGTGTAAAATGACCTTCTATGTGAAGTTTGTATGGTTAAATTTAAATTGAATGACATGCCTTGAATAGATAATTGGCTTTTAATTAACATTTATAAATTCAATTACCGTTATGTATTCCTATTTTAAGAGTAAACATCCACTTTATTTATGCAAACTTGACATTAGGTACCCTATTTGTGTTTCTGTCTGTATTAGGTACTACTTAGGAAGAAAGTTTAGTAATGAAATTAAGTATGTTTTTTGTTTTAAAAAATAATATTTCTGATTTAACTTGTATTTGAGGATCTCAAACACATAAAATAAAGGAAATTGTGATATTACTTATCAGAATTGTGCACTTCTCTAGGGCAGGGATCTTCCTGAATCATCTTCTTTGTACCCTTAACTCAGTGCCTGGTACATGGTTGGTGTTCAATAAGTTTGTTAAATTTGCCATACTATGAAACTATGACAATTTGGGTCATAATTTTTCATTGTAACCAGTTGGCCTTGATAATGAGACTTGAGTAAACTCTTCACCAGCTAAATAAATAAATCCCTGCTGCTCTTCACTCTGGAACACATTATGTAGAGTTGCCCATATGAGGAGCAGCTCTGTCACACATAAACATATGTCATTTGGAGGGTCTTCTTCAGAGCTTTCTGTTGGAGGCTCATGTTTGAAACCATTGTTTTCTCTGCCTGTGGCATCTGAATCAAATGATGTGTCTCGGGGGAGTAGCATCCCTGAAGCCTGGCATTGTTCTGCATTTCAGCTGCTCTGGAGGATGAGGTCACCTTTATGAGGTTTCCCCAGGCCTCCTCAAGCCCCCACTTTAGTATCATTTTTATCTTGTCATGACTTCCTCTGTTTAAAACCCCTCAGTGGCTTTGATCTGCCTCTATTTTCCTGAATCCGGTGGACAGTTCTCAGCCCTCATCTTACTTCACATATTAGCATCATTTGAGAAAGTTGACACCTCCTTCTTATATTTTCCTCACTCATACCCAAGATGTCCATACTCCTAGTTTTCTTCCCATTTCACTGTTCTTCTTTCTTAGCCTCCTTTTGTGGTTCTTCCTCTTTTCCCCAACTTGAATTAATGTTGCAGCGTCCCTGGACTCAGTCGTTGGCACTCTATCTACACTTACTCCCTTGGTTATCAGCTTCCAGCTCATGGATTTAAATGCCATCTCTGTCTTACTCTAGCTTACATTTCCAGCTCAGACTTCTCTCCTAACTCTAGACTTCTTGAATATCATCTTACTTACTTGACATTTCTACGCTTGGACAGCTGAAATACAATATGTCCAAAGCCTAACTTCTGGTCTTTACTCCTCGAAATTCCTTCTCCTGCAGGCTGCCCCATTTCTGCTGTTAGCAACTTATCTTTTCAGTTGCTTAGAAAAAAAGCTTTTAAATCAGCTTTGATTTTTCTTTCTCTTCATTCAGTCTATCTGGAAGGTCTTGTTGGCACTATGTTTAAAATAGGTTGAGAGTCTGATCACTTCTTGGTACCTCCAGTGCTACTGGCCAAAGCCACCAGTATCTCATGCTTGGATTATTGTAGTAACCTAATTGGTCTCCCTGTTTCTGACTTGGCCTCTGTATTACAGTCTATTGTCAAATTAGCAGCCAGAGTAATACTTTTAAATTGTAAGAAACACATAAGTAATGTTACTCCTCCACTAAAAATGTCCCATCTCTCTCAGATTAAAACTCAAAAACCTACAGGACTCTGCAGTATCTGGTGCCCTTCTTAGTTCTGACCTATTTCCTATTACTCTTTTTCTCGTTCGTGCTTTTGCAACCATACAGGTCCCATTGCTGTTTTGAAACATAGTCCAGTGCACTATCACCTTGGCACCCATGCACAGACTGTACCCTCTACCTACAGCATTTACCCCCGAGAATAGACATTCAGTAAATCTTTGTCGAATAAATGAATTAATGTACGAGGGGTTTACCATTGATTTTAGGATGACTTATATTCTTCACATGGTCTTCAAGACCCCACATAATTGGTTTCCTCTCTACTTTGCCAAACCCGTCTCCTGCTGCATTTCCTCTTCTGTCTCTCCTATCAGCCCATTAAGCCCTTTTTAGGTTTATCCAATCTACTCCATCCTTTTCCATCATAGGATGGAGTACTCCCTCTGCCAGCAACGTTTGTTCCTCTCTCCTACACCCATCCCGCTTGCCCAGTCAATTCCTGTGTATTCATCCCAGCTGAGTTTCAATGCTTGTCCTTCAAGAAAAGCTTCACTAATCATCCTCTTCTCCTGCAAGGACCCAGGGTTATATGCTTTCATAGCACCCTGACTTTCTCCTTCATGGAGCTAGAATATAAATTCTAAAAGGTCAGAGAGCATGTATGTCTTATTTACTGCAAAAACTTCAGCATTGAGTCTTGTACGTAGTAGGTGCTCAGTAATCTTCGTTGCATGGTAGACCTAATTTAATCCATATAAATAATCCTATGAGTTGTAAATCTAAACTATTAACCCAGTTTTTACAGATGAAAAGTAAAAGGGCCCACACAGGTTTTCTAATTTGCTCAAGGGATATGGAATAGCCCATGATGAACAGATAACTAATTCCTGTTTTGTGTGTTGAAGTGGGAGAAAAAAAGTAGGTAGTTTGTTTCTGACAGACAACAGATTATAAAACTGTAAAAAGCTGCATATTTCAGGAAGAAACTAAATTTTTATGAATTTTATGTACTTGATGGACATTTTTGACTAACAGAATTTCCACATTCAACATTACTTAGAGAGAGTGATTTTAAATATAATGTAGACATGAATAGTCAGTTTAAATATACTAAGCCACTGGAAAAAAATGTTACTATAGAATTTATTTAGCATCTGACACACAGGATCAGTCTGTGTCAAATGTTATTAAAGTACTTTTTTTTTGTCAGATCATCACCATATGGTATCATAATATTTCTTTTAATCTTAGAAGTGAAACGTTTTGGAAACTGGGGCTTCTATATGTGAGAAAGTTGAATTACAAAACTTTCTTTTTTTGAGGGTAAGAACTCTTTTATATCTAAAAATGCTCATATAAAAATGCCCTATGTGTGTAACTCTTTGTGTTTGAAGAGAACAGTGCTGATTCAGTGAGATTTGTGACATAAATTAGGGACCTTTTTTAAAGACTGATTTCACTTATCCTGCTGTTCTCTCAGCTCTATTTACAGAGGCCATTGTGCAATGGAAAAATACTGTGGGGCCAATCAATGCAAGATGCAAGAGAGATTCATTGAGGATGGTTTATTTAAGTTGGCCTCATTTTGGTATCTCACTTTGCTTTTGTAGACCAGAGCTCTGCTTGCCTCACTGGCTTTTCCCATAAATATGGTAAAGTCAGATTTCTAGAGAATTTTCTAGGATCAAGGCCTGTGATCTCTTATTTCTGTTACATTGCTTACACTACTGATGGCCCTCTGGAGAGTACTAAGCAGAAGCTTAGTACTTTTAAGTAAAGGTTATCCCTGTATGTTTGATAAAAATGTTATGCATATTTGATCAAATATGTTTATTGTTTAGAATGTAAATCTGGGATAAAACATAGGAACTGTTATAAGTTGTTCAGGAATGTTGCAAAATGGGAATCATATACCAGAAGTTCTTTATATAGACTATCCAAAAACGTGTTGTTACTTTAAAATCCCTTAATTTGTTAAGCGTACTAAGTTGGAATAATATAAAATAGCATGAGTTTTAGACTAGTTGCCTTTTTTTTGTCTTTAATCCACGTGTTGGTCTGTACTATTGGCTTTGTAGGAGAGGTTCACAGATAAATCAAGACATCTCCATTTTCTACCCAAAAAGTCCCACAGCAGGAAAATATGTTTGTAAATTGCATGTTTTAGGAAGTGTCATACTAAAAACATCTGTTAAGAGCACCATAATTGAGAGATCAAGCAAAAGTTCAAAACCTAAGAGGAAAGGCATTAAGTGAACAGATCTGGAGAGGTAATATAAAATCAATTGATTTTTTAAGCAGTTGTAGAATTTAGCTGTCAAAAATGCTGTAGGGACTGGTTTCTCTGCAAATATTTTTAATCCAGATGAAGCTAGTAATAGGGAATAAAAGCTATCAGTTCTCAGTGAACATTAAATTAATTAAATATATGTTAATTAACAAAAGGTTTAAATGAAAATATGATCCTCTATTCATCTCATTGTGGACACATTTAAAACCATATGAATTAGCTATGGCTCATCAAACCTTCAGTTGTAGTTGTCATAATTAGAATTGTTTTCTTGATCTATTGTTTTTTATTAAGTTGTTTAGTACAGTTAAAACTGCCAGTGAATAAAAATAATTGCCACATGCTTTTATGGCTGCCTTGAATGGAATTTATAGTTCAATTTTATATGTCTCTGTTGAATGCAGTTCTATGTGTACATTCTCTTGCAACCTAATAAAAATAATAAAAACTTATTATTTTTGAAATTTTAATAAAAATTTCACGAAGGCCACAGATGGAACTTTAAAAGACATTTGTTGTAAGTTTGATTTTATTTTCATCAATTTTTTTTGCTTTCGTAATGAGGTTGTAACTCATAGGTAGTGCTATTTGCAGTTCTATGTATTACTGAAATGCTAAAATCTTCAGCTTGTTCGTGGTTTGTGATTGTGTTTGTTTATATGCACATATAAATGCTTCGAACATTTGAATGTGTATTTCCTCTTCATTCTAGTTGGATTGATCCAGAGGTTTCTTGTACTTCAGATTTACGTACCCCTGGGACAAGACTTCTCCACTGAATTGCTGTAAGATATACAGAACTTCTTTGAATGTTTTGTGTGTATTAGACATTTGATCAATTGAAGCAGTACCAACAATCATTAATTGCAAGTGACAGTTTTTGCATTAAAGAGCAGTGACTTACATCAAGTCAACATCAAGTAATTAAACTAATTTAATCATATTTCTTGGATATCACTATAGTCTGGCATTTCCCTAGGAAAAGAAAGCAAATTTCATCTGTTTAAGAAAATATCAAAGGATTATTATTTTGACAATAAATGACCTATAACTTGAAGAAATATATAATCCAAAAGTTTGAGATTTTGGTTTGAATGAAGGGCGATGTTATGTTTTGTACGGTCTGCTATTCAAAACTATGGTTGGTCAAAAATTGATTGAAATATCTTATTTTAATAATATTTACTTTGTCTAGAAGTATTACTCCTTCCTATTTACATATAGCAGCTAGCAATATATTTGTTTTAAATGGAGATTGTTTAGCAAAAATGAAAATATACAACCTTTACTCAGTTGAGCTATCTATTATGTGAGATGTTATTGAGAATGAAAATAACATTTGATTGGTACGCTTGCATAGAATTGAGTATTGTTGAAGATTTTATTAATAAATTTATATACTTTAAATTAACCATTACATTTAAGGTATGCTATTTTCTTATTCTTCTTTGTAATTAATAGCTGTCCAAGGTCTGAGCTTAGGTTTTTATTTTCCATGCCAGAATAAATGATTTTTCTTATTAAGGAAGATGATTCTATACTGCTTTTACTAAGTAAAAGATGATTTTTTTTCAGTGAAGCCATCAAACACACAATATTTATTAATCAAGTTCACCATCTTATATGGGGTTTGTTCATGGCACCCCAAAACAATTACAACATGAAAGATCACTATCATAGGTCACCCTAACAGATAAATAATACTGAAAAAGTTTGAAATATTGCAGGAATTACAAAAATGTGACCTACAGACACAAAGTGAGCACATGCTGTTATAAAAATGGCACTGATAGATTTCTTGACACAGGGTTGCTACAAACCTTCAATTTGTAACAAACATAATATCTGCAAAGTGCAATAAAGCAAAGCTCAGTAAAACAAGATATGCCTGTAGCTATGTAAGACATCTTTCCATTCCATCTAGGTAGTTCTGCATCACTCTTTTGGATGTTACACAATTTCAATCCATTGGCCAAGCTGGTCTATTTTCAAACTTCATGGTTTTCCACACTTATATTTCTTCACATTCTTCTTTTTGCTTGGGACAGGATTCTTATTATTATTATACTTTAAGTTATGGGATACATGTGCAGAACGTGCAGGTTTGTTACATGGGTATACACGTGCCATGGTGGTTCGCTGCACCCATCAACCCGTCATCTACATTATTATTGGCATTTCTCCTAATGCTATCCCTCCCCTAGCCCCCCAGCCCCTGATAGGCCCTGGTGTGTGATGTTCCCCTCCCTGTGTCCATGTTTTCTCATTGTTCACCTCTTACTTATGAGTGAGAACATGTGGTGTTTCGCTTTCTGTTCCTGTGTTAGTTTACTGAGAGTGATGGTTTCCAGCTTCATCCATGTCCCTGCAAAGGACATGAACTCATCCTCTTTTACAGCTGCATAGTATTCCGTGGTGCATATGTGCTACATTTTCTTTATCCAGTCTATCATTGACGGGCATTTGGATTGGTTCCAAGTCTTTGCTGTTGTGAACAGTGCCGTAATAAACATACGTGTGCATGTGTCTTTATAGTGGAATGATTTATAATCCTTTGGGTATATACCAGGTAATGGGATTGCTGGGTCAAATGGTATTTCTGGTTCTAGATTCTTGAGGAATCGCCACATTTATTCTACAGTGGTTTAATTTAGACTCCCACCAACAGTATAAAAGCGTTCCTGTTTGTCCACATCCTCTCCAGCATCTGTTGTTTCCTGACGTTTTAATGATCGCCATTCTAACTGGCATGAGATGGTATCTCATTGTGGTTTTGATTTGCATTTCTCTCAAGACCAGTGATGATGAGCTTTTTTTCGCATATTTGTTGCCCACATAAATGTCTTCTTTTGAGAAGTGTCTGTTCATATCCTTTGCCCAGTTTTTGCTGGAGTTTTTTTTTTTTTATTGTAAATTGGTTTAAGTTCCTGGTAGATTCTGGATATTAGCCCTTTGTCAGATGGGTAGATTGCAAAAATTTTCTCCCATTCTGTAGGTTGCCTGTTCACTCTGATGATAGTTTCTTTTGCTGTGCAGAAGCTCTTTAGTTTAATTAGATCCCATTTGTCAATTTTGGCTTTTGTTGCCATTGCTTTTGGTGTTTTAGTCATGAAGTCTTTGCCCATGCCTATGTCCTGAATGGTATTGCCTAGGTTTTCTTCTAGGGTTTGTATGGTTTTAGGTTTTACATTTAAGTCTTTAATCTATCTTGAGTTAATTTTTGTATAAGGTGTAAGGAAGGGGTCCAGTTTCAGTATTCTGCATTTGGCTATCCAGTTTCCCAACTCCATTTATTAAATAGGGAATCCTTTCCCCATTTCTTGTTTTTGTCAGGTTTGTCAAAAATCAACTGGTTGTGGATGTGTAGCATCATTTCTGAGGCCTCTGTTCTGTTCCATTGGTCTATATATCTGTTTTGGTACCAGTACCATACTGTTTTGGTTACTGTAGCCTTGTGGTATAGGTAGAAGTCAGGTAGCATGATGCCTCCAGCTTTGTTCTTTTTGCTTAGGATTGTTTTGGCTATATGGGCTCTTTTTTGGTTCCATATGAAATTTAAAGTAGTTTTTTCTAATTCAGTGGTAGCTTGATGGGAATGACATTGAATCTATAAATTACCTTGGGCAGTAAGGCCATTTTCACAATATTGATTCTTCCTATCCATGAGCATGGGATGTTTTTCCATTTGTTTGTGTCCTCTCTTATTTCCTTGAGCAGTGGTTTATAGTTCTCCTTGAAGAGGTCCTTCACATCCCTTGTAAGTTTTATTCCTAGATATTTTATTCTCTTTGTAGCACTTGTGAATGGGAGTTCACTCATGATTTGGCTCTCTGTTTGTCTATTATTGGTGTATAGGAGTGCTTATGATTTTTGCACATTGATTTTGTATCCTGAGACTTTGTTGAAGTTGGTTATCAGCTTAAGTTTTTGGGCTGAGACGATGGGGTTTTCTAAATATGCAATCATGTCATCTGCAAAGAGGGACAATTTGACTCCCTCTCTCCCTATTTGAATACCCTTTATTTCTTTCTCTTGCCTGATTGCTCTGGCCAGAACTACCAATACTGTGTTGAATAAGAGTGATGAGAGGGCATCCTTGTCTTGTGCCAGTTTTCAAAGGGAATGCTTCCAGCTTTTGACCATTCAGTATGATATTGGCTATGGGTTTGTCATAAATACCTCTTATTATTTTGAGATACATTCCATCAATACCTAGTTTATGGAGAACTTTTAGCACAAAGGGATATTGAATTTTATCGAAGGCCTTTTCTGCATCTGTTGAGATCATGAGGTATTTGTCATTGGTTCTGTTTATGTGATGGATTATGTTGATTGATTTGCGTATGTTGAACCAGCCTTGCATCCCAGGGATGAAGCCAACTTGATTGTGGTGGATAAGCTTTTTGCATCCATGTTCATCAGGGATATTGGCCTGAAATTTTCTCTTTTTTGTTGTGTCTCTGTCAGGTTTTGGTATCAGGATGATGCTGGCCTCATAAAATGAGTTAGGGAGGAGTCCCTCTTTTTCTGTTGTTTGGAATAGTTTCAGAAGAACTGGTACCAGATCCTCTTTGTACCTCTGGTAGAATTTGGCTGTGAATCTGTCTGGTTCTGGGCTTTCTTTGGTTGGTAGGGTATTAATTACTGCCTCAATTTCAGGAATTGTTATTAGTCTACTCAGGGATTCAACTTCTTCCTGGTTTAGTCTTGGGAGGTTATATGTGTCCAGGAATTTATCCATTTCTTCTAGATTTTCTAGTTGTTTTATTGCATAGAAGTGTTTATAGTATTCTCTGATGATAGTTTGTTTTTCTGTGGGATCAGTGGTGAAATCCCCTTTATCCTTTTTTATTGTGTCTTTTTGATTCTTCTGTCTTTTCTTCTTTAGTAGTCTGGCTAGTGGTCTATCTATTTTGTTAATCTTTTCAAAAAACTAGCTCCTGAAGTCATTGGTTTTTTGAAGGGTTCTTCATGTCTCTATCTCCTTCAGTTCTGCTCTGATCTTAGTTATTTCTTGCCTTCTGCTAGCTTTTGAATTTGTTTGCTCTTGCTTCTCTAGTTCTTTTAATTGTGATGTTAGGGTGTCGATTTTAGATCTTTCCCGCTTTCTGATGTGGGCATTTAGTGCTATAAATTTACTTCTAAACACTGCTTTAGCTGTGTTTCAGAGATTCTGGTACATTGTGTCTTTGTTCTCATTGGTTTCAAAGAACTTATTTATTTCTGCCTTGATTTCATTATTTACCCAGTAGTCATTCAAGAGCAGGTTGTTCAGTTTCCATGTAGTTGTGGGGTTTTGAGTGAGTTTCTTAATCCTGAATTCTAATTTGATTGCACTGTGGTCTGAGAGACTGTGTTATGATTTCCATTCTTTTGCATTTGCTGAGGAATGTTTTACTTCCTATTATGTGGTTGATATTAGAATAAGTGCAATGTGGTACTGAGAAGAATGTATATTCTGTTGATTTGGGGTGGCGAGTTCTGTAGATGTCTATTAGTTCTGGTTGGTCCAGAGCTGAGTTCAAGTCCTAAATATCCTTGTTAATTTTCTGTCTCATTGAGCTGTCTAATATTGACAGTGGGGTGTTAAAGTCTCCCACTATTATTTTGTGGAGTCTAAGTCTCTTTGTTGGTCTCTAAGAACTTGCTTTATGAATCTGAGTACTCCTGTATTGGGTGTATATATATTTGGGGTAGTTAGCTCTTCTTGTTGCGTTTATCCCTTTACCATTATGTAATGCCCTTCTTTGTCTTTTTTGATCTTTGATAGTTTAAAGTCTGTTTTATCAGAGACTAGGATTGCAACCCCTGCTTTTGTTTTCTTTCCATTTTCTTGGTAAATATTCCTCCATCCCTTTATTTTGAGCCTATGTGTGTCTTTGCATGGAAGATGAATCTGCTGAATACAGCACACTGATGGTTCTTGACTCTTCATCCAATTTGCCAGACTGTGTCTTAATTGGGGGCATTTAGCTTGTTTACATTTAAGGTTAATATTGTTATGTGTGAATTTGATCCTGTCATTATGATGCTAGCTGGTTATTTTGCCCCTTAGTTGATGCAATTTCTTCATAGTGTCAATGATCTTTAAAATTTTGTATGTTTTTGCAGTGGCTGGTACCAGTTTTTCCTTTTCATATTTAGTGCTTCCTTGAGGAGCTCTTGTAAGGCAGGCCTTGTGGTGACAAAATCGCTCAGCATTTGCTTGTCTGTAGAGGATTTTATTTCTCCTTTGCTTATGAAGCTTAGTTTGACTGGATATGAAATTCCGGGTTGAAAAGTCTTTAAGAATATTGAATATTGGCCCCCATTCTCTTCTGGCTTGTAGAGTTTCTGCAGAGAGATCCATTGTTAGTCTGATGGGCTTCCCTTTGTGGGTAATCTAACCTTTCTCTCTGGCTGCCCTTAACATTTTTTCCTTCATTTCAGCCTTGGAGAATCTGATAATTATGTGTCTTGGGGTTGCTCTTCTCAAGGAATATCTTTGTGGTGTTCTCTGTATTTCCTGAATTTGAATGTTGGCCTGTCTTGCTAGGTTGGGGAAGTTCTCCTGGTTAATATCCTGAAAAGTGTTTTCCAACTTGATTCCATTCTCCCCATCACTTTCAGGTACACCAATCAAACATAGGTTTGGTATTTTCACATAGTCTCATATTTTTGGAGGCTCTTTTCGTTCATTTTCATTCTTTTTAATCTAATTTTGTCTTCACCCTTTATTTCCTTAAGTTGATCTTCAATCTCTGATATCCTTTCTTTTGCTTGAATGATTTGGCTGTTGATAGCTGTGTACGCTTCACGAAATTCTTGTGCTGTGTTTTTCAGCTCCATCAGGTCATTTATGTTCTTCTCTAAACTGGTTATTCTAGTTAGCAATTCCTCCAACCTTTTTTCAAGGTTCTTAGCTTCCTTGCATTGGGTAAGAAACATGCTCCTTTAGCTTGGAGGAGTTTGTTATTACCCACCTTCTCAAGCCTACTTCTGTCAGTTCATCAAACTCATTCTCCATCCAGTTTTATTCCCTTGCTGGCAAGGAGTTGTGATTCTTTGGAGGAGAAGAGGCATTCTGGTTTTTGGAATTTTCAGCCTTTTGCGCTGGTTTTTCCTCATCTTTGTGGATTTATCTACCTTTGGTCTTTGATGTTGGTGACCTTCGGATGGGTTTTTGTGTGGACATCCTTTTTGTTGATGTTGATACTATTCCTTTCTGCTTGTTAGTTTTTCTTCTAACAGTCAGGCCCCTCTGCTGCAGGTCTGCTGGAGTTTGCAGTGGTCCACTTCAGACCCTGTTTGCCTAGGTATCACCAGTGGAGGCTGCAGAACAGCAAAGATTGCCGCCTGTTCCTTTCTCTGGGAGCTTCATCCCAGAGGCACACCTGCCAGATGCCAGCTGGAGCTCTCCTGTATGAGGTGTCTGTTGACCACTGCTGGGAGGTGTCTCCTAGTCAGGAGGTATGGGAGTCAGGGACCCACTTGAGGAGGCAGTCTGTCCCTTAGCAGAGCTCGAGTGCTGTGCTGGGAGATCCACTGCTCTCATCAGAGCCAGCAGGCAGGAACGTTTAAGTCTGCTGAAGCTGTGCCCACAGCCGCCCCTTCCCCCAGGTGCTCCATCCCAGGAAGATGGGGGTTTTATCTATAAGTGCCTGACTGGGGCTGCTGCCTTTCTTTTGGAGATGCCCTGCCTGGAGAGGAGGAATCTGGAGAGGCAGTCTGGCTACAGAAGCTTTGCCCAGCTGCAGTGGTCTCTGCCTAGTTCGAATTTCCAGGTGGCTTTGTTTTCACTGTGAGGGGAAACCGCCTACTCAAGCCTCAGTAATGGTGGATGCCCCTCCCCCCACCAAGCTCGAGTGTTCCAGATTGACTTTAGACTGCTGTGCTGGCAGCGAGAATTTCAAGCCAGTGGATCTTAGCTTGCTGGACTCTGTAGGGGTGGGATCTGCTGAGCTAGACCACTTGGCTTCCTGGCTTCAGCCCCCTTTCCCGGGGAGTGAATGGTTCTGTCTCGCTGGCATTCCAGGTGCCACTGGGATATGAAAAAAAAACTCCTGCAGCTATCTCGGTGTTTGCCCAAACAGCTGCCCAGTTTTGGGCCTGAAACCTAGGGCCCTGGTGGTGTAGGCACCCAAGGAAATCTCCTGGTCTGCAGGTTGTGAAGACCGTGGGAAAAGTGTAGTATCTGGGCTGGAATGCATTGCTCCCCATGGCTCAGTCCCTCACCGCTTCCCTTGGCTAGGGGAAGGAGTTCCCCGAACCCTTGTGCTTCCCAGGTGAGGTGACACCCTACCCTGCTTTGGCTCGCCCTCCTTGGGCTGCACCCATTGTACAACCAGTCTCAGTGAGATGAGCTGGGTACCTCAGTTGGAAATGCAGAAATTACCTGCCTTCTGGGTTGATCTCACTGGGAGCTGCAGACCAGAGCTGTTCCTATTCAGCCATATTGCCAGCCACCTCTTGAAAGATGATTTTATACTACTTTTACTAAGTAAGTTTGGTACAAACTAAGAAGAAGAGCTTTCTTAATAAAATGAGAGTGACATAAATTTGAGAAATATTCATTTCTTTTAATTTATATGAATTTAGATATTAATGATTTGTTTATATGTTGTTAACATATGAATTTTAGCTATCAATATACAATCTTGTCTTCTTGGGTGATAAAAGATAGATAGAACAATTTATACGTTTGTTTTATTCAGTCTTAAATCTCAGTAAACTTTTTACTAAGATCTTCTTTCATCATCTGCCATGGTCACTAGGTTTCTTTAAAATAGCTCTTAGAGTAACAGGACTAAAGCATTGTTTGATGCACTCACGTATCACTTTCTGGTTCTGCAGAAAAAGCATTTTCAAGACTCCAAAGGCATGCTAAAGGTAGAGGGGATCACACAAAACTTTATTTTCAGTGTAGGGAAAAGTGGTTCCTGCCAAATGGAAGAAGGTAAATTATACTTTATTTTTAAGCTCCTTAACAACCCATAGAATCCCATATAGGCCCAGTTATTCTTCTTATCTCCCTATCAGAAGCAGTGGTGAGGGTGCTGGTAGTTGGCCTTTTGATCAAAATTGTACAAGACATTTGGCTGAACCTTAGAACAGAATCTTTTGCCGATGAGCCCTCTTTTTCTATGCAAAATTAAGCTTCATTTGTGCCCCCAAACACTAGAGCTTATTACTTTAGCCAAGGCAATAGACTGTCTTAACTAATTTAAAAAAACTTAAAGCTGGCCAGGCACGGCGGCTCAAGCCTGTAATCCCAGCACTTTGGGAGGCCAAGGTGTGTGGATCACGAGGTCAGGAGATCGAGACTATCCTGGCTAACATGGTGAAACCCCATCTCTACTAAAAATACAAAAATTAGCCGGGAGTGGTGGCGGGCGCCTGTAGTCCCAGCTACTCGGGAGGCTGAGGCAGGAGAATGGCGTGAACCCGGGAGGCGGAGCTTGCAGTGAGCCGAGATTGCTCCACTGCACTCCAGCCTGGGTGACAGAGCGAGACTCCGTCTCAAAAAAAACAAAAACAAAAACAAAAACAAAAAAAAACTTAAAGCTTTAATTATTGAGAAATCAATGAATATCTTAGGTTTAACTTAGTCCTAGCCAGAGAGCAGTTGATATCTGAGTCAACCTGATGACTTCTTTCTTATCCTATTACTGATGCTCTTGACCTATTTAAGGATAGGAAAACATTTCGAGGGGTGTTGGGGATAATGACTATATTTTAAATTCAGTTGACTATAGAAGTAGATTACCTTGTTCTCTTATCTACATGGACAAACATTTGGATTTTCCAAATGGTTTCAGTTTTATAGTTTTAACAAAATAGATATCTTATGGATTAAAGATCAAAATTATTAAATAACATGGGGAAGACATTCTCTCTCCTGACCTTGGGAATTTATCAGATTGTGAGAAAATATGCTAACTCTCTATTTGAATTTGTTACTGATAGACAATCAAAATATAGTGCTGTTTTAGGAAGTAGTGACAGAGATCATGTTTTTACAGGAAGGAAAGTGGAATAACAAGTATGGATTGTCTTTCTATGCATTGCTGCACTGCTTTTTTTCCCCCTTAAATGAAAGGGCTTTCTTTCAGCACCCTCAGTGTTTTACTATGTTTCTGGCAGCATAGCTCTAGGCTATTTTAAATAATACATTTCTCTAACAAGCTTGGAAAGTCACATAACAGAAAGGTATCTGGCTTCTAAAATTTTTCATTGTCAGAATGGGAGAGGCATTTTGTTTCACAAAGATACATTTATACATCAAGAAGTTTTCATAAGTGAAGTCTTGCCAGCTGGTTTACAGATTTAGTCATCATTTCCTCAGCATCTTTCTATGTCTCCCATGCCCACTGGATGATTATGCATATGGGGTAGTTGGGGCTTGATAACCAGCAACAGCTCTGCTTGAGGAATTACTCGTTCATTCAGTCGATAGGTAATTGAATTCCTCTTATTGTCAGGCATCGTGTTAGGCATGGGGGATTTGATATACCTCGAATTTGTATACTTCTCCCCACGCTTGCTACTACCCTGCTAGTCCCAAACCACCATCACATTTGCCTGCCCCACTCTTAGAGCTTCCCAGTGGACTTCCAGCTTCTTCTCTTGTCCTCTTTCATTCTAGTCTCCAGACTGCAGTAGAGTGGTCTTTCTAAAAACCAACTGAAGTTCCCATTGAACTGAGGATAAACTCCCAATTCACAGTACTCCTGGGTGTTCTGGTCTCACCTCTCCCTTCTCATCTCATAGCACTCACTCTGCTGGTAGCTCACAATTTGGCTGCCAACCTGCTTCTTTGCTTCCTCACGCACCAGGTGAAGTCTCTTCTTAGGGTCCTGTGCACAGTGGTTTCTGTCCCCATCTCTTTGCCTGGCTAACTCCTCCTCTTCAGCCTCCTCATCTCAGCTTAAGTGTCCCTTCTTCAGAAAGCCCTTTTATGATTTTCCGCCAACTGAATGAAGTTCATCTCTTATGCCTTTTCTAGTACCCTTTTCTTTTCCTTCATTACAACTGTAACAGTTTATAATTATTATATGTTTATTTAATTATGTGTCTTTTTGGGTGGACTTCAAGTTTCATGAAGACATGGAGCCTGTTCTATTCAGCTTGATATCCCAGCGCCCAGCACAAGGCATGACACGTAATAGGCTCTGAAATACGGACATACGGGCGGAAGGATGGGTGGACTAATGAATGAAGGGAGAAGCAGCACCCAGTCTCTGTTCTCAGAGGTTACTCTGTGAGTGAAAGATCCATTTAAAAGGAAATCTAAATATATCTTGATGAATGTTATGATAACATAAGAGCAAGATCAGTGGGGAACATATGAAGTATTAGGGGGAACTAAGATTATAGGCTGGGAACTGGACAGATCTGTAGGCAAATTCTGCTTTACCTCTGTGGGACTTTGGTCAAATTACTTAACCTGCCTCACCTTATGGGGTGAGAGTAATAATACTTACCTCACAGGTCTGTCATAAGCATTAAATGAGAAAGCTAATGTAAAGTAATAATAATGGCTAACATTAAGCACTTATGACATCAGCATTGTTCTAAGCACTTTGTTATAGCTCAATTAATCCTCAGAATTAGCCTGGATAGTAGGCATAATTATTACCTCTGTTTTATTATTTGAGGGAACTGAAACCTAGAAAGGATAAGGAACTTGCCAGCTACTAACTCTTAGAGCTAAGATTCAAACATGTAGCCTGAATCTAGAACCTGTGCTCTCTACTCCCTTGCCACGCTGCCTTACTTGTAAATATTGTTATTTTTCTATTTGACTATACATATATGCATAAGTAGTAGATATATAGTAAATATTTTATTTGAATTTTAATATAAGTTGAAAGAGCTAAGCCTTTTATATCTTCTCAAGAGGCTTCTCATAAGACAGTTTTGTCTGTAGAGTTTCAGGAAGGAAAGGTCTTTCTTTCATGCTGAGATATTTCTATCTTTACCTTTATAAGAGCTAAATGCCTGCGAATTAAAGGAAGGACTTTACTGAAATCTTTATTTTGTTTTAGCATTTTGCATCCCAAATGTGATGAATTCATTTTAGACTTTTTTAAATGAAAACTAAGAAACAACTTTAACTCTTCTTTATTGATTCCTCTTTTTTCTTTAAGATCAAAAATTGTATTATTCAGGATCATATGCCTGTGGATAAGGTTGTTTCAGAACTTCATGACCTGACCAGCAATTATCTAAGCACATTACATTTTGCATGTGGAGCAAAGGGAGTGTTTACTGTACTAACACATAGAATGATGAGCAGTGAAGTAACAGAATTCTCTCATTTTCAGGGTCGAGGTGTCAACCCACAAAAGACCTACTTGCTTTTTACAAAAATCATCTTGACTTGCTTATTTCATAATATTAGTTGCAGTTTTCTTTTCCAAAATATTTTAGTGTAACTGTGTCTAATGGTTTCACTTGAAGGTAAAACAACAGGTTTTAACATTTATTTTATTTTTGGTACCTTCCAAACTGCATCATCAAGGCATTGGGAGGCCCGTGGCTTCCCTGTGTGGTTTGCTAGGTGTTTCAGAGCCTGGGGGCAGACATCTGGTGCACAGGAGGAGCACTACAAACATGAGCTCTTAGAAAAGAAGCAACTGCATCTTGAAATAGAAGTTCATTTTCCCTTATTTGATGCTGCCAATCACACTAAATGATTTTGGGATATTATATTTTTGACAGGAATTGTATTCATCTTCTGAATATTGTTGAGCTGCATTAATTCCTTTTTCTATCCTGATTTTGTCATTATCTCAATGAATTTTGATAGACATTTTGTACTGTTGTGCCTCTAGTGAACTGATGTTATTTTTCTCATTTTCATGCAGCTCAGCAAGTGCTTTTTCAATAAATGGGTTGAAAACACTGAGACCCTCTGGTGTGCATCATGTGCTGTTTGGAGAGGTTAGGATTCTTAGCCCTTGGGTCATGGAGAATATTATTGCTATGTACAAGCTTTCATGTGTTGAGCCCTTAGCTGTTTGAAGTACTACTTCCATTTGGAATCTGATAAAGGTTGAAAGCAAAAGTTAAATTCTTTAAAAAAGAAAAAAAACCCTGAAAGTGTACCTCATCCTTACAAATTTTAACTGATCCTTTGTGATCCTTGCATAGCAGTATTCTGAATTTGAAATTGTATCTGAATGGAGTTTGATGATTTTAACCTGGAATTCAATACAGAATTTATGATGCTCATTCCAGAGTTTTTGTCTTTTCCTTTTGCTCTGCTTCCTAGTTGTGTGGCTGTGGACTCAACACTTTAATTTGGTGTTTCCGTTTCCTCACAGTAAATGGTAATGCTAACTCTTTTATTTTAATGGCTGGAGTTAATTGAAGACATTGGTCTTTTTCTAAGAATTTTACGGAGTTTAGGTCCACGTAGACCTCAAAGCTTCCTTTTTCATTTCTATAATATGGAAAATTGGACATGCTTCCAAACAAAGCTTTAGCCTCAAGCCAATTTAATGAAAGTTACTCTTATGTTATTTTTTCCGTACTGTTACTAGTGAGCTAGACAGCGGTCAGAAAATAAATCTAATAGAAGTTTCAGAGTCTTCTACCCTATTGAATTTTGCTCCTACCTTTCCTTCTTCAGTGACGTTAGAGACAGTAGGCTCCTTTGAAACTTTAAACTAAGTAAAGTGAATATGGCCTCACAGCTGCAGACCTGATCTTTTCATATGTCATCGGTCTTCCTCAGCCTCTTTAAAGCCACTGGAGTTGAGAGCATACCTAAATTTGATATCTTTAGGTCACGATGACATTAGTGACAGCTTTTGAGATTGTATCCATGTAACTATGCACAACTCTTCCTGTGGAAAATTTGCTTTCTTATCTTTTTGGTCATTCATTGCCTTCCTTTAAAGAAAATAGTGGTTGCTTTGTAGCTTTTTAAGTTATTTGTAAAAGAGATGTTAACCAAATGCAAAGAATTATTATGTTATCCAGTGAAATCTTTTATGTCACCAAGGGAATACATCTCTAAACTATGTGTTGAGAACTAGACAACAATGGCCAGTAGCAGCTCTTTTTTAAACTAGAAGTATTGTACACTAAAGTGGTAATAACATTTCATTAATATTTTGAACGCATCTCGTGGCTAATTTCAATTTCTATTTTTTCTTTTTAAAAAAATCAGTATTTAAACCTCATTATTTTAATTATGTCAAATTAAATGTACTTGCATAATCAGTATATTTTGTTACACGCATTAGTGAAGAGAGCACTTTAAGATACTTTGCATACTGACTTTCTTAATATATTAAATTTGCATGCCTTAAAATAGGTTTTATGTGGAAGTTTTTGATAACATATGTGGTAGGTATATAAATCAGCTGCATATCCTTTATCTATTAAACATATGTTTATGAAAAGTTTTTTTTTCCTGTTTCTTAGTTTGGTTCATTTTACTTTTCTAAATTATTTTTACAATATTCTTTAAACAAACTAGATGCATGTTCAAAGCTAAAAGAAAAGAAAAGAAAAAATGCACATATACAAATATTTGGAAGTGTTTTTAGTATGTAAAACAAAATAATAAAAGGCCATACATTTGTTAAACCACTGTGCAGTTAAATGATTGCCATATCAATTATCAGGGCACAAGTCAGGGTCCTGTGATGGGACAGATTATAGACTAGGGAGTTACTGGCTCTACCACTTATTAGCATGGTGACCTGGGACAAGTTTCTGAACACCTTTGTATGTCAAAGCCTCATCTGTACAATGGGGCTGATATTATATGTGTTTTTTGGGTAGTTAAGAGGGTTAAATTCAATAATGCCAAATTCTAAGTGCACAGTATATTTTAATTTATAAGTTTTATATTCTTTAAATATAGATAAGAGTACATTGCTGTTTAATTTTTAAATTGTTCTTGTGAAACATTTCGAGACAAATTGGGCATGTCTGCTTTCCTTGTGAAATTTTCATGCTACTTGTCCCTAAAGACAGATGGAGCCTGTCTACTTTCATGCTACTTGTCCCTAAAGACAGATGCAGCTTTTCCTTGGGAGCCTCCTTGACTATTGACTTATGCAAGTTCTCTATCTGGAAAGAAATGATGGGCATAAACATGAAGAAAAAAGTGATTGCTGTTGTTTTGGTATGGATGCTAGTTATTTATTTAAAAGACAACTGCAAGAAGTCCTGGCATCAGAGTTCTGGTATGAAGGGAGTTACAGGTGACCAGACCAAAGTAGAACCATAGATAGAAATGTTCAACTGTGAAGAAGCAGGACCTGGGAAAAACAGATATAACAGATAGACTTCCAATGAATTAAGGCATAATAAACAGGGCTTTCTCATTTTCCACTGCCCCTGTTTGCCTTCACTAACAGTGATGATTGAAGACAATTCACAGCAAATCACAGATCCTCCAAATGCACTCCCTTTTTTGATATGGCAGTGCCAAGTAGATATGTTTCTTTGATCCCATGAGATGTAGCTCACTGTTTTTTTCCTTTGGTCAAGAGAAATGTCTCCTCTGGTTTGGTTCTTCTTCCCTTTCACTGTATTTCATTTGTATTCTGGTAGTTAATTAAATTTATTGTTAGCAATTCAAGTATATCATGGAATCTTATGAAGTCATTTGGCATTTGGCTTTGATAAGTTGGGTAGTTGTAAATACAAGAAGAATCCCCCTTTGGGAAGGGCTGGTGTCTCTAGGGTTCCTCATTTCTGTATTTTTTTTTCTCATAAATTGTGAAGTTTCTGATTTGGATGTAAAAATATCTCAGACTCTTTGGATTCATAGAAATGACTGATAGAATGGCATACATGTAGTAAATTACAAACATATCTTACAATAGCACTTACACATGTCTGTTAATGGCATTTATTACATAATGGTCTTATTATTTAGACATCTCAACAACCAACTCTCCACCTCCAAATAGACCATGAGATCTTGAGGGGCCAGAGCAATTAGATCCCAATGAGGCTACTGTTGAACTTTCCATTTCTAAGCCCCATTTGTAAAAGACATTGCCCAGATATTACAATAGACATCAGTAGATTTCATTGGACTTTAGATTGGTTACAGTATAGTACCTGCCATGGTAGTACATGATCAGTAAATGTTAATTTCCTTCTTTCAGTAGTTTTCTAATTCTTTGCATTATTAGACTCCCTTTAATTTGGCTTCAGTTTGTTCTGTGGTATACTTCTTTTGGGAGACAGAATGAAGATATGGGTGGCCTAAAATTGGCAAGGTAGTAATACATTTAGAATTTCCATTCATAGAAAAGGAGTTTTGGAGCTAGCTGGAGTTAGATAATTAAAAATCATCCAATCCATTGCTTTTTAGACACTTCTGAATCCCCTCTGTTACTTCAAACAAAAGAATTCATCCTCCCTTTTTTCAATCTTATGTACATTTTGGGATGAAAATGTTTATATGTTTTACGTAAATAGAGGATGCCATTGCTCCCTCATAAGGTTGAAATCCACTGATATGGTTCAACCTTCTTTTTAAAATTGGGTAATAATACAAAGTCAAATAAAGCTGATGTTGCAGTTTTCAACCACATTTAAATTCTGTGTTTCGAGGTACTCTAACATTTGTTTTTACTTTTTAAATGATCAGTATTTGAATTTTAAGTTTTAGATATTGGTCTTAGCCCAAGTCCGTAGGAAAAAAATTAGGATTTCCTGCAGCCCAAGCTGCTTTATCCAGTTGCCCCACAAAGTTGGTGGTCACTGGCACCCTAGGCTTCTGGTTCTGATCTCAGGCACCTCTCTCTCCATAATTCATTCCACTCCTCCTCCTTGCCATAGCCACCTTGGTTGCTGAGCACCTTACAAGCTCTCAGCTTTTGGCTCAAGTTTTTCATCCAACCTAATCCCATCTCTCCACTTTTTGAACCCTAATCGTTCTTTAAGGTCAAACTCAAATGCATTATCTTTCATAAATACTTCCCATATCCTCCAGTTGTAGTAACATCTCTGTTTCCTCGGTGTTCTCACAATTGTGTACATGATTACTTTGAGGGCAGGGACTACATCTTGTCATCAGTATAATCCGTACAGCACCTAGAAGAATTCTCTGTGCATGGTTGGTCTTCAGTAGTGCTTGTTATTTTGTATTGTACTGAAATGTGTTGATATACTGTTGGTGTTGTTCTTTGATTAGAAAAAGACAGGAAAACAAACAAAAAAAAAAAACAAGAGAGTAGAAAGCAGGTGAACAGGACTAAGAAAGTGTTCTGCTTTCCTTTTCTCAACTCTTAGTTCCTGGAATACTAATAACTGGGCCTTAATTTAACCTTTTAATTTGCTCTGCCATGTATGAAGTGCATTTCTCTCCACCACACCTCTACTGGCAGTATGGTAACTATATTAAAGAATATGTAAAGGCAGGAGAATTTAGGTAATGAGTGAATTTTCTTGAAATGGTCATGTATTTCTTGAAATATATTCAAGTAAATGTTTTCAAGGCCATACTAAAGCTATGGAACACCACAGTTGGCTCTTAGATAAAAACTCTGAGTTTGAATATAAGCCTATAATAGAACTCCCCAAGGACAACTTTAATAAAATCAAGTCATCTGCCCTTGTTTATTAGAACACATTAGTGATCTTTGTTTTATGTCATTTCTTATTTAAAATATATTATAATAAACTATTTCAAACAATGACAGTAATGTGAAATTCTCAGTATAGTAGGTGGTTGGTTGCATTTATTAGCAGTAAGTAGGAACAACCTTTCTGTTTCATGTACATAGACATTACCATTCTCTTTTTTTTAAGGTTAAATGCCATTGATCTATAACTTGGAAAGTAAACTATTTCTTAGCATTATTTAAAACCATATATGATTATTGATATGCTACAAGCAAGGATTTGAAATAAATATACAAATTCACTGTATTTAGAAACTAATGTGTTAGCATAAACTTTTAAAAAGCTTTGGCAGCTCAATTCTCTATTATAGAGCATCTACAAATCTTATCCAATTCCCTGTTTTTTTTTAGGAAAAATCCTGAAGCCCAGAAAAGGGGTATGACATCTCTCAGGATGCAGTTTCTTAGTGGCAAAACGAGGACTAAAGCTCTGGACTTCTTACTCTCTAGCCTCTATTCTTTATATCTTTGCTGCCTTTTAGTGCTTGAGTTGCAAAAAGGTGAACATGTAATTATGATTTCATAATCATGATTTCTGACACTTTTAAAAAATGAATTTATTTCTGCAAATACTTTGGACTCTCAAATGCAGAAGGTCAGTTCTGTTATGATACCTCAGGTTTCTACTTCTCTCCCATTCCTCCCCTTCAAAAATCAACAGAAATAAGTCAGATTCTTTGCTTGGGTCAGGATTAGCAAGGCAAAAAACAAAGCAACTTATTTTAATGATCATTTGATTGTTAAGGTCAGAAATCTATTTATATTATTTCAAGTAAAAAGATATGTACTCGAAGAACATGGAGAGATCTTAAGGAACCCAACTGCAAAAGTTGGTCCAGCCCTCGTGGGAGGTGAGAGTTGTCAACAGGTCTCTCTCTCTCTCTGTCTCTCTCTTCCCCGCAGCTACTCTCATCTCTGATTTTGTTTGTAAGTCTGCTGCTCAGTTCTTCAGTTTCGTTCTGTATACCAGCTTTTTCTGATTGCTTACCATTGTGCATATGGACAATAATGGCTGCCAGTACATCACTCTATCTCATCATTGTGTGACCAGGTTCAATCTGTGTAGCTGCTGGTTCAGAGATTTGAAATAATAATCAGGATTGGTCCTTGGCCAATCATTGGCTTTAAGCTAAGTGCTCTAAAGCTGGTTTCAATTTTAGAGGTTGTAAGCTGGAGGAGATTCCCTAAGAAGGCAGTGTAGGCAGGGTGGGCAGATGGACTGATACACCCACTCCACTGCTCTTTAATTATAGACACTTGACAGTCACCTTAGAACTTATTTTTCTCTCAGTCACCTGCCAGTGACTTCTACAGATATTCCTGAGCCCCTCTACTGGCATTCATGGGTAAATGGTTGCTGAAATTTTTCGTTGTAGTCAGATCTATTATACTTCGATGCCACTCTTGTCCTAGGTCATGTACTTTATTTACCTGGAATCCTAAGGTTGTCTTAATGATACTATCTAAATTGTCTTAATTTAGATGCACTGTGCAGTCATTTAAGCACTAAGCTACAGTTCTTTAGTGTTTCTCTAGCTAAATAATAACACTGATTAGAATGGTTGGGTTTATTGAACATCTATAATACATTAGGCCAAGGAACCTGGACTGTTTCCATCTTCCATCTAGGGCCTTAGAGTCCTCTACTGGATCCTCTATATCTTGTCAGCAAGCAAAAGAAGAGAGAGCCTGGAGGAACACATGGGAAGATGTTTGGGGTCACAAATATAAAGCTGTATTTGCCAGGTTTGCTAAGATGGTTTACAAAATTTCATACATAGCTGTCTCACATTACCTGAGAGCTACAGGTAGGATGAAGCTCTGCTTTATCTATAGGGTGACTATGTATCTGGTCTGGGTCTTCTCGTTCCAGAATGTGGATAGAACAAACAGCCCCTATTTGGGACATACTGTCCATAAGGTGAGAGCAGAAGAGCAAGAGTCTCATCAGAACCACACAATTGAGTTTAAAGCTTCTCCTCATATATGTGTGGCACATGTTACTTCTACTTGCATTCATTGGCCAGCCCAGTTAACATGGCCAAGCCTAGAATCAACAGGGCAGAGATGTATTCAATCTCCTACGTAAAAGGGAGATAGCCAATAATTGTGAACAGTGATAACCTACTATAAACACAGACACACACACACACACATTATTTCATGCAATTATCACAGCACTGTTAAAAGTGGATATTACCACTATTACACAATTTATTAACTTAACAAATATATATGAGCACCTATTGTGTTCTAGATCCTGTGGCTTTTGAGTAAACAAGAGTCAAGTGAGGACCCTCCTATCCTTGTCTCTTGTGCATTGGTAATACGGGTTTATTTTATTTAAAATGTTATGTCTATAAGATATACTCATACTTTATTGTAAAACAAACAGAATTCTCAACTCTTTGGGATCAGGATCCCTCCACACTCTTAATAAGCATTGAGAGCCCAAAAGAGCTTTTCTTTATGTGGGTTGTAGCTCAATATTTACCATGTTGGAAATTAACACTGAGTGATTTAAAACGTATTTATTATTTAGAAATAATAATAAATCCATGTCATGTTAGCATAAATACCTATAAAAACATATACATAAAATATCTATGTTTTCCAAAATTATACTTACAAAAATAATTTAGTGAAGAGTGGCATTATTTTATATTTTTGCAAATCTTTTTAATCTCTGGCTAAATATTATAGAAGACAGGTAGATTTTCCTGTCTGCCTCTAATTCAATCTGTTGTGATATAATACATCATGTTACCTTTTAAAAAACTCTACTATATGCTGTGAGACAGTGAGAGTGAAAAACAAATAACATGTTAGTATTGTTATGAAAATGGTTTTGACTTCACTGAGTTCCTGAAGGGATCTTGCAGACCCTTAGCTATCCCCAAACTACCCTTTGAGAATCAAGAATCCCTTAACCACATTTTGAAAACTGCTATCTTAAAGTATACACCAAAAGCAAATACATGACATCCTCAGTACATTTTGAAAGTGTCACCATTCTGCTAATCTGTTTTATAAATTAGGTAGTTATATCAGTCAGGTGGGCTAACTGCTCTAACAGATAATCCCCAAATCCCAGTGGCTTACTTAACACAGTAAAGCTTCATTTCTTGTTCATATTACAATTCATTGCAGGCCAACGATAGGAGCTCTGTCCTGCAGGGTCATTTAGGGGGACCTAGGCTGCTTTCATCTTCTAATCTAGGGCTGCATAGTCTTCTGCTGGATCTTCCACATCCCTCAACAAACAAGGGAAGAGAGAGCCTGGAGAATCACTTGGGAGGATGTTTGGGATCATGTTCCCCTGGCCAGAACTCGTGCGTCACCTGTAACAGCATTGCGGGCTAGGAAATGTAGTCTGGTTGTATGCTCAGGAGAAAAGGAAACAACCAGGCTTAGCCAAGACACAACTGCCTCCACCAGAATAACGAATTTATTCTGATTATTCTTGTTCTATACATAAATAAGTTAAAACTTGATTATTTGTTTTCAGCTTTTTCGCTCTTACAAAACTTAAGTGGCATGCAGTGTAAAATAACACTTATGGTTTGAGACAAGTTATAGGGTCATGCAATCTAAAGTTAATTTTTTAAAAAACTTTTTATTTTGAAGTAATTTCAAACTTAAAGAAAAGTTACAAAAATAGTACAAAGAACTACCATATACCTTTCACGCATATTCACCAATTATTAACATTTTGCCACATTTGCCTTTACAGTTTTTCTGTATGTGTGTGATTGTGTGTGTGTGTGTATACACATTTTTTTCCTCAAGCTATTTGAGAGTATGTTGCACACTTCATACTCCTTTATTAAACACTTCAGTGTATATTTACTAAGGACAAAGACGTTCACTACATGACCACAGTACAATTTTCAAAACCATTTAACATTGATGCAGTACTACTATCTATGATATAGACATACTGTCCTTCATAGCAATTATGTTTTTGATCCAGAATTACACACTACCTTTAGTTTTCACTTGTCTCCATTAATTTGTAATGTTTCCTCAGCCTTTCTGTGTCTTTCACATCAGTGACACTGCTGAAAAGTACAGGTCAGTTATTTTGTAGAATGCCCCTTAATTGAGTTTGTCTGATGTTTTCTTAGGATTAGATTCATGTTATGCATCTTTGGTGAAATGTACTATAAAGTGATGTTGTGTCCTTCTCAGTGCAGTTTATCAGGAGGCTTATGATGTTTACAGCTGATGTTAACTTCAATCACTTGGTTAAGGTGGTCTCTACCAGGTTTTCTCATAGTAAAGTTACTATGTTTTTACTTTAATATTAGTTGAGTCATTTGTGGGGATATAATTTGAGACTTTATAAATATCTTCTTCCTCATTAAGCTCTCATTCACCAGTTTAGCATGATGATTCTTGCCTGAACTAATTATTACTGTAATGGTTACAAAATAAAGTGGAATTTTAAAGTTATTTTCTAGTAACACATGGAAGAACCAAGTGTGGTAGACATTTATTAGTTGTCTACCTAGCATAGTTTGCCACATGTTTCTCCTCCAAAAATTATCTGATCTTTGTTTGGGTATCTCCCCTGGCCAGTGCAGCCTATGTGTGTCTAGTAAAATGGATCACACTCTAGCCCCTGGAGTGGGCTTTGATTGATAGGTCAATTAGTGCATTTCATTTATTTAGCCACATTATTCTTTTAGGAATGGGAATCTGACCTATGCTGGGCCAATTGAGTGACTTTTATGACTCTTGTTTGGGATGCTAGACTGGGCTGCACTCTGTTTGTAGCTGGCACCCGTCCTGTGACCATGAGGACAGAGCTGACACCAGATGGCAGAAAGGGAGAAACAAAGAAATTGGGTCATTGATGACAGCTTTGAGCTGCCGAATCAATCATTCCTGAAGCCTGCCCTACCTCTGTGGTTTCCAATAATGTGAGCATTCCATTTAGGTGAACTAGCTCAAGTTGGATTTTCTATTAACTTTTGACATAAAAGAGTCCTAACTGATACTCTCACAAGTAAACAGTAATAGCTGTTTAACCTGGAATTTAAAAAATTGTAAGGAGGATGTATGAGACTTTTCTGGTATCCAACAACAACCAAAAAATGGATGTAGGGTTTTTTGTTTTGTTTGTTTCTCCTCAGCTCGGTGATGGAACCATGTCATAGGTCACTAAAGATTACAATATCAGAATCAGCAGTGTATATTCCATTTGCCAAAAGGCACTTGAGTTAATTTTTAGCAGTAAAGTTGCGAAAGTTGTGGGGTGGGACTAGTGTCATTTGGACTCATTTCTGTTCACCACATCAACTGGAGTGAATTAAAGCACAGCGGGAGCTTCAATCGCAAGTTTTTTGGGATGTCACGGGAAGCTCAAGGGGCAGTGATGCAGCTGGGCATGGAAGCCAGTACTAGTTCCCCTTAAGCACTCTCCATCTTTCATCTCAGGTTTTTCTGTGTTTTGCTTCATTTCTAGTCCACCAGGCAATTTCAAAATTCCTAGAGGGAGAATATGATTGTGTTAGTTTGGATCAGGCATTTACCCCTATTCAGTTCAGTTGTGCTCATTAGTGTAAACATGGTTTTAGAAGACCTAGCCCTGTGGGTAAAGAGAAGATTTCAGAGGGTAAGTCAGGAAGAGACTCCAGAGTTGGCTACTAGAGAGACATTTGTGGATGCCACAGCAGCTGAGGGCATAATTGTAAATAGGAAACATTGGTTTGTGATGCCTTTCTTCTTCCCTTTCAGGACCCCTCTCTTCATCATTAGCCTGTGTTTCTCTCATTTGCATTCTTGCTAAGATGCTAACTAATAAGATCTTAAGAATTGGATTATAAGCACTTCCAGGATGTTTTCTGTTGTTGTTTTATTAAGGCAGTAGTTCTTAAAGTGTAGTTCCTGCATGAGCAACATTGGCAACCTTGGAACTTGTTAGAACTCCAGATTCTCAGGCCCCACCCCAGACCTACTGAGAGAAACTCTGGAGATGACCCAGCAATCTGTGGGTTAAAAAACTGTTTTTAAACCTTTTTAGTTAACAAGTAACAATTGTACATACCTATGGGATACAGATTCCATATACATGTATTTCAATGTGTATATACAATGTGTAATGATTACAGTAATTAACACTCATCACCTCATTTATTATTTCTTTGTATAATAAACATTCACAATCCTCTCTTCTAGCTTTTTTAAAATATACAATAAATTACAATTAATTGTCTTCACCCTACAGTGCCACAAAACACCAAAACTCATTTCTCCTATCTAGCTGTAGTTTTGTATCTGTTAACCAACTGCTCCCCATACCCTTCCCATCCTCTCATACCCAAAATTCTACTCTCTGTTTCCATGAGCTCAGATTTTTTGTTGGTCCTCACATATGAGTGACAACATCTTTCTGTTGTCACTTAGTTCACTTAACATAATGTCTGACTTAGTTCACTTAACATAATATCCTCCAGCCTCATCCATGTTGCTGCCAATGACAGGATTTCATCCCTTTTATGGCTGGATAGTATTCCATTGTGTATATATACCACATTTTCTTTATTCATTCATTCATTGATGGACACTTAAGTTGATTCCATATCTTAGCTATCTCTCAGCAATCCATATTTTTAGCAGGTCATTCAGGTGATTCTGATACACTTGAAGTTTAAGAACCACTCAGGTAGGGAATTCCCAAAAACCCACAAGGTAGCCAGAACCCAGGATCTGGCTTCTTCCCAGCATTTTGTCCCAGCCTGGGCATCCATTGGTACTGCTTAGATATGGAAATGTGGCCATATGTTCCTCGCCCATTGCTTCAAAAGAGAATCCCAACCTCAGGCTTCTAAAGAGTAAAACAGACTTAACAGCAGAAAGGTTGTTGTCCCCAGCTCTACAGCCTCCATCTCTTTTGTTTAGCCTTGGGAACAGACCACCATGTGTCTGGCATTTTTTAGAAATTTGCCATCTTATGGAAAGAAGTCTGGATGTCTGTGAGGCCTCGTTCTAAGACTGTATTATGTACTTTTATGAAAGACATTCAGGAATGCAACTAATTCCTAAAGTGATGTAAATGTGAATAAACTAGAGGATTAGATATGCTGTTTCTAGGGATCTATAGCCCTTCTTCCTCCTCCACCCTCCAACCCTCCTCCTTCCTCTTTCCTTCTTTTCCTCTTCCTTTTTCTTTCTCCCCTTTTCTGCCATTTTGTTTCTTCTTTCTCTTCCTTTTCTCCCTCATCCTTTTCCCTCTTTCTCTTGTTTTTCTTCTTTGTCCTCTCTTCCCTTCCATCTATCTTTATTCTTGCCCTTTGCCTTTTACTTCTTTTATTCTTCTTCTTCCTAATTTTTCTTTTCCTTCTTCCTTTCCTTCTCATTTCTTATCACTCTCCAGCTGCTTCTCTTCCTTCTCTCACTTCTACTCCTGTGGGAGTAAACTTACTCAAGAAGAGAAAGTGGGTGCCTGAGGGCCACAGGAAATGGTAAATGCTAGTTCTATCATCCTGGCTGCTAACTACAGACATCTTTAGACACCCAAGGCACCTGCAGGATTATTCAGGGTCCAAGCCTGCCTCCTCCCGCACCTGTTCAGCAAGAACTCAACCTTAGGCTCTTCAGCCCTTAGTCCCTTCATTGTCACTACTCCATCCACATCCTAACCTCAGAAATGAGCTCGCAAAATGTTCTGTACTGGTAAATGTTTAACACTTGTCTCTGGGGTGGTAATGGAGTATTGAGGGTCCTGATGCTTACTTAGTACTTGCTAGTTTCTGTGGTGTAAATATTCCCACCATGGCTGCTTTCAAGCTACCAATCTGACATCACTGAATGTGGAGCTGGGAGGAGATGCTCACCACGGAGCCTCACAAACCAGTCAAGCATACTGCTAAGGAGTAGTACTACATATAGCCATGGTCCATATGTAGTACTACTGCCTTCCACCATTATGTAGTACTACCACCATATGTAGTACTACTGACTTCCACAATTAATGCAGATAATTGAGGGTTAGCCGTTAGTAAATAAATTACTCTCACTTCAAACATCAGATGTCTGTTAACTCCTTAACAGACTCATTTTTTGACAGCCATTGAGATAATTAAAGGCAGCAGCATATTATAATTACCACAACACTACCTTTTAGTTTGCTTAAATAAAATTTAACTGCAAGTACTGTCAGAAAAATTCAGGCTTTTCAACTGTTACCCTCTTTTTACTTGTGAGTCTGAGCTTGATATCCCTATGAATTGACAACACTATTTGGATTATAGATATCATAAAGTTTCAGTTAATATTTAGTTAAAAAGTAGAACATTATCCAGTCACCTTATCTTTTTTATTTGCATTCTACATCATCTCTGGTGGATTTTTATTATTTTTAAGTAGCTTCACATTATGTTTTATGATACATTTCTTCCTGCAACAGTTTTGCATACAGATGGAAATGTTGGAAATCTAGTTTAAGGTCGATCTTTTTTTCCCATTTTGTTATGTGATTGATCTGGTCAGTGAACAAGAAATTCTTCAAGGCCATCCATCACTCTAGGCAGCAGCTGAGCTAAACCTTCTAACTCACTGCTTGCAGTCAGTCATGCAAGATTTGGGTTATAAATATTGAATGTGCAAACAACTGTTTAAATTAGCTGTCCTATCTGTTTTATGCAATTTCAGTAGAAAAGCAAGCTGATATGTTGTTTAGTGGCAAGAAGTAGAAGACAGTGAATTCAGTATTATCCTTCCATACGTCATTGAATTCATCCTGTTGGCAAATATTTAAAATAGATCAAATTAATTCTTGTTCCCTGAAGTTAAATGAGAACTAAGGCAACTGAGCATGTAATTTATGTAGTTTTTTTGTTTTTTATATTCAAACAGTAGGAAGACTGTTAGTAATTGTGCATGTAGCCATCTGTCATAAATATGGTAGCCAATTGTTAAATGCTTAGTTCTGTGAATTTTGTTACCTCTTTGCAATAACAAAAATAGCTTAATATTTGGAAAATATTTGGTCAGGAAAGAAAATAGCAACTGGCTTATCCTACTATTCCTGGTAAGCATCTAGAATATTGAATATGTGCAGGTGTTAGTACTTCTGCTAGTTGGAGTTGTAACAAGTCTGCATACATTCACTGGTATTGATATATGTAATAGGTAAAATGCAAACAATTTGTAGTGACTCCCAAAAGCCTTTCTGTGTGTAATGAATTTAGGTAAACTTCCATAATTGCTATCTGTGTTTAAAATTTATTTTTCAATTATATGATGCTGGGAACATCCTTTCAAGTAGCAGACATGTATCTAAGCCTACATTAATAACATAAGTGAACTGCTTACCAGAGAGAAGAGTGTTCAGTAGCATGTGTCTCTTAGTAGTTGGATCACAATCTAACATAAAAGTTGGACAAGATTATAAGTTACTTCCTGTGACAAACGCTCCTCCATTTTTCTCTTCTTTCTTGAACAGAATTTTGGTCAGGACAGCAAAGAGCCCAGCTAAATAGACTCACCTTCCTAGAGCCCTTGTAGCTAGCCGTGGTCATGTAACCTAGCAATGATCGATGAAATGCAAGTGGAATTCTATGGCTGGGACTCCGAAGAGAGCATTTTAAAAGGGACAGACTCAGCTAATTTGCTCCTTTAGCCCTTTGTCTTTTGGTGTGTTGCTCTCTCCTCTGATACACTTCTTTTTATGATTTAATGTCTAAGTCTTCATGAAATTATGCGTTCTTTTAAAACAGTGTCTACTTTAGAATTATAAAATTAAACTTTTACTTATGTCCTTATGTAGAAATAAATTGAACCAGCCTTGCCATATTAATAAACCACATTACATACAAATGTAAGAACAGTATTGGTGAATAATTTTAGTGATAACAATCGCAACTGCAAGGAAAAAAAATAATTTTCTTAATCTCATCTCTCAAGTCTTATTTCTCTTTTTAATTTCTACTTCCTTTTTCTTTGATCAATTGCTATGTTTTCTTACCCTTCAAGTGCCTGTAGTCTGGTGGAAGAGGCCAATTTGTAAAAAATTATAATGCAGTTTTATAAGTTCTAGAAATACATGTCTAAAATGCAAATCTGATTTTATTATTTTCCTACTTAAAAGCCTTCCATGAGCTTTACTGTGGTATTGAAGGTCTTTTCATTCTGGCTCCAATAGCCTTGTCCAGTCTTCACTCCTTTCTTTCTCTCAGCATATTTCCTCAGCCTTACGCTGTCTAAAACCACTGGACTCTTGGTAGGATCCGGAAACTATCACATACTGTCATTGAAGGTCTTTTCATTCTGGCTCCAATAGCCTTGTCCAGTCTTCACTCCTTTCTTTCTCTCAGCATATTTCCTCAGCCTTATGCTGTCTAAAACCACTGGACTCTTGGTAGGATCCGGAAACTATCACATACTGTCATTCTTTCATATCCTTGTGTATCCTTTCACTTCTGTACCCTTTTTTTCATCTCCATCTGTGAAATCCCACTCATTCTTCAAAACTGACTTATCTTTAAGGCGTTCCGTGACTCTTCCAAGTTGAATTAATGACTACTTCATCTTCTGTGCTTCTCATAAAATTCTTTTTATACTTCTATGATATCATTTATTCAGTCAATTTATAGTTACAGGTCTGTCTTTCTTAATAGACTGTGAGTTCTATGAAGAGATAAGCTATGCTTTATTTCGAAGCGCCAGTGTCTTAGCAAGTGCCTGGAAAGGAGTAAATACTCAAGATTGTTGGTATGTTTTTATAACAAGTAAATAAATTTAAACTCTCTGCACCTTTCATTGAGTACTAGGATTAATTATTCATAATTAATTATTTACCTGTTCCTTAAATGTATCCCTGTGAAAGAAATGCTGCTGGTGATGAAATAATCTTCATCAATTACCTAACAAATAATTGTCCATTTGGGTCATATCTGCATCTGCTTTTACTGTAACCCATGACTATGGTTGTAATATCTCCTGTTTTATTTCTAATTGAGCTTATTTGGATCTTCTCTCTTCTTTTCTTGGTTAATCTCATTAATGGTCTGTCAATTTTATCTTTTCAAAGAGACTTATCTTTCGTATTTTTTTTGTTTCCATTTCGTTTAATTCTGCTCTGATCTTTGTTATTTCTTTTCTTCTGCTGAGTTTGGGTTTGATTTGTTCTTCTTTCTCTAGTTCCTTCCGCTGAGTTTGGGTTTGATTTGTTCTTGTTTTCTAGTTCCTTCTGCTGAGTTTGGGTTTGATTTGTTCTTGTTTCTCTAGTTCCTTGAGGTGTGACATATATTGTCTGTTGTTCTGTTGTGCTCTTTCAGACTTTTTTTTTTTTTTTGAGATGGAGCCTTGCTCTGTCACCCAGGCTGGAGTGTAGTGGTGCAATCTTGACTCACTTCAACCTCCACCTCCCAGGTTCAAGCAGTTCTCCTGCTTCAGCCTCCCGAGTAGCTGGGACTACAGGTATGCACCACTATGCCCAGCTAATTTTTGTATTTTTAGTAGAGACAGGGTTTCACCATGTTGGCCAGGCTGGTTTTGAGCTACTGACCTCAAGTGATTCTCCCGCCTTGGGCTTCCAGAGTGCTGGGATTACAGGCGTGAGCCACCATGCCTGGCCTCATTCAGACTTTTTGATGCAGGCATTTAATGCTGCGAACTTTTCTCTTAAGACCACTTTTGTTGTATCCCAGAGGTTTTGAGAAGTTGTGCCACTATTATAGTCCAGTTGAAAGAATTTTTTCATTTCCATCTTGATTTTATTGTTGACCCAAAGATCATTCTATAGCAGCTTATTTAATTTCCATTTATTTGTATCATTTTGAGGCTCCTTTTGGAGTTTAATTTCCAGTTTTATTCCACTGTGGTCTGAGAGGTTATTTAAAAAGATTGTGATTTTCTTAAATGTATTGAGACTTGTTTTTTGGCCTATTATATGGTGTTTCTTGGAGAATGTTCCATGTGCTGATGAGCAGAATGTATATCCTGCATTTGTTGGGTAAAATGTTCTGTAAATATCTGTGAAATCCATTTGTTCTAGAGTATAGTTTAAGTTCATTGTTTCTTTGTTGACTTTCTGTCTTGATGACCTGTCTAATGTTGTCAGTGGAGTATTAAAGTCCCCCATTATTATTGTGTTGTCATCTACCTCATTTCTTAGGCCTAGTAGTAATTGTTGTATGAATTTGGGAGCTTCAGTATTAGGTGCATATATATTTAGGATTGTGATATTTTCCTGTTGGACTAATCCTTTTATCATTATGTAATATCCCTTATTGCCTTTTTTTACTGTTGTTGCTTTAGAGTCTGTTTTGTCTGATAAAAGAATAGCTACTTCTGCTTGCTTTTGGTTTCCATTTACATGGAATATCTCTTTCCACACCTTTACCCAAAGTTTATGTGAGTCCTTATGTGTTAGGTAAGTCTCTTGAAGACAGCAGATACTTGGTTGGTGGATTTGTATTCATTCTGCCATTCTGCATCTTTTAAGTGGAGCATTTAGGCAAGTTACATTCAATGTTAGTATTCAGATGTGAGGTACTATTCTATTTGTCATGTTAGCTGTTGCCTAAAGACCTTGTTTTTTTTCATTGTTACTGTTTTCTAGGCCCTGTGAGATTTATGCTTTAAGGAGGTTCTATTTTGGTGTATTTCAGGGTTTTGTTTCAAGATTTAGAACTCCTTTCAGCATTTCTTGTAGTACTGGGTTGGTAGTGGTGAATTCTCTCAGCATTTGTTTGTCTGAAAAAGATTTATTCTCCCCTTCATTTATGAAGCTTAGTTTCACCAGATACAAAATTCTTGGCTATTATTTTGTTTAAGGAGTCTACAGATAAGACGCCAATCCCTTCTGGCTTGTAAAGTTTCTGCTAGAAACTTTATAGGTTTTCCTTTATAGATTACCTGATGCTTTTGTTTCACAGCTCTTAAGATTCTTTCCTTTGTCTTGACTTTAGATGTCCTGATGACTGTGTGCCTAGGTGATGATCTTTGTGCTATGAATTTCCCCAGAGTTCTTTGAGCTTCTTGTATTTGGTAGTCTAGGTCTCTGACAAGGCCAGGGAAGCCCTCCTCAATTATTCCCTCAAATAAGTTCTCCAAATGTGTATATTTCTCTTCTTCCTCGGGAACACCAATTGTTCTTCTGTTTGGCTGTTTAACATAATCCCAAATTTCTTCTACTTGTTCTAGTATATTGTTGAGACTTCACTGCATTTTGTATTTCCCTAAATGTGTCTTTCATTCCAGAAGTTGTGATTGTTTTTTCTTTATATTTATTCCTCTGGAAAGTTTTTCATTCATATCCTGTATGTTTTTTTAATTTAAGTTGGTTTTTACCTTTCTTTGGTATCTCCTTGAGTAGCTTAATAATCAACCTTCTGAATTTTTTATCTGGCAATTCAGAGATTTCTACTTCAATCCATTGCTGGGGAGCTAGTGTGATCTTTTTGGGGTATTGTAGGACCCTGTTTTGTCATATTACCAGAATTATTTTTCTGGTTCCCTCTCATTTGGCTAGACTATTTCTTAAAATTGTTCTTGAATTTATTTTTGGTTGGACTGTGGTTTTTTAAATTTAAATTTCTTTTTTCCTCTCCTAAGGACCAGACTTTGATGTTTATTTTAGCCTAATTTGATTCTTGGTGCTTGTAGGAGTGAAGACTTTGTATGAGATCCTTAGTTATAGAAAGTCTTTGTGTACTGGCTTTCCCCAATGCTGGTGAGTGGTAGTAGTTATATTCTTGGTGTGTGGGTGGGTTCACTGTCTCCTGTGGAGTTATAATGGCAGGGATCTCTTGAAGCTTATCTTGTTCTCTCATGGTGTACACTTTATTTGTTTACTGTTTTCTCACTTTTTTTTTAAATTTTATTATTATTATACTTTAAGTTTTAGGGTACATGTGCACAATGTGCAGGTTTGTTACATATGTATACATGTGCCATGTTGGTGTGCTGCACCCATTAACTCGTCATTTAGCATTAGGTATATCTCCTAATGCTATCCCTCCCCCCTCCTCCCACCCCACAACAGTCCCCGAAGTGTGATGTTCCCCTTCCTGTGTCCATGTGTTCTCATTGTTCAATTCCCACCTATGAGTGAGAACATGCTGTGTTTGGTTTTTTGTCCTTGTGATAGTTTTGCTGAGAATGATGGTTTCCAGTTTCATACATGTCCCTACAAAGGACATGAACTCTTCATTTTTTATGGCTGCATAGTATTCCATGGTGTGTATGTGCCACATTTTCTTAATCCAGTCTATCGTTCAGGCTTCAAGTCAATAGCGAAGGTATTCCTGGGTAGGCACCAGTTGTGGTGAAGGCAGGTGGGTAGATGTAATACTCAGTGGTGGGCTGAGGTCCCAGCCTTGATGAGTGTGGCTGGGGAAGCTCTTAATTAGGTTTTATCAGGGTTAAGAGTAGGAACTACCAGAGCTCCCATGCCAGGTCACCAGGAAAGCTGTTCACCTCACAGCCTCGCTCCTGTCCTTGTGTTTTAGCTATTCACATCAGACAGGCATCTCTTTTCATCTGTAGGAATGTTGATGTTCCAAGTAGGGAGGAATTGTGACTCTTCCTCTGTCGGCCTGAATCTGGGGTGTGCTTCTTCTGTGGGGCTGCACTCACCCTGGATTTTTCCAGAAAGGCTGTCTATAAGTGCATCCAGTGTTTCTGTTGGGGAAGCCCCAGCTGTGTCTGCAATGGAGTGCTGGGGGGAACAAGGACCCTTTCTCTAATGCCTTTCATGATCACAGAGGCTGCCTGTCTGTTGGGATATAGGTGCAGATTTTCCCTATTGCTCCCCACATTGCAATTGTTTCTCTGCTATGAGAAACTACCTACCAGTGGAAAGATCTGAAACCCAAGTCCTGCTGTTCAGAGTTTTTTGTCCCACAGGGTTTTTCCTTGATAGGGTGCTCTCCCACTTCCCCTAGGGATGAGGCTTCCTGAGAGCTGTACTTCAGTGATTGTTACTGCCCTTCTGGGTCTAGCCACCCAGCAGGGCTACCAGGCTCCAGACTGCTGCTGGGGAATGTCTGCAAAGAGTCCTGTGATGTGATCTGTCGTCAGGTCTCCCAGCCATGATACCAGCACCTGCTCTGGTGGAGGTAGCACGGCAGTGATGTAGGCTCTGTGAGAGTCCTTAGTTGTAGACATGTTTAGTTTTCTGGCTTTCTCAAATGCTGGTTATGCTAGCAGTGAAGTTGTCGCATGGACAGACTCAGGCCCTCTTGTTAGCCATAGCTGTTGTTTTCTCCTTGCTGGGAGCCAGATTATTCTGTCATGAGTTGCTGTAATGGCTTGAGTTGGTTGGCCTCCAGCCAGGAGGTGGTGCTTTCCAGAGAGCGCCAGCTGCAGTAGTAGAAGGGAGATCTAAGCTTACTCTTAAGTTGGCCAGGGGAAGTATTCTGGTTTCTTAGGTGATGGGCAGAGCCACAAAGCTCCCAAGAGTTTATGTCTTTTGTGTTCAGCTACCAGGGCGGGTAGAGGAGTACCTTCAGATGGGGGCAGGATTAGGTGAGTATGAGCTCAGACTCTCCTGGGGCGGGGCTTGCCACAGCCACTGTTGGGGAGTTGGGGGTGGTTCTCAGGCCAATGGGGTTTTGTTCCAGAGGGAAGTATGGCTACCTCTGCTGTGCAGTATAGTTTGCCAGGGAAGTGGGTGACATCCAGTAGCAAAAGGCCTCACCCAGCTCCACACAGTTGGCAAGGCCAGTCTCGCTCTCGCAGTGCCCCACTAACAGCACTGAGTTTAGCTCCAGTTAGCCTGCTCACAAAACTCAGACCTGCCCCAGGCCATAAGCTTCCACGCTGAGAAAGCAAGCAAGGCTTTCAGGCCTTGCCTCCCAGTCTGCCTACAATGTCAGCAGCTCCTGTGTTTGCATCTGTAACAGTTCCCATTTGCTCCCCACCCAGATTCTGATCAAGAAAGCTTGTGTCCAGTTGAAACTATTACAAAATTTAGTTGGAAGCTTCATTCATCTTGTGACCCCTCCCTAATTCTGCTGGCTGTCTTCCCCTAGGGCCTCTATGAGATATTGTCAGGGTTGGCTTCCCTGGGCTCAAGCTGGAGAATGGGACTGCCTACGAGGCTCTTCCTGCCACTGCTTCTACTTTTATATTTCATTCAGCTCCCCAAATCTGTTTTAGCTGTAGGTAAGGTTAAGTCCTTCTCCCGTGATCTGGATTTTCAGATTCCCCAGTGGGGATGTGTGTTCAGAGGCAGGATTCCCCACCTCACACTTTGGGAACTCACAGTTTTTTGCCTGTCTCGCAGAATTTGCAGCAGCATGCTGCTTCTTTCAAAGGATCTGTGAATTCTTCCAGTTTTCCTGGTAGATTCCTGCAGTGGTACTTGGAAAGAAAGTTCATGGTGTGAGTCTCCACACATTATTCAGTCTCTCCAAGTGAGAGGTGCACATTAGCCCTGCCTCCTGGGCACCATCTTCCTCCCATCTCCTTCTGATGGCTTTTTAACGTCATGATTTTATAGTTTTCTTGGCTTATTCTGGTTGCTGGGATGACAGTAGCAGCCTTTTGCCACTGTCTACATTCTAACCTATTCGCCCCTCCTCCCCGTCCATCCATCCATCCATCCATCCATCCTTCCATGTATAGATGTGTGTATATATACATATACACAGTATATTACATATTTATAAAAACACATATAAATGTAGGGATATTTAAAAGTACTTTTCATTGAGGAGTAATTCCATCTTGTGAATTATTTCCCTTCCTCTATATGCCCAAATTACTATAAGGTGTTAGTTTTAGCTTTCCTAAATAAATGAGAGATTTGAGTCACTGAAAACCACATTTGTTTTCATCTAATTCTATGTATCTAGGATATTTTGTAAATGAGGATTTACTACTTCATATCTTTTCAGCCTCATCAAATCTAGAAATGAAAGTAATCAATACTTAAATTTGATTAGTTCGCAAATAATGTAGTCTCTATCGACCACCAAAGAAGACTAAGAAACAGATGATGAAGACATTTAATTACATTAATATATTGAAATTTTTATGACAATAAGAGCTAATGATAGTTATGTAACAGTTATTGTCTGTCTAGAAATATAGTGGTGGGATATTAAGCAAGATGTTATCAGTATTCACATCATTTTAGTTTATCTAAAGTGATATAAAATGAATATAAGCGGAAAGCTTAATTCATATAAAAATTATATGACAGAAAAATTTACACATGGTACACTTTAAGTATATTATAGTCTCTCAGAGTAGTTTTTACCACAGAACATAGTGTTATGTAAGGTGACTTTGTCTGAAACTTGTCTGTATCAGCTAGCTTCTTCTGCATAACAAACTACTCCAAGAGTCAGTAGCTTAAAAGTATTATGTATTGTTTCTCATTTATCTGTGGGCAGGTTGGAGTTACTAGGCCTGGCTAGGCAAATAGGCTTGAACTGTGCATGTGGCTGGACTTGCTTCCTCAATGAGGTTTGGAGTAAGGTCTGCTCCACATGTTTTCATTCTAGAGCTGAGGCCAAGGAAAACAGAAGCCACCAAGGCCCCTCCCATGGCATTGGTAGAGACACAACTGAATGAACAAAAACACACAAGGTCTCTTGAGATCTAGGCTCAGAATTAGCATACCATCCCTTCTGCCTCATTTTGTTGGTCAAAGCAAGTTCATGGCCATACCCCAAGTTAAAAAATAGCAAATAATACCGTGCCCAAGGAGAAGGCATTACAAAATTACAGGACAAAAGGTATGGATAGAGTAAGGGGTAAAAAATCAGGGCTATCCTACCATTGTAGCCAAAGGGGATTGGTTACATAGGTAGTTAGGAATCTCATTGTTATAAGGTACTTTCTCTGGCCTAGAACTAGATGTTGGAGACAGAGTTCTGTGGTTGGTATCCACTAATGTGGGGATGCTCAAATCACAAGTTTACACAGGACTAGCCAGATATTGGAAATGAACAAAACAGAGCTGTGGGGATTATGCAGTGGAAAATTTGTACCCCAGTTAAAGAGGTGGGGGCCTCTATGCAGCCACAGCTGACTGTTACCAAGTAGAAAAGCAGATCATGTTTACCAAATCTTCAGATTTCTCAAGAGAATCAAGAAATTAACAATTTTTAATGACGACTTCTAATTTTTAGAGGTTGGTAACTAATTTTTTTAAAAGATAATAACTTGTTGACCAAATCCAAGAGTCAGATTTGGAACGTGGGCCTCTAGTTGGTAATCTGTGCAAAGCCAGAGGTTGCTTGGAGACTCTGGAACATTTTCCATTATAGTGGCCTTATCTGTAAATGCTAGAGGGCATTACAAATCTTACCATAATAATTAATGTTAATAATAGTAACTCCTTAAATTAGTATGTCACTTTATATTTTATAAAACACTTCCATGCTCTCATTTGTTTATGGTTGAAAAATATGTCTCTTGCTTCCTCCAAGAAGCAGGAAGAGCCTTCTTCCTGTGCCTCAGATGCATGTTGGGTGCTACAGACTTTTGCTTGTTTACCAGATACTTATTGAACACCTGCTATACATCAGGAATTGATCCAGGTTATTAACATACATCAGTGAACAAAACAGATGAAAATTCCTGTCCTCATGGAGTTTATGTTCTTTCTCTTTCTAGCTTGACCCCCTTGTCCTAAAACTGGATCAGCACCTCATTCATAGGTTTGCCCTATTTGAAAGTATTTACAGTAAAAGCCCTGTCCTGTAACTATATCAAGACATTTATGAGGTGAGAATAGCCAAGGGCACCAAAAGTAGGTATGTTTCACAAAGAGAAGAGTGTCCATTAATCCAATGGGTCTGTTAGGAGAGCTCCTTCTGCACTTAGTTTAAACAAAAGCAAGTCTGAAAAGAGCCCTTAGTAATTGGTGGAAATTAAAGTGAAATTAGAAAACCTTCATCCTATTGTATGTACTATGTGTTGTTTTCATTATAGGTTCCTCTACTTTCTTCCCGCAAGTTAGTTTCAAACTTTTCCTGGAATGCTATAATGTGGCAAAGTCAGGATTGACCAACTTTTACCATTATCAGGCATAGTCTGTCACTTAGGCAATTACATCAGTTGTTCCATTTTCATATCATGTCTGGAAAACAGATAACAGATGTCTTTAGACTTTTGTCCTAGTAAGTTGAGATTTCGTCTGTTTGTATATAGGCTTATAACCACACTGTATCTCTGATATTCTTAACTTGGATCTTTTATGGGGATACCTATGGATTGTTTTGGCATACATCTGACTTTGGGTTTAGAAAGGTAATGAATAGTACTATAAATATAATCCAACTATAAAAGCAGTCTTTAGCTTGCTATTCTAAAGCACATCTAAAAGCAGCCTATAACTTGCTATTCTGAAGCACATCTGACTTGCCAGATATTAAGTCTGTGTCTGAATCTCTTAAATAGATTAGGCTGCATAACACCTACAACCACCAATAAGTTGTTTCTGTTTAATAGATGTGCAGCAAAAGTTCATTCCCTCCATCCACCCATTCTATCTGTTGTCTTATAAAAAAAATAGAGAGAAATAAGCAACTAGGTTGTTACAATGTATAAAACAAATATCTACCTTCAGATGACTGAGAGTGGTATCTACACTATTTCATAATTTTTAAAGCCTTTCATTTTTTTCATCCCTTCTGTGCTGCATTTTTAGTGTGATTAATCAGTATATTTCTCCCCCTCTGGTATCTCTTGAAACGCTTATAAAATAAGTCTTTTAGATTCATCATATAACTGTAGGGAAGAACATTGGATATTCAGTCAGAAATCTTGGATGCATTATAGCTCTGTCAGTAACCAAGACCTTGGGCAAGTGACTTCATTTTCTGGGAGCCTCAGTTTCTTTAGATGTAAAAGGAGAAAATGAAAATGCCTCCTTAATGTGAGGATAAGTTTGATGATAAGAAGTGCTTTTCAAACTAGGCAAATACTAGTTCTTGTTAAAAGAAGGTCACAAATGCTCTCTTTTTTATATTTACTTAAAATAACATCTCTTTGAGTGAGGAAGAAAGTTGAAGAAAAATAGAACCAATCCTCATTGATAAGTCTGAGAACATTGATTTGGCATCTTTTGCTGCACTTGGAGATAACACCAGACATATCAGATCAGATTTGTGGTTGAGAGAAAGAATAATGGAACATAAAATTTAGTACTTTCTGTGATGTTAATTTGTGAGTAACTTTTATTTTCTTTTTGTTATGATGACCAGGGTGTACATGGATATTTTTAAAAATCAAAATGGTAGTATCATCAGTGATAGTTCTTAGTATGTAAGTTACTGAATAGATGTTTTGTAGATGTTTTCACATTTAGAAATACTTCTACTTGCTTTGCTTGCATAAAGTCATTTTGGTTATGCCATTTAGAAGCATTAATTTTTCCAAATGATTTTTGTTTAGAAATTGGAGATATGTCCCTTAAGGTGGGATCATGTATCCCTTAGGAGGGAAGCTAATTATTCAGCATGTGTGTGTGCCACACACTCATCTTATCATATCCTCAACTACTGGGAGTAAGAGGTATTTATTCCCCTTTGTTCCATTTTGTAGATGAGGAAACAGAGGCTCTGCGAGTAACTTTGTGAAGGCTTGTCAGTGGGATAACAGAGCTGGGATCCCCAACTCAGTTCTTTCAGGCTCTGACAATCCATGGACTTTTAACTTCATGATATTGCCTCCTAGGTAAACGATTAAGATGGTGGCCAACCACACGGCATTTTAGTATATACCCGGTATTAAAAAATGCCAAAAGTTACTTACATTTTTGTTTAATAGTTCACTTTTTCAATTTAGAATGTCTCTGTTTTGGAATCTCTTCTTTACCACATGTCACGTTTTTGTCCTTCCGCTCAAGCCACACTAATTGGCAGAGAGCCCAGGAAGCCCACTGATTACTATAGTAACATCAGGTACTTCCCTTTCTTCCCTGAGGCCACCCCTAATCAGACTACTGCCTGGCTAATTCCCTGCTTTTGCGAGATTAGAAAAAGGTTGTCTGTGCCGGGCACAGTGGCTCACACCTGTAATCCCGGCACAGTGGCTCACACCTGTAACCCCAGCACTTTGGGAGGCCAAGGCAGGTGGATCACCTGAGGTCGGGAGTTCGAGACCAACCTGACCAACATGGAGAAACCCCATCTCTACTAAAAATACAAAATTAGCTGGGCGTGGTGGCGCATGCCTATAATCCCAGCTATTCGGGAGGCTGAGGCAGGAGAATCACTTGAACCTGGGAGGCGGAGGTTGGGGTGAGATCGAGGCTGAGATTGAGCCATTGCACTCCAGCCTGGACAATAAGTGTGAAACTTAAGAGAGGAGAGAGAGAAGGAGAGAGGGAGAGAGGGAGAGAGGGAGAGACTGTTTCAAAGGCCAAACTCCTAAGCATAAGATTACCACCCCCTTTCCTCTAGTGGTATGCCTTCTTGGTGATCTATACAGTCCTATAGAGGCAGTCTATCAGGCCTTGTATTTTTATAGTAGTATCAAAGAATCTTCAAGGATAAAGTATAGAAATTAAGTACATAAATTATAATTTACAATGTGTGTTATTTTACCATTGATTTAAATCTCTTAGGTCTCTTTCCTTTCTTTCTCTTTCCCTTTGGCAGGCTTCAGCTCTTTGAATTTGCTCTCTTTACTAACTCTTACTGCTGTAATTCCAATATGCACCCTATTTTAGTAACATTTAATTTTTTTTAAGCTTCTTGGAATTAATAAGTTAATTCTTATTTTTCATCATTTAATTTAAATCCATTTTCCTTTTTCCCCCTATCAAGTTTTCTTTTATACTTTCTCACTGGGTGATGTCTTTTTATGATTGAATTTCCAGTCAGTGACCTTAATTTGAGTTCCAAACTGTGATATTTTTCATATATTATTCACCTAAATATCAACTCAGTTGGTATCTCTTGAGGTTTCTGTTCCAGAAACTCTCCAAATGGGCCTTCCTGTTTGTGGAGGGGAACACACTCTACTCTCATCCCTGGAACAAAACCTTCTGTGTTGTTCTTCACATCCTGTATGCCCTCCAATTGCCACCCACTCTCTGCCTCCATTTCTGTTCATCTGAATTTTCAACCTCTCAAATCTTCCCGATTCTCCTTGAGTGCCCACTGTCTCATGACTTGACAGGCCCTGAAATATTTCCAGTTTCCCCTGACTTCAAGTTGGAGGGCCTCCATCAGCATTTCCAAATCTCTTCATAGTCCCCTGTCTACCTTGGTAAAGATTTTATTTCCAGATCTTACTATCAGGTTATTGTTTCCTTTATTTAAAAAATTAACACAAGCATTACTGTCTTTACCATGATCATGCTCAGATTCCCTGACTCCAGCTAGATTCGACTGCTAAAGATTTTGACTGGAATTTGAAGCTGAAACATCTCTTCTTCACCACCACACCTCTGCCTTAAGCTTTATCCATACCCACTCCTGGCCATCTCAGTAATCTCATGCAGATGGAGGGTATTGTAGTATCAACCTAAATAACAGAGAGAGCCTCGCTAAAAGAAAAGATGTTTATTTGGGAATGAAGCATTGCAATGAGAATATACATATGCCATGGTAAAGTATGTGTGTTTTCAGAGAGATAAAGGAAGACAAAAGTTTTTAAAGGAAGAAATGAAGGAGATTACATAATTGTTTTGAAATAATTATCTCTGGCTGCAAGATCAAGGGTGACACCAGTTCAAGGTTGGACAGGCAGTTTCTGGGCAGATGTTCTTGCAGAGTTTTTTTATTCCATATGGTTGTGATGGCCTTCATGCAAGGTTGTGGTTTCTGTAGAGCCTGTTTAATTATGAGGCATACAAGCATAAGCAAGCATAAGAACCCTCTCTCTTTGTGGCCTTCCCGTGCTCTGTCAGGTTCTTTTTTTTTTTTTTTTTTTTTTTTACATTAGTGACTCCCTTTTGGCTCTGACAGTTTTCATGGCAACAGTAAATAGAATACACTGCAAAAGAGCAAAGGAAGAAAATTCAGATGTAGTATTTCTATACTAAATTTTCAGAGTTGAAACTGTATTTTCTAGTGTGTCAATTGCCAACTACCACCAGGTACAATCCCTGAAGTCCTGTTAAGATCTATTAAGACCCTTTTTGAGTCAGCTCTAGTGATTCACTGTAACAGTCCAAGGAGAGGGCCAAGAGTCCATTTAATTGTGCAAGATCTATAACTCCAGGCCTGGATACCATCATTATGGTATTAGTTGTCCCAGGCTTGAGTCTTTAGGCCCCTTTGTCTATCCCTCACTCCTTTCGTTTAACAAGCATGGCTGGATATGTGACTCTTGTTACATTCAGATAGTCAGTGAAGGTCTCCTGTTACTCAGTGGGCCTCTGTTGACACTGCCACTGTCCCCACCCTATCTTAGCTCCTTGTCTGAAGCCTGGAGCAGCCTCCTTGCTGCTATCTCTAGTCGGCATTTTTCAAGGCCATTTGGCTGCCTGTTTGTCTTATGGCTTCTTGCCTGGCCTCCCAGACATCACTGGCTTCTAATTTTCCACCACATAAAGCATATGTTCCACTGACCTTGTTCAAGTCTCCCATAATCTGTGTGTTCACAATAACATCCACTCTTACCATACTTACAGATCTGCAGCTCTATCACATTTAAATACCAGGACTGCTGATCTGCTTTCTTCTCTTCCTCTAGCATCACTGGATCTCCCTCTCATGTCTGTCTGCTAATAAACTTTCCCTAGGTGTCTCAGTCCTCATCAGTGAAGATGATGGTAACAGAGGTTAATGTGCAGGAGTTTGGAGTTTAACTGTCCACCAGCTGTGTGAGTTTGGACAAAGGACTTAACCTCTGTGTGCCTTAATTTCTTCCACAGAAAATGAAGTTAGTAATAATACCAAATAATCCACAAGTCTCCATAATTTTTAATGGCTAGCATTTATTTCTTGCTCATGACATGTGGGCAATAGGTAGACTGCATCTTTGTTCTTTTTCATTCTACGGTGCAGAGTGAAGAGTAGCTCCTGTTTCTGGGACACGTCATCATCAGGGCCAGTATCGTGATGAGAGTTTCTGTTGAGTCATGTCTGCTCAGTTCCACTGACTAATGTCTATCACATGGCTTACCCTAGAGTCACAGGGTGGGGCTATATCCTCCTCCACAAAGATAGGAGCAGGGGCTGTTTGTGATTAATAATGTAGTCAACCATGCTGCCTCATAGGATTATTGTGAAGTATAAATTAGTTAATAGGCATGAGAGCTTAAAAGGGTTCCTGGCACATGGTAAGGACGCAGTAAAGCATCAGTTGTTTTGTTAAGTCTGTGGCATGTTCTATGCTAAGTACTGTATGGGTGGGTGTCATATAGTTTAATCCCATGAGTTTGATATTGTTATCACCCATTTACAAACGAGTAAACTTAGGCTTACAGAGGATAGCTAAATTCTCCACAGTCATATACAGTTTGCAAGGAACAAAATGGGCATTTAAAACAGACCTATGAGACTTCAGAATCTTTGCTCCTAATCTTTTACTACTTCAGAAGACATGTATTGAGAGGGTCCCTCCTAAACTTAATGAGCTTATTTCACTGCTGCTACTGCAGTCTGTACCACTTCTGCAGAATCTGCCATGACCTTGAAGGACTTGCCCGTAGACAGCTGTCTACCCCACAGCTACCAAAGTCCAAAGACTTTGGTTACAGTAACCTTCAAGCTTGGGCTAGTGCTTTTGATCACTTTATTCAAATCACAGAGGCCAACTCTGTGGAAGACTGACTGTGGACTCTGAAGCTCTCAATCCCACTTTTGGAGAGTAGGATAAATTTACGTACTGTCTTGACCTTGCCTTCTATGGGATCTTATTTGTCTAATTCTTTGCTGGACCCCCCTATACCCACTCCCCAAGGCAGAAGACAGACCCTACAGTCTGTACATTGCTATCGAGAGTTACTTATTTGTCCCTCTTCCTGTATCTCATTAGTGTACAAATGGTAGAATAAGACATGTGGGCATTTACAGTCTTACAAGACTAGACCTGTTTACTTTCAAGGCTTAGAGGTCCTTAAAATAATTTTTTGATCCTCACATTCATTCTTCCAAGCCCAGGGCAGAGCAGCCCTTCCACTTTGTACTTGGTAGTATCTCTTCCATGAGGTTGTGAGCTTCATGAGAGTAGAAGGCCATGTTTCATGACACTTCTGCATTTCTCTACAATGCCTATGAGCTTGAGGCCATCATTAGAGGCTTCTAGAGAGAATATGCAGAATCAATTAGTACAGCCTTTGTCTTTGGGAAGCTAACAATCTAGGAGTGCTGTCTCTCAACTCTTAAATGGCGACATTGTTTTCCTCACTGAATTGTCATGAGGATTCAGATTTCAAAGGAGGCAGTATAGTGAAGTGGTAAGAGCATGTTCTAGAGCCAGATCCCAGCTCATTACTTACTATGTTTAACATTTGTGCTTCCATTTTTCTCATCTATAGGGTAGAGATAATAATATTAATAGTACTTATTTCACAAGTTTTTTAATGAGGATTAAATGAGTTAGTACAAGTATTGGGCACATAGAATTAAATAAATGTTAGCCATTGTAAATAACAAAATAATACATCTGAAAGTGTTGCAGGACTTTTCCTTAGTTCAGCTAAAGACAGCGTCCTTGTCTGTCCCAGGGACATGAAAATTTAGGCTCACAGAAAGTTTGAAGGGTGAGTAAAGCAGGAGTTTTTTGGGTGAAAAGGGGAAACAGTAATCCTCCACAAGGCCAGAGTCCCTCCTGGAGTGCTTCCCACCACAGCTTGAATCCCAGATTCCACACAGGAAGAGGAGGGGCCAGGCTCCTCCCGGCTGCAAAAGGTGCGAACCTCTGTGGCTCCACCCCGGTGTGCGCTCTTCCCAGTGGGCATGCCTGTTGGAGAACCCCTCCCACCTGGCTGTCTCAAAAGCATCTAGAATTACCTAGAACAATGCTACTCAAAGTTGCCATTACAGTGAGATAAGGAACTTGGGCCACAATATAAATCAGCACTCTCCTTCCTTCTTTGGAAAATTCTTGCTAGGAAAAAAATGTTTGCTTATTGATAAATTTAATTTACGTTCCAGCTCTAGCTTCTTTTTTTCTCTGTAGATCAGCAATAAACAGTTCACATAGCACACTTTTTGTTTTCCTGGCCCAGGATATAGTAGGCAGTCAGTACATTTGTTTATATACTCTGACCTGAAAAGGCTGTCTATGTAAAGGAACTTATTAAGAGGAAGCAAATAACGAAGTTTGTGGATTTCAAGTTGTGTGTATGTCATACATTATACATCTATTTGTAATCTATCTGTATCTTAAAAATTACAAACAAGATAAATCACAGCTGTTTTTTTGGTAAAGGTTTTAAATATTTTTCTGGTAGGAAGAGTAGATAAAGGCAGCCATGTGGGTTGTTACGTGAAGCCTAGAATGGGCTTTCCCAGATATCAGGAAGACACAGAGGTGATATCCTCATTCTCTTTTGCTACCATATTAGCATCTATTTATAGTCAAATATATAAAAATAAGCACAGTTATTACAGGTGAGATTTATTTGTATAAATAAGTTTGGAAACTATGCCTGTTGTTTACTGGAAAACCCAATTATGGTGTTGTTACCTAGAAGGGAATATTGTAAGTAAACACTTTTTTTTTTCTGCTTCATTTATACCAAAGCAATTTAACATGAAATTAGTAATTATATTAATCTGGGCTCTCCAGAGCAACAGAAACAATAGATAGATAGATAGATAGATAGATAGATAGATAGATAGATAGATAGATTTATTATACAGAATTGGCTCATGTGGTCATGGAGGCTGAGAAGTCCCATGACCTACAGTCTGGCAAGCTGAAAAGTCAGAAGAACCAATAGATAGTTCCAGGTTGAGTCTGAAGGCCTGACAACTGGAAGAGCCAATGGTATAAGCTCCAGTCCAAGTTGGAAGGGTCCCAAGGCAAAAGACCTATGTTCCAACTAAAAAGACAGAGAGAGCAAATTCTCCCTTACTCCACCATTTTATTCTGTTCAGGGCTCCAATTGATTGGATGAGACCTAACCACATTTGAGAGGCAATTTACTTCACTCAGTCTACTGATTTGTGTGTTAATCTCGGCCAAAAACACCTTCACAGATACACCCAAAATAATGTTTAACCAAATCTCTGGGGACCCAAGAGCCCATTCAGTTGAAAAAAAATTGATCTTCACAGTAATGTTAGATGCAGCCTTATATAAGGATGAAATTCTTTGATTCCTATAAACTCTTAAAAAAGATTTTTTTCTACTCAAAATTAATTACTTAGACTACTTTTGGAAACATTTTAATTTATTATTTGAATAAATTTTTTAAAATTTCTACAAATAGTGTTTTTTTTTTTTTTAGTGAGATATTTTTGACAATCATTTCTGATGGATTGCAACTGAAAATGTAAAGACATGTGCCAGTGGTTGTTCTGGGAATTTTTCAGTTGCAGGAGAGTCCTCTTTTTGGGCTAAAAAATAGATTTGATAAATTATGGAGGAAACCTATAGAGTGATGGGGCAGAGGAAGGCAGGCTGCTTTGTGCAACTGTATCTCCTAATATCTTTATCAAAATGACATCATAAGGATGTACAGCGAAGGTGGTAACCCTCTGTCATTCCAGAGAAAAAGGGATATAGGTAGTGCAGCCTGAGGTTCTCAAGGCATGGAGGAAAAACGTTTCAAAAACAGAAAAGAACCATTTGAAAATGCAAAAGAAAATGGATATCCTAGGAGCGAATTGGATTATTTTTTCAGACTTGTTGTCTTCCTGTAACCTTAACGAATAGTACCATAGCTCCCCCTGCTGCATAAGGAGGCAAAGAGGCAAAACCCTGTCACAAAGAACCTTCTTCCCTCACCTGCCGGAATTGTTGGTTTTGCTTTTTGTTTTTTTTTTTAAGTCTTTTGGTTCTTTACCCGAGCAAAGTCATTGAAACTGTTCTTTTTTTTTTATTTCCAACCATCCTTTCTCTCCTCTTCCTGCTAATTGCATGTTTGAAAGATTTATGGATATCATTTTAAAAGCTAACATTTCAAATAAAACATAATAGGAAATTATAATTTGATGATTGGAGGTGTCTAGAAATGCATAAAATACAATTTAGATATATATTGTACTTGGATAACAAGTGTGGGAAAAACTGGGGGAAGGGGGAAGGCATTATTGTTATTTGACGAGGAGAAGAACACAGTTTTAAAGACCTGAATTCTCTGACACCAATTTGCTTGGTGCCTTGGGCAAGTTACTTAACTTTCTTTGTGTGCTGCAGTTTCCCCATTAAAAAAAAAATGAGGATAATGGCATATGCCTTTTCTCTGCCTCATAGAATTCTTACCAGAATGATAGAAGATCAAGTAATGCCCCACTTATCCAGCCATCATACTTCCAGCCTTAGCCATCTGTAATGAATCTCAGAAGCAGGCAGAAAAAGGCCTGTGAGCAATGAGAGCACTGCAGGCTTTAAGAAAATGCAAAGTCCATTGACTTGGAATTTTGTGTCAGTTAAGCTCAGTGTGTGCTGAGCTTGCAAGGTATACATGTGTTTGTGTGCATGTATGTTTCTTTTCTCTGTAGTTCTTCCCTCTCTGTAGTTACCTAGGAAGATAGGTTTTTATTTAAATGGAAAGGCAAGAAAGGGAAAGGTTGATTGAGGCAGATGAAAGTGTCTCCTTGGAAATTCACCATGAAGTTGGTGTAAGTTAGTTCAACCATTGTGGAAGACAGTGTCATGATTCCTCAAAGACCTAGAGGCAGAAATACCATTTGACCCAGCAATCCCATTACTGGGTATATACCCAAAGGAATATAAATCATTCTATCACAAACATATTTGCACATGTATGCTCATTGCAGCACTATTCACAATAACAAAGACATGGAATCAGCCCAAATGCCCATCATTGATAGACTGGATAAAGAAAGAATGGTACATATACACCATGGAATACTATGCAGCCATAAAAAGGAACAAGATCATATCCTTTCCAGGGACACAGATGTAGCTGGAAGCCATTATCCTCGGCAAACTAATGCAGGAACAGAAAACCAAATACACATTCTCACTTATAAGTGGGAGCTGAATGATGAGGACACATGGATGCGTGGAAGGAAACAACACACACTAGGGCCTGTTGGAGGATGGGGAATGGGAGGAGGGAGAGCATCAGGAAGAATAGCTAATGGGTGATGAGCTTAATACCTAGGTGATGGGATGTTCTGTGCAGCAAACCACCATGACACACGTTTACCTATGTAACAAACACACACTCTGCACAGGTACCCCTGAACTTAAAAGTTGGAAATAAAAAAAAAAGAAATTCACCATGAAGATAACTAGAGAAGAGGCCAGAATTAGGGGTAAACAGCGTTCTCTATTTCAGTCAATCACACGGTACTGGTTTCCTGCTTCAGAGTTTACAGGCTTTGTTGAAAGTTTTCTGAATCACGGACAGAATGCTCTTTTTACAAAGAAGTTTGTAATGCATTTACAAAAAAAAGAAATATGTACTGCATTTTAGGAAGCATTCTATTAAAAATGAAGGGAATAATGCATAGTTTATGTAGAAAATCAATATATACGGAATATTTCATTTTTTCCTCTGTGGTGTTAGATATATTCAACACTACTATTCTATTTTAGAAACAGTTTGAATTCCTCAATTGGAAAAGTACTCCCCACGTTTTTCTCCTTTGTAGCTCCGGATCTGATTTAAATCACTTGCCAAATCATTTTAAAGCCAAAACAAGGAGTTAGATTCTTGAAATTTGTTTTTGAGGGACAGGGGTGTTTTATAAATTAAAAATGTAAATTATATATGTATTTTTATTTTAAATAAGCTTTAAAATAAAGTATGTATTTTATTTTAAAATAAGCTTTCCCCTTTTTTGGATAAAACTGAAAACTTCCAGTTCTGGATGGATATTTATGTAGATATTTTTTACATACCTTACCTGACTAAGCATTATATTTTCATGCAGTAAGAGCAACAAATTATTTATATATTACATATTCAAATGTTTTTATATAATGTCTTCATTAAAATATGTACTAAATTTATAAATGTAAATTTGAACAAATTTCAAAATTATTTTTGTATTTATTGTCTGATGGAGGCAGGCAAAATGTGATACTCCAGCATTCTTTTCCCAAGAGATATGAAGATCTTCTGACAATTCAAATGAGATTAGTGTAGACTAGGACTTCTCAAACCATTTGAAGAACGAGGTGAGGTTTTTTTCTTTCATTTTAATTTCTTGTTTTTCTGACCAATATGTCATTCAACTGACTGTACATAGTGCCAGTACATAGTTAGGGCCATATGCCACTCACTCCCCATGTGCCTTTGACAACCCCAATCACCCTGTCCAGTGGATGAGCCCAGTGATCACATACTTGGATGTTACAGCAATGTCAAATTGGTATATAAGTTTCTGAACAATCTAAATTTTTGTGCTTAACCTGGTCAGGTACTGGTAATAATACATTTGCAGGCAGGCATCTTAGAATCGCACTGGGTAAATTAGTGATTAACAGCACACAACCTGGAATCAGACTGCTTGGGTTTGAATCTCAGCTTTACCATTTGCTGGCTGAGACCCTAGGCATGTCATTTAACCTCTTGTGCCCCAGGTTTCTTATTGGTAAAATGAGGATAACAATGCTAACCCATTTCATAGGGTTGCCACAAGCATTATAGAAACAAAATACTTAATACTGTAGAACTTAATAACAATAGTTTGCTTACTATGTGTTTAGCAGCAGTAATAATGTTGCTAAATCAGTAACATTTTGAACCTACTTGAAATTTCCTTATTTTGCTGACTTATCTAGAATAATTGTTGTAAAACCTAATTTACTTTTAAGTCAGGGGTCCCCGAGCCCTGGGCCACAGACCAGTACCTGTAGGTGACCTGTTAGGAACGGGCCGCACAGCAGGGGGTGAACAGGGGCTAGAGGATTACCACCTGACCTCCGCCTCCTGTCAGATCAACAGTGGTATTAGATTCTCGTAGGAGAGCAGACCCTATTGTGAACTGCACATGTGAGGGATCTAGGTTGTGTGCTCCTTATGAGAATCTAATGCCTGAGATCTCAGGTGGAACAGTTTCATCCTGAAACCATCCCCTCCCTGTACTACCATAACTTCCCCCTACCCCGTTCATAGAAAAATTGTCTTCCACAAAACTAGTCTCTGGTGCCAAAAAGGTTGGGAACTGATGTTTTAAGGGATATATTTTAAGCAAATATAGACCATGAAGGTAATCGAAGTCAAGTATATTATTTGAGGGGAGTGTGATTCATTCATATTGAGGTTCAAACATTCAAGAATATTTAATATTCAGTGAATATTTATTGAACATGCTGTTTCATATGTAGCCTTTAGAAGACATCATTAATTTCCTAGGAGGAGGTAAGCAGTTTGTTACTGAGCCTCTGTCAGAGGTCACAGCTGAAGAAATCTGGTTGGAGATGGTTACTGATGAGTATTTGGTTCAACTACAGTTTGTTAAGGATGTGGACCACAATTGGAATTTATATAATGTAGACCTCAAGGGAAAGAAAATATTGTAAATGCTTTCCTTTGAAAAAAGACATACTGATTCATTCAAGTGTTCATGATTGTGTACCTAGAAAAGATATTTTTAATGTTTTCTTTATATTGGAAATTCATTCATTTGATAAATATGTATTAGAGCCCACTATGTGCCAAGTAAAGTTGCTGAGAATATTTTCAGTTATCAAGGCAGATAAAATCTCTGTCTTCATGAAGTTTGCATTCTGGTATGGAGCCAGGAAAGAAAAGCAGGTTTTTAAAAAAAATAACAAAGTGAGTGTTAAGAAATAAGTGCGCAGAGCACAGGTTGAATATTCCTATTTGAAATGCTTGGTACCAAAGATGTTTCAGGTTTTAGACTTTTTTAGATTTTGGAATATTTGCATTACACACACACACACACACACACACACACACACACACCAGCTGAGCATCCTAAATCTGAAAATCTGAAATTCAAAATGCTCCAGTGAGCATTTCCTTTGAGCATCACGTTGGCATTGAAAAAGTTTCAGATTTTAGAGAATTTCAGAATTCTGATCTTTGGATTTGGGATGCTCAGCCCTGCAATAAGAAAGTACACAGAAAGATCTACTTTAGGAAAAATGGTCAGGATAAGTACCTCTAAGAAAGTAACATTTGAACTGAGACTCAAAGGATGAGGAGCAAGCCATATAAAGAGCATTCTAGGACCTGGAAAAGCTCCTGTTTACTCTGTGCAGTACTTCAGGTATTTCAAAGAACTCCTCAGCAGCAGTAGATGCAGTGTCTTTTCTCTAGCAACAAGACAAAAACCGGGCATTTTTAATACACGTATACAAAACCAACTACAACTCATTAGTTATTCTTGGGAAGAAGAATAAATAAACAAAGAATTCCAGCTCTATTTTACATCTTCATAGCAGAAGCTAGTAGCCTTAGTAGCAGAGGCTAGACATTGTTTGAAGGCATTTCTACTTTAATTTACTATGCCAGTATTTCTGTCTCTTTGGAGTTGTTAATTTCTTCATCTCAGGACCTCTCTGAGGGCTGATCAGGACTGCAGTTCAGAGTGTTTCCAGGGCATTGTGAGAACACAAAATGCATTCCTTGTGCTCCTGTCTTTATTACATGCTGTTCATCAGTACATTGCAGGCACCTCTTAGGCATTTAATTCCATTGGGAGTTTCTCTTGATACAAATTACTTTCATTTACTATAATTTTTATACTTTATCCACAGGATTAACTCTTGACTCTTTTGAAACTCTTGACCACCACCTTTCTCAGAGGTCATGATTTTTTCTGTTTCTGCTATAGCTCATGCCTTGTCTTGTGCTTTGCTAATAATAAATCAATAAATGGCTCATTTCTTGCTCTCATCCAAATGAAGCCATATATGGTAAGCATTAATTTTGTAATAAATTTTCTTCGTCAGAATATCTTACTGCCATTTAAATTTTTTACATAGACTATGGAAATAATTTACTTCCAATATTGAAAAATAATCATCTGCTTGTGAAGTATAAACTGAGCCTCTGTTTATTTTATCTAAAGCAGTATACAAGTCAAACTTTACTTTTTTATTCATAAGTTCACTTTTATAGATTTGTTTGGAATGTACTTATATTACAAAATTTTATCTTCCTTAGGTAGAGTGGAATATCTAAAAAAGTTTATTAATGAATCTTGAAATCTTTGGTCATGAACTACTTATAGTGTCATCTTTGCATACTTCAGTGATATTGAATACTTCTTAAAAACAGGAAATGAGTAATGCTGTATCCAGTGAAACTCTAGGAAGAATTTAAAATGTAATCATCATTAGCAAAAATTCTAAAAACAGCATGTTCTTACTAAGTACATTGGCTTCCTTGCTATCTTAATTCTGTATATTTGCTTTCTTTACATAAGAAGCTCTGCTATTAGTATTGCAGATCTAGAGCCAATGATAGAATGACCTAGATTCTGTGTGTCTTATACATCATCATCTGGATTTTTCAACTAGTCCTAATTTTAGTAACAGTAAGAGTAAATCTCTAAAAGAAAAAAAGGCACAGTGGAAATTTCGGATTTTGATTGATTTCAGTGATGAAAGGACTAAAATATTGACTTTTACTCATGATTTTTCATTATTTCTGCCAGTTTATCATTAATTTTACATTTAGTATTGTTTAAATGCAATGCACTAATTTCATCTTGTGTTATCTAACCTGGAAAAATAGTTTTTAAAAAAACACAGAATGTAAATATTTTAGAAATGAACTCCTGGCAAAAGACATCATCATAACATTTGGAACCATGGGTATTGATGGTCTCTTGGCAAATTATCATTTTTTCTTCAGGCTTCCATTTGCAAAGTAATAATCAGAAATCAGACTAAAATGGGAAATATTTTTAAATGACAGTGATTTAGAAAAAAGACTAGAGGTTGAAGAAAATTTAGAAGTAATAATGGCTACATATTTTATATTTACATTTCTCTTTAGGAGAAACTGAAGATTCAGAAATATTGTCTTAATCCATTTGGGCTGCTTTAACGAAGTATCATAAACTGAGTAGCTTACAAACTACAGAAATCTTTGTCACAGTTGACAAGGAAATATGGTGAAGTAGTTGCTTTAGCCAGTGAAGATGAGTATGAGCTGACATATGTCACTTTAGGAAGATGCTTTAGAAATGTCCCTGTTCCCATCTCAATGCTCTGCTGATTATGGAAGAATGTACCAGCCTAAGTCCCTGAGTTACCAGAATAAGCAGAACCTCCTGCTGCCCCATGGAACATGTAGTGCGAAGAAGACATAATCTTTTACATGTTAAGTTTCCGAAATTTGGGAGTTATTTATTACTTTGGTATAACCCGTCTTGACTGATACAGGATCTAAAAATATAACTTAGTCATAGATTAAAGTGCTTACTTTTCTAGTTTGCTAAAGCTTGTTATTATTCATGGGTGTTGAATTTCATTGAATGCTTTTTTTCTGCACCTGTCCAGTTGATCATATGTTTTTGATTTTAGTCTGTTAATGTCATGGATGACATTACAGATATTCTCATATTTAAACTTCCTTCCATTCTTGACCATAACCTCTGTTGGTCATCAAATATGGTATTTTTATACATTGTTAGACTGAGTTTTCTTTCCTTTATTTAAGACTTGTAGACACATACATTCATTATTAGATTATTTTATAATTTTTCTAGTCATCCTCACATAGTTTTATGATAAAATTATATTTGATAAATTAAGTTGGGGTGTTTTAATCCTTTTTATATCTCAAACAATCTGTATTGGGTTCCTTAAAGGTTTGGTAGAACTTGTCTTTAAAACCTCTGGACCTGGTGCTTTTTAGTGGATAGATTTTTAACCACCAATACCATTTCTTTAATGGTTATAGGTATTTTTAAGTTTTCTATTTTTTTCTCTTGTCAATTCTAATAATTATAATATTCTAGAAGTGTCATTTTGTTTCCAGTTTAATAGTATAGAGTTATAAGAGTTATGTGAGAGTTTATAGATAGCTATATATGTAAAAGTATATACAGTTTTTTGTTCTCTGCTGTATCTGTACAATGCTGATACTGTATTTTTAAATTTCTAATATTGTATATTTTTCTTACTTAATCTTTTCAGAGGTTTTGCATTTCATTGGTCTGTTCAAAGAATCATATTTTTGCTCTAGGTAATACTCTCAAAGTTTCCATTTCAATTATTTTCTTAATCCTTCTTTCCACTTTTGTAATATATTGTTTTTCCAACTTTTTGAGTTGAATGCTTAACCCAGGAAGCTTAATCTTACTTTTTTTAATAGGCAATTTAAGGCTATACATTTAGATTAATTTCAAGTTGTTATATGTAGTACATGATTCTTATTTTTTAACCTTGACCACTTGGAAGTTATATTTTATTTCTGTTCTTTTAGTGGTTACCCTTAAATTTATAACACTCATATTTGACTTAAAGTAGGAAATTAATAGCTCATTCTCTTATAACACAAACATCTTACCTAAGAAAGCTTTAACTCCAGTTGTATCCCATCCATCTCCTTGTTTCTTCCTTTATCTCTCTGTGTTCCATTCTGAGTAATTTCTTTCAGATCACTAAGTTTTTAGCTCTGTTTAATATGTTGTTTGCAGGTCCTTTTTTATTAAAAAATTATTTCAATTTCTAGAACCCTATTTGGCTCTTTTTCAAATTTGTTGTTTATGGTATCCTATTTACTTATTATAGTTTTAAACATATTTTACAGTGACTTTCAAATTGCTCTGTTCTCTGAAGTTCTAAAGAAGTGACTCTTCCTATTATAAATACTGACTCTCCCTCATGGTGTATCATTTCCTTGTGTAGTTAGTAACTTTGGAATGTGACTTTATGTTTATTGGGGGTCGTTTTTTCCGTGAGAGTACCTGTAGCATGGATTGCTGGTATGTCCCCCTAGAAAAGCTTTGCATTTTATTCAAAGGGTACGTCAAGGCTTTTACTGACATAGAACGAGTTTTTAAATGTCTTTCTCAGCTTGGGATTCCCTCACAAGGGTAGTTTAAAGTCAAACTCAGGTCATGTACATGGTTTGGTCTTAAGGACTTAATTTCTCACAGTCGACTTTTTACTCAACCCAACCCAAAGCCTGGACAGAGACAAGCTTATTTATTTTTTATTTATTTTTTGCTAGTTTGTTTTTGATTTTCCATACAGAAGTTTCTAGAACTCCTTTCACAGAGGGAGCAGTAATTCCAAGGTCTGGCTTTCTGCAGGAGGCTCAGTTCTAGCTTCCCACCTTATTTAAGCCCAAGGCCACATCTACTGTCTCACTATAGATGTTACAATCCTGAGGCCCCCATCTATAATTTTATGTGTCTGTGCACACATGCACACATATTAACCCTCTGGTTCCTGTATACATTTAGGCTAGATAGCTCATCCCCCAATAAACACATACCCTACTTTGGCATCAACTGATAGCTGACTGGCCCTGGCTTTTATTTCCTCTTTATTCTGATACTCAATCAACTTCCTATTTTATCTTTCAAACTTACGTATGAATTGAAGGTTCATTTTTCTTATATTTTCGCAGACTATGTATTTGTAGCAGTTAGGGAATATTCATTAGCTCAGTTCATGTTGATAAAATCCCTTAGTTTCTAATAAAGGAAAACAAATGGTTAGCCAAAAGTGAGAAATGTAATTATAGCTTACAGGCTGAACTGGGAATGAGAGTGAACTATTAGAGAAAACTGTCTGGACATTCTCTCATCCAGTGTCTGTTCAATGTGTACTGTATAAGATTCCAGAGACTGTTCCAGACCCTGGCGATACAAAGATGAATAAGAAATAATTCCCTTCCTTAGTGAGTTCATAGACTATCAAATAGAATAATATAGAACAAATAGAATGCAGTGAGAGAAATGCTAACAGAAGTATATATAATTGCTATGAAGACTTTAAATAAAATAGAGTTTTTATTTTTGCCTTTTAGTTAGAGGTATGTTGATGGAATAGGGGATGTTGCTAACGGGTTTCATAGAACAAGTAAAAAATCACAAATGGTAAGCACGGCATTTTTGGATGAGAGATAAACATGTATAAAAGCCACACTACTAGTGTAGTATATTGGTTTGGCTGGAGAATAAGGAGTGAGTGGAGAAGTGATGATAGATGGATCTGAAGAAATAGGCACCGATTTTTTAATTTTATTCTGTAGGCAAGGGATTGATAGTTTTTATGAATTAGGAAGATAACATTGCTGGTTATTTTTCTAAAGATGTGTTAAGTTGCTGAGAAAAAAAAACTAGATATGGTGAGTGTAATTAGGAGGTTGTTGCAGTCAATCAGGCCAGGGATGATGGATATTGAAAAGCAAGAGTAGAGTTGAAGAGGAAGGAATATACTTCAGAAATGGGGACTCTCAGAGAAATTTTTCAGTGTTAGTATAAAAAGAGAATAGGAAGAATATTAATAAATGAACCACAATTGGCCCAGCACAGTGGCTCACACCTGTAATCCCAACACTTTGGGAGGCCAAGGCAGGAGGATGGCTTGAGCACAAGAGTTCAAGACTAGTCTGGGCAACATAGCAAAACCCTGTCTACAAAAATAAAGTTAAGAAAAATCAGCTGGCCATTGTGGGCGCTCCTGTAGTCCCAGTCCTCCAGTCCTAGTGCCTCAGTCCTACTCAGGAGGCTGAGGCAGGAGGATCACTTGAGCCCAGGACGTCAAGGCTGCAGTGGGCTGTGATCATGCCACTCTAGCCTGGGTGATGGAGAGAGATCCTGTCCCCTCAGCCCCCCAAAAAAAGTAACCAAAATTTATTGAGCAATCACACCATGCCAGCAACTTTACCAAGTTCCTTTAACTCTCACAAAACTCTGTAAGTGATAATTTATAAATGAGAAAGCCTCAGAGAAGTTCAGTAATAGCCCACCCAACATCACACCTGTGGTGCTATATCCAAATGCTGTCTGATTCCCATGCTGGTTTTCTTTTCACTCTTTTTGTTCCTTCTCTGTAGAGATTTTGTTTTAATGCTAATCATTTTTTCCATGGGACTCTCCTTATATTGCAGTTTTATCAGGTGAAATGATGAGCAATTCAAGAGTCTTTAAATAACTATAATTTGAAATGTCAAATTACTTCTCAACTGTAAGCTAATTAAATCTTGCAAGGCAAGACCCTCTAAAGTTAAAAATGATTTGGCATCTCTTTCCATGTCATTAGGCTACATCTCTCTGCAGTGTGATGATTCTGCTCGTTGCATTTCAGAGTTTGCTGGTGTCACCATGTGGTTTGGTGGGGCTAAGAATAATAATTATTCCTAAATCCTCTGGCAAAAGTTGTCAGAAACCAATTCAGAAGCTATACCATCACCACTAAGTTCACAGTTCAAAAAACAGTGACCACTCAGGGATATTCTGACAAATATAGTGTCACAACAAAGAAATAGGAAGCCAATAACAATTATTGATGATTTACTGCAGAAGTTCTCTTGGGCACTTCAAAAGAAAGGTTTTATCTAAGTAGAGAAAATTTAATTTTAGTAAGCAGGATGGAATGCTATCACCAACTTGTCCTGCCAACTGGATTCTTCCTTTCCTCCCCAGCCAAACTTATAAGCATTCTTTCCCTTTTCCATTTAAACATTAATGACAGGCAAAGAAATGGTGAGATATCATTATAAAGTTCAGAAATAGCCCAACTTAACTCCTGAAATCATGCCTTACACATATGCATTAGAATTTCTGGGTCAAGGGTGAAGACAGTATATATCAAAGTGGTTTAAATGACAGATGCTAGGGCCAGACTGCCTGGGTTGGAATTCTGGTTCTGATACTCACTAGCCATGTGATCCTAGGTAGGTTACTTAGTGTCCTTGTGCCTCAGTTTCCTCATCCATAAAATGGGAATAATAAAAGGACATATCCCATGGGGTTGCTTGAAGATTAAACAACATCCATAAAGCATTTTGAATAGCACTTGGCACAGATTAAGCCATATATAGGTATTTATTATTATAATTATTACTGTTGATATTTATAACAATTTCTATTTTGGTGTGTTATGGTGATTATTATTAAATTTGGATGATAAAATATTTACCCTATTTCCAATAAGCAAATCTTTGAGTAGAATAAGAATAGGCAGTCTCTTTTATGCTTTCCCATTAGAGTGTTTTGCTCTGATTTTGTTGTGTAAATCTTTCAAATAGAAAATATATAAAACTGAACCATAAGTTCTAAAACTGCCATCTAAATTGAGTATGGTTTTCGTGCTTTAAAAAAACATGTTTTGTTTGTTAAATTGGAAACAATTTAGTGCACCCACATTCCTTCTGGTTTAAGTAATCTATAGAATTAAAATGACAAAAAAGTAGGATTAGCCAGATTTATATTTGGCAAAGGAGCGTTGCAAACAGCTTCCATAAAACAGGTGTAGCTGTTTTAATAGATGTACCAGACTGGCCCATAAAACCCACCCAGTTGCCATAGCACTCCACAGATGTCCACTTAAACAATTTAATATCACTGAAATGATTCTGGCAAAGAATTTCTTAAAACAAACTGTAATGATTTATCATTTTGAGCTGTCTCAAGTACCATCATTATCCTAATGGCCCATGATCAGAATATTTTTCTTCAAATTCTTTCCCCCCACTTTGGCTCTCCTTTTTCTGTTCAGACCCTCTTCATCTGCATATGCTTAATACCACTAATCAGGCTCTTTCATTCATATTATCCAACCCACACTAAATTTCCTTACCTTACTCTTTTCGCTTTCATTTGAGAAAAATCCTGTCTTCCAATCTCCTCCTGTGTGAATTGATTCTAGAAACTTTTTTTGTTTTTATTATTATACTTTAATTTTTAGGGTACATGTGCACAATGTGCAGGTTTATTACATATGTATACATGTGCCATGTTGGTGTGCTGCACCCATTAACTCGTCATTTAGCATTAGGTATGTCTCCTAATGCTATCCCTCCCCCCTCCCCCCACCCCACAACAGTCTCCGAAGTGTGATGTTCCCCTTCCTGTGTCCATGTGTTCTCATTGTTCAATTCCCGCCTATGAGTGAGAACATGCGGTGTTTGTTTTTTTTGTCCTTGTGATAGTTTGCTTAGAATAATGGTTTCCAGTTTCATCCATGTCCCTACAAAGGACATGAACTCTTCATTTTTTATGGCTGCATAGTATTCCATGGTGTATATGTGCCACATTTTCTTAATCCAGTCTATCATTGTTGGACATTTGGTTCCAAGTCTTTGCTATTGTGAATAGTGCCGCAATAAACATACGTGTGCATGTGTCTTTATAACAGCAAGATTTCTAATCCTTTGGGTATATACCCAGTAATGGGATGGCTGGGTCAAATGGTATTTCTAGTTCTAGATCCCTGAGGAATCGCCACACTGACTTCCAAAATGGTTTACAAACTAGTTTACAGTCCCAGCAACAGTGTAAAAGTGTTCCTATTTCTCCACATCCTCTCCAGCACCTGTTGTTTCCTGACTTTTTAATGATTGCCATTCTAACTGGTGTGAGGTGGTATCTCATTGTGGTTTTGATTTGCATTTCTCTGATGGCCAGTGATGGTGAGCATTTTTTCATGTGTCTTTTGGCTGCATAAATGTCTTCTTTTGAGAAGTGTCTGTTCATGTCCTTCACCCACTTTTTGATGGGGTTGTTTGTTTTTTTCTTGTAAATTTGTTTGAGTTCATTGTAGATTCTGGATATTAGCCCTTTGTCAGATGAGCAGGTTGCGAAAATTTTCTCCCATTTTGTAGGTTGCCTGTTCACTCTGATGGTAGTTTCTTTTGCTGTGCAGAAGCTCTTCAGTTTAATTAGATCCCATTTGTCAATTTTGGCTTTTGTTGCCATTGCTTTTGGTGTTTTAGACATGAAGTCCTTGCCCATGCCTATGTCCTGAATGGTATTGCCTAGGTTTTCTTCTAGGGTTTTTATGGTTTTAGGTCTAACATGTAAGTCTTCAATCCATCTTGAATTACTTTTTGTTTAAGGTGTAAGGAAGTGATCCAGTTTCAGCTTTCTACATATGGCTAGCCAGTTTTCCCAGCACCGTTTATTAAATAGGGAATCCTTTCCCCATTGCTTGTTTTTCTCAGGTTTGTCAAAGACCAGATGGTTGTAGACATGCAGCATCATTTCTGAGGGCTCTGTTCTGTTCCGTTGATCTATATCTCTGTTTTGGTACCAGTACCATGCTGTTTTGGTTACTGTAGCCTTGTAGTATAGTTTGAAGTCAGGTAGTGTGATGCCTCCGGCTTTGTTCTTTTGGCTTAGGATTGACTTGGCGATGCGGGCTCTTTTTTGGTTCCATATGAACTTTAAAGTAGTTTTTTCCAATTCTGTGAAGAAAGTCATTGGTAGCTTGATGGGGATGGCATTGAATCTATAAATTACCTTGGGCAGTATGGCCATTTTCACGATATTGATTCTTCCTACCCATGAGCATGGAATGTTCTTTCATTTGTTTGTATTCTTTTTTATTTCATTGAGCAGTGGTTTGTAGTTCTCCTTAAAGAGATCCTTCACATCCCTTGTAAGTTGGATTCCTAGGTGTTTTATTCTCTTTGAAGCAATTGTGAATGGGAGTTCACTCATGATTTGGCTCTCTGTTTGTCTGTTATTGGTGTATAAGGATGCTTGTGATTTTTGCACATTGATTTTGTATCCTGAGACTTTGCTGAAGTTGCTTATCAGCTTAAGGAGATTTTGGGCTGAGACAATGGGGTTTTCTAGATATACAATCATGTCATCTGCAAACAGGGACAATTTGTCTTCCTGTTTTCCTAATTGAATACCCTTTATTTCCTTCTCCTGCCTAATTGCCCTGGCCAGAACTTCCAACACTATGTTGAATAGGAGTGGTGAGAGAGGGCATCCCTGTCTTGTGCCAGTTTTCAAAGGTAATGCCTCTAGTTTTTGCCCATTCAGTATGATATTCGCTGTGGGTTTGTCATAGATGGCTCTTATTATTTTGAGATACATCCCATCAATACCTAATTTATTGAGAGTTTTTAGCATGAAGCATTGTTGAATTTTGTCAAAGGCCTTTTCTGCATCTATTGAGATAATCATGTGGTTTTTGTCTTTGGTTCTGTTTATATGCTCAATTACATTTATTGATTTGTGTATATTGAACCAGCCTTGCATCCCAGGGATGAAGCCCACTTGATCATGGTGGATAAGCTTTTTGATGTGCTGCTGGATTTGGTTTGCCAGTATTTTATTGAGGATTTTTGCATCAATGTTCATCAAGGATATTGGTCTAAAATTCTCTTTTTTTGTTGTGTCTCTGCCGTCCTTTGGTATCAGGATGATGCTGGCCTCATAAAATGAGTTAGGGAGGATTCCCTCTTTTTCTGTTGATTGGAATAGTTTCAGAAGGAATGGTACCAGCTCCTCCTTGTACCTCTGGTAGTCTAGAAACTTTTAAGGTAACTTTATCTTCAAGTTTGGAGGGCTACTTGATGATGGGAGGCAGACAACTCAGACAGAGGCATTAAGAGCTATCAAGCTCGGTAGTGGGAAGCCAATGGCATTGAATTTAAGAAGGGATATATACATTTAGCAGGTCCTTACATTACAGATAATGCATCAGGCTTTCAACTATGGCAGTGGTAGGGTGGATAACTTTATCACTAAGGCAACATACTTCCTCAGTGATGTCCGAGGCAAACAGTGCTAATCGATCATTTCAACCTTGCTGTCCTTCTTAACAGAGCACTCCAGACAGTCACTACCAATCATTTGACACTGGAACTTAAGACGAAACCTATTTGCTGTCCAGGATATGATTTTTACAAAAGACATAAAGTTTCCTTCAAATGGATTTTTGTTATATTGATTCTCCATAAAAAAAAAAAAAGAAAAAGAAACAAGGACAAAACATTAAATCTCAACTTTGTGAAGGCACTTCTTTAGGGAGAAAATATAATATGGTTCAGAAAATGAGGCATTTCAAGCAATCCTTTGGCAAGTGCTAAATTCAGCCAGTTCGTAGTTGAATTTTTGACAAGCGCCTAAAGTGCTGAAACTCAGTGCTGTTGCTTAAGGTAGGATCAATATACTTTAGATACCAGACCGGAAGCAGAGTTGACGTTCTCTTATGGAAGTTCAGAGCCTGAATTTCATTCTTGTCATACTGACAGCCATCTTCTTTTTGTGGAAAGCTGGATTAACAAAGGTGGCTCATTCCTCAGTATTTGAATAAATACTTTGTTGTAACCTCAAAGTTCTAGAATATGAATAAAACTTAGTAACAGCTAACACATAGTGCACACAAATACCTTATTCAGACTATACTAAGCAATTTACATACATTATTGCATTCAATCCTTATAGCAATTTTACAAGATAGAGACTACTTTTATTCCTAGATTAAAGGTGAGGAAATTGAGAAGAGGGAGCCCTAACTTGCCCCAAGTACTACAGGCTAATGGGTGGAAGAACCATGATTTGTGCCTATGCAGTCTGACTGCAAAGCCTGTTGTTAGCTTAGCTTCCACTCTGTCCTTCCTCTTTCACTTGCAGGCCAGGTTTTGTGATTCTCTTTGCTTGACAGAACATATCATCTAGTCATGACCTTGGCTGCAAAGAATCAATCTTCTGGGACCTTTGTGGAAAGTAACTTAGCTGTAGCCCTGGAGTTAAGGTATCTGGTAAATCACAGCATCACCACTATCACTGGGATAATACAGAACTAGGTTAAGGTTAGGCTTGAAGAATATAGCAAGAATGCATCAGGACCTGGGATTAGAGTGGATATTGCTGAGTTTAGCCAAGAAAAGGCAGAAATTGATGAAAACTAAAAGCCAGAGGAGTGCTTCTCTAGTGAAGTCAGCCATGTTTCTCATGTGCTCCTTGAACTATCTGCATTAGAAATGGTAGGAAGCCCCAAGTCCAGAAATATCTCCCTCATATTTCTTTGTTTTAATGAACAGAGTAAGACTTTTTTTTTTTTTTTTTTGCAGACAGGGAGATAGTCTCTCTCTTGTCACCCAGGCTGGAGTGCAGTGGGGCGATCTTGGCCCACTGCAACCTCCACCTCCCAGGTTCAAGCAATTCTCATGCCTCAGCCTCCAGAGCAGCTGGGATTACAGACGTGTACCACCAAGCCTGGCTAATTTTTGTATTTTTAGCAGAGATGGGGTTTCACCATGTTGATCAGAATGGTCTCGAACTCCTAGCATCATGTGATCTGCCCAACTCGGCCTCCCAAAGTGCTGGGATTAGAGGTGTGAGCCACTGCACCTGGCAAGAATAATACTTTTCTTGAGTAACACTCATAGTTTGAGGGAGCTGTCAACTATGAGGCAATTAGGTTGCTTTTCGTAGAGATTTGCAATCTTGAGAAAATATAGACAAGGAAAAGCCTTTGGCTCTCTTGACGCGTAGAAAGAAGATGGGAAGTATGAAGGTCAGGGATAGGATGCTATTATAAGGCAGGGGAGTGGGGAAGCCAGTGGTGGCAAAAGAGCTGGGAAGAACCTGGAAGAAGGCTAGGAAGGAAGGTAAATGGTAGGGTGCTAATGAAGCTGCCTGATGCTTCCCCGCATTTTTTTCTCTCTTTTTGCTCCACCCAGGAACAAAGAGCTATGCAGGCCTTGGCACTCACTAGCCTACTTCCGGATCCTTTCCTCTTCAGTTCCATTCATTCTAGGGAGGAACCACCTCATGCCTTTCCCCATTCAGTTCCTGAGAGGAAGGGGCTGGGCTTTCCCCAGGCAAAATTGTACTTTGGTGACAGGTTCCTCTCCTCTTCTTGCATCCTCCTTCCCACACTTCTTTCAGGTTCTTATGCAGAGTTCTAGCCTTGGTACCAGGGTAGAGTGGGGAGAGACAAACACGGAAGGTGTGAGGCTGCTCCTGCTTGCCAAGGGGAGCTGAGTTTATATTGTCTCCTTCAGTTTTCAAATTTCCTGACTCCTTTCCTCCCACTTTTTTTTTTTTTTTTTACTTCGCCACTCTAAATATCTGACAAAAAGTTATAAAACTTTTACCAGAGAATAGGCCATGTCCAGAATTCTTATATCCCCAATGTCTTGCCAGTGGTATGTAAACCCTCAGTAAGTATTAATTTTCAGGGAGCACTGCTTGTGAGATACAGGATACCAGAAAAGGCCAGTATTTGCCTGTCAGATATGCCAGCTACACATGCACTATAGCTTCCTGGCTACAGTCAGGGCTTACCTCAGTGTTTTCTAAAATGTCAGAAGTTACTCTGTGTTTCATGATTAGGTTGCTCATGAAAAATATTTGCTTCAACTGTTTAATTTATATCCTTTAATTCTGATTGTAAGCCTTCGCACATCCACATGTGACTTCCTACCTGAGAAAGGCTAATCATTTGGTTATTTTGGTTCCATTTAAGTAATTTAGTTGGGCAGGGGAACAGATCCTAAAGAGGCTAGCCTCCTGTTTTTACAGTAACTTGGCAAATTAGGTTTTAGCCTCATTTAACAGAAGAAGAAACTACAGTAATTTCTCACCTAATGTCATCAATAGGTTCTTAGAAATTGAGACTTCAAGCAAAACAACCTATAACAGAACCAACTTCACCATAAGTTAATTGATTCAAACAATACTTAAGTTCTTATATCCTATTTCTGGTCACAAAAATATCACCAGGCTTCTAAATAAAGACCCCAAACACTTGTACTATTAATCACTTCTAATATTGAAATAAATGTGAGCTATACATTTAAGAAACATCAGTTAAAGCAAGTAAGACAATTATTTCCCCAAATAGTTTAGTTCAGGGTTGTGGGTGGCCAGAGCTTGTCCCATCAGCACAGGGCACAAGGCAGGAACCCACCTGGACAGGACACCATCCCATCACAGGCAGAACGCACTCACACACACCCTACTCACTACAGCTGGGCCATGTAGACCTGCTGGTGAACCTGACATGCGTGTCTTTGGGATGTGGGAGGAAACCAGAGTGCACAGAGAAAACCCATGCAGACATGGGGAGAATGTATGGACTCCACACAGACAGGGGCCCCAGCTGGGAATCTGTTTTTTTCCCCATCAGCACTATGAGGGAATGATGTTGAATGAAAAGATGTTATTAGAGGACCTCTTGTGATGCTTTGACAATGACTTGCTCAAGTTTTGCAAATAGTGTAAGTGGCAGAGCCAGAATTTAAAACCAATTCCACCTGCCTCCATGGTCTTTGCTCACCCCAGGCACTTTCAGGACACAGGTGATGGCAAAAATGGTCATCATAACATGCATAGCTTTCCTCAGCTGGTGCTGCTGCCCTTTCTTATTCAGCAAGAACCATCATGTCATCAGGCCTGCTCTAGCCACCCAGTGTCTTGGCAACAATCATTTTCATTTACCTGTTAGCCATCCAGTATTCCTTGATCCTCCTCTGCTATTTCCCCACCTACCTTTACTTTCACTTTTGCCTCCTTCCAGAATTAGGATATTTCCTGGCATTTCCACTCCTGCCATCACTGAAGATTAACTTTAATCTCTGTTAACAGCTTAGATGTTAAGGTGTACCTTGTTGAATAGGTCTTAAGTGGAGATCAGTCATTATAAATGCAGCTGCCTTTAAAAATAATGTGGTGTATAAGTGAAGTCAAAGGTTGCTTCTTACAGACTGTTTCTGCAAAAGCGAATAGACCCCTGCCATTCATAATGAAAGTTAAAATGCTTTGAGGTGTAGCATTACCTGGTGCTCCTCTTTCACAGGAGATAAGAGAAGCACTTCGGTGTTTAAATATACAATCATGTGAAAGTGTTGTCACCACTGTAGAATGTGTTTTGCAGTTACCATCTCATCACATCTAAAAAATGGTATGTACAGCCAAATATTCATATACTCAGAGCTACTCCCTGTTCCTTAGTTCACTTTCTTCAATTAAAAAAAAAAGGAAAAAAGATGTGAAAATGACTAATATGTTAGTACCAACAGTATCACATACCAAAACAGGTGATTTTAGGCTATTGCTATAGAAAAAGCAGTAAAAGAAATGAGCATAACCTTGCTTTTAAATGATGCAGTTATTCTCTTTTAGACCATTGGACCATAATAGACATTCTCCTTTTAAGTAAACAAGGAATGGAGCATTTATCAATGCAAATTTTTACTTTACATAAAGACTTTTCATTTTTTTAAGCTAAGATTATGCTGTATAGAAAAATAAAGAGTAAGTGCATTTTCTTCAGTGCTGCCTCAGTTTAGAATTCCTGGATATATTTCTATAAATTCATTGTCTCTACACATAGTCTTATGATTTTGCTATATAATTTGGCCAACATTTATTCAGTTACTATTTATTCAACACCTACTGTGAGGCAGGCATTTGCTAGACAGATTGTTGCTGCCCTCATATTCTGGAGGAGAAGACAGAAAAGCAAGCAAATAAAATAGTTACAAATTGTGGTAAGTACTCTGAAAAAAACTGGCAAAGGACTTACCAACGAGATACCTACTTAGATAAGGTGATAAGAATATTTAAATTAAGATCTGAAGAAGAATGAAGAACTAGTCATGTGAAGAGTAGAAAGCATAGTGTACCCGCTGAAAAAAAAAGCTTGTGCAAATCCCTGTGATAAGGACACACCAAGTGTGAAGCTGGCGAGAGTGAGACTGGCACATATGCTGATTAATCTCCCTTCCACCTACTGGATAAAGAAACTGTGTTTGCCGAACTCCTACTAACCTCAGTAGGGAAGGCACCAGGTTCAAGAGGCCGAAGAAGAGACCAATAGCCAGCAAAGGAGACATGGGGTTTTATTCGGTGCTTCCATACAGAGGAGAGTGTCCAGTGGTGGTGGGCTGGACAGGAGAACTGCCTAACATACATAAACAGTCCAGTGGTGGCGGGCTGGATAACATATTCACCTGGCCCAGTAGCAGTGGGCTGGGCAAGAGAACCAGGACCACTTGCAAATGGCATGGAATTTATGTAGCATTTTCACTAACCACCCTCCCCCTAACAACCTCCACCTGGAAACCTTCATTTAACCCAGAATTCGAGGCCCCAATCCCCTGTACAGCCTATGTTCCATGGGATGGGACGGGCATTTAAATGTTTATCATAGATAAGGAATGAATCTTCAGGTTGGCCATTCCAGGATTCCCTAGCTCTGAACACATATTCAGGTGCATCTGCCATACAGGATCATTCTAAGGGTATGCTTAAATTATGCTATCAGGTGCACTCATCCTACAATGTGGTACATATAACATATATACCATGGAATACTATGTAGCCATAAAAAAGAACAAAACCATGTCCTTTGCAGCAACATGGATGCAGCTGGGGTCCATTTTCCTAAGTGAATTAACACCAGAACAGAAAACCAAATACCACATATTCTCACTTAAAGTGGGAGCTAAACATTGAGTACACACAGACACAAAGAGGGGAACAAAAGACACTGAGGACTACTAGTAGGGGGAAGGTGGGAGGACGGCGAGGGTTGAAAAACTACATGTTAGGTAGGTACTATGCTCACTACCTAGGTGACAAGATCATTTGTACACCAAACTTCAGTGACACGCAACTCACCCATGTAACAAACTTTCACATGTACCCCCAAAACAAAAAGAAAAATCCTCCCTTCCACCCCTCTAGATCTGTTCCCTGCCATTCTCTCACTTGCTCTGTGTCCTGGGAGGTAGCCCGCTCCTGTCCTCCTACGTCATACCATATGAATCACCCAGACTCCCTTGACCTCAGGCTTTTGATTTCCTCAAGCCTCCCAGCCAGTGAGAAGTACCAGCAAGAGATCAGAAGACAGGATGAGAGAGAAGCCAGGGTATTCCTTCCCTCTTTTTTTGCTTTGGACTTCCTACTGATGACCCTTTCTATAAGGATCCAATTGCTCTGACTCTAGTTCCTTCCCTTGCCCCTTTATACCTAGGAATGGTAAAGGCTGCCCATTGTTTCTATTTTGGGGGTGCCTAACCATCCCTTTGTTTCCTCAACCTTGCCCACACCTGTGTAAGGAATTGTTTCATGATAGTCTCTTCATTTTAACTATGTGGGATGAATTCTGTTTCCTTTGAGTCTCTGACTATAGAGAATGACACCTGGTGAGTGAGGCAGGATAATTTCTAGTCCTTTTTAGCTAGGAATTTAGATTCCATTCTCAGAGCAGTGTGAGGCCAATGAAATACGGTGAGATAATCTGATCCCCATGTAAGATGGTCATCCTGGATGCTCTTGAGGGTATTGACTAGAGGAGTAAGAATGGAAGCAGGGAGACCAGCTAGAAGGCTGTGAAGCCAGGAACTGTGTGGTGCCTGGGCAAGAGTGATAGTATAGGAGAAAGAGAAATGAGTGGATTCAACATGTAACTGATAAACTTTTAGCACAGAAATGTGAGTCAAGCATGACTTAAGTTAATGATTTGAGCCATTGGGAGGTGGTGTTGGTAAGGAATTAAGGATTCTTTGTCTTTGGTGGGTTTCATTTGAAATATCTGTGAAATATCCAGGAAGAGATTCAATTAAACAGTTTGGAGTTCAAGGAATGAGTTAGGGCTGAATATCTAGATTGAGTTATGAACATATAAAAAACATTTAAAACTCGGGTGAGAATGGACATAATCCCCATGGAAAAGAATTTCTAAAAAATTAAAAAGAGAGCCTGGGAGCTGCTAACATTTAATCAACCTTAGAAACAATTTGAATGCATATTTTAATTCATCCCCAAATATTGTTTAAATAATATGTAAATCCAGTTTTAGAGAAAAGGAAAATGAAAATAAGGGATGCTTCAGAAATCAAATGTGAAAATGCTGTGTACTGTATTATACTTCTCCCCATAAAATGAACGTGATATCTAGTTGAACATATTTTTTAAAAGACTAATAGACTGTGCCTTCTAGGAATACTGCCTTACTTATGCTTTGAACATTGGCACAAATATAACTCGTGTAAACACTTTAGCTTTGTTCTGGAAACTTACAAATTGAGTATAGAACTGAGTGAGTTAATTTACCTCCTCATTACAGTCTCTTATTTTGAACCAACAGGATTATGCCCAGGTGGTGAGTTCTGCATATTGTCTAACTTAATTGGGAAATGTGTTTACATTGATAAGCTTCCAGCCTAATTCAAATTAGAAGAAAAGCTTTCTAATTTCACCTTTCATTTACTAGAATTTTATAAGATAAAAGAATATATAAAAATGGCACCAGTGTATTTCACTAATGCAATCCATAATAACCAAAACCATCATTAAGCCCTGCAAGAAGACATTTCTTGGTGTTTTTCTTCAGGTCCTCTACAAATGATCATCCTCTGACTCCAGGGACCTATAGATTTTATTATATGGCCTTCCAGCTTTTATATTATAGCATTGAGCTGTCATCTGTAGCATCTATTAGAATGCTATTGACAAAATGTCCACTCATATTGAACTAAGTACTCAATAAACCACTATAAGTAAATTGTTGTGTTCTAACCTTGAAGGATAGTCTATTGATTCCCCTCATGGGTATGAGCCTAGCAGAACGCCCCTATCTGCAGTTCCTTTGTGCTACCTATAATATGTTGTGTAATGTCTTTTTTGAGATCCCAGATTATAAAGGAACTTTTTTTATATTCTTTATTAAAACCAAATATTGTTTTCGCATATTTATTTTATTTCAAATAAATAGTTAACCACTAATCATTGCTTTTTTCTTATGCTCTAAAACTCTGCCATTTTAAAATTGCATACAGAATTAAAGTAATCCACACCTATAATAAGAAAGTTTGGAGTCATTTTCCAAAGGTAATTGTTTTTAGCAGGATTTTTTGGGAGTACCTCTAGAGCTTAATTGTGTGTGTGTGTGTGTGTGTGTGTGTGTATGTGTGCGTGTGTATGATATTACAGTCCTTTTTCCCACAAGTGGAATCATACCATTCACACTTTTTGGCATTTGGTTTGGTAGTGACAGTGGGGCTTTCTCTGTTACCTGCCTTGAGACGATTTCCATACTACTAAATCTGTCTCACTCTTTTTAATAGCGCTATATATACCATTGCATGGCTAGAACATAACCTATTTATCTAGATCCTTATGGTGGACCTCCAAGTTTTCCCTCTGTTTTGCTATTAGTGTTACCATGAATATCCATGTGTGTATCTTTGTGTACCTGTGAAATGTCCTCTATTTAAATATGTGTGAGATTTTCGTGTAAAAATGAAAAAGAGAATGTATATATTGCCTAAGGAATAAAAATCTTCTGCAATTATAGTGATACATTCTGGAGAGCATAGGTGAGGAAGGATAGAAAGATCTAAAGAGTGAATGTCGGAGATATTTTAAAACATTTGACAGATTTTCCTCTTGTTGGATACTGTCAAATTTTGATTGGTGCGCAATTTATTTTAAACTTTAAAAAAAAGTTTTCAAGACTATAAATAATTGGAAATATCTTATAATCATAGTTTGTGTTGATAATTGTGAATCCTTAACTGATTTGTGATTTGTGAAAAACGTACTTTCAGTGCCAAATATCTTCTTTATGGTAAGCTTCAGAAAGTGATCGTTTGTGATGGTACTGTTAGGCTCAACAGAATAGTCAATTAGCTGGAACAAGCAATGTCCTACATCTGTGTATTAACAAAAGGTTACAGTGCTTGATATCTCCTAAAATGAAGGGTGAATTTGTTGTCAATTTATGGCAAAGTGTATGCTTGGGAGGTTAGGAGAGTGGGTGGTGTTACAGATGTATAATTTGAATTCTCACTTTTATGCTAGAGATGGTTATTTTTTAAATAAGCAACTTAACACCCAAACAGTAACTTCTCCAAGGAAGGCAAATGTTACTTGAAAATAGATGATCTTAAAGAAAGGGAAAGAGAACAACGCAATAAATTAGAGCTGACAAAGCAATTAGAAGCATACATCCGAAAGAGTAATACCCTGCATTTATAAATCAGTTTCTTAGTATTTTTATGATCATTTTCTCAGTACAATGGAAGGACAGATGTTATTATTCCCAATTTATAGGGGAGGAAATTGAAACTCCAAGAGGTTGACTCCTGTTCCTATAACCTTTTTCTTCAAGACTGATGATGTGGAAATTACTGTATTGGTTTCTGAGGGCTGCCATAACAAGTCACCACAAACTGGATAGCTTAAAACAATGTATATTTACTGTTTCTGGAAGCTGAAAGTCCAAAATCAAGGTTTCGGCAGGATTGGTTCCTTCTGGAGGCACTGAGGGAGAATCTGTACCATCCCTCTGTCCTAGTCTCTGGCAATTGCCAGCAGTCTTTCGGATTCCTTTGTTTGTAGGTGTATCACTCCAATCTCTGCTTCCATTGTCGCACAGCATCCTCTCCGTCTGTCTTTGTTCAGATTTCCCCCTATTTATAAAGACACCAGTCATTGGATTTAAGCCCACTCTAATCCATTCTGACTTCATGTTAATTTGATTACATCTACAAATACCTTATTCACAAATAAGGTCACAATCACATGTACCAGGGTTAGGACTTGAACATATCTTTGTGGGGGACACAGTTCAACCCACAATGACTAACATTTCAGGACATCACCAAGAAACTAGTGTGTTTCATAGTAATGGAATAAAAATAGTAGTTCTCATTTTATCTATACCTTTCTCCTAAAATTCCATTTACCCAAAGTCTCATCATCAATAAATGACTAAACTAGTAATAGCTTTTTTAAATTCAGTTATAATCCACATATCATAAAATTTATCCTTTTAAAGTGGATGATTCTGTCATTTTTAGTATAATTCACAGTTATGAAACCACCACCACTATGTAATTTTTGAATGTTTTCATCACCCTGAAAAGTACCTGTACCCATTAGCAGGTACTCTCCACTCCCTGCTACCCTTAGCCCTTTCTCTCTGTCTCTCTAGATTTGCCTATTTCAAATACTTCATGTAAGTGGAACCATACTATATGTGGTCTTTTGTGTCTGGCTTCTTTCACTTAGCATAATGTTTTCAAGGTTTATCCATATTGTAGAGTGGAATAGATAAGAATAAGAACTATTGTTTCCATTCTATTGCTATGAAAGACACAACATGGATATTAGTGATTTATTCCTTTTTAGGCCTGAAGAATAATACATTGTATGGATATACCATATTTTATTAGTTAACTTATCAGTTGATGGACATTTGGGTTGTTTCCATTTTGGCTATTATTAATAATGCTGCTATGAACAATTCATATACCAGTTTGTGTGTGGACATATGTTTTCAATCCTCTTGGAGCTCACCTACGAGTGAAATTGCTGGGTCATATGGAACTTTACGTATTTGAAACTGTTTCCAAAGAGGCTGTATCGTTTAATATTCCCATCAGCAATGATGAGGATTCTCATTTCTCCACATCCTCATCAAGACATATTATTGTTAGTCTTTTTTTATTATACCCATCCCAGTGGGTGCGAAATGGTATCTCATGGTTTTGATTTACATTTCACTGTTGATTAATAATGTTGAGCATCTTTCCATTTGCTTATTGGCCATTTGTATACCTTCTTGAAGAAATTTCTATTTAAATTATTTGCCCATACTAAGCAAGAAGAACAAAGCTGCAGGCATCATGTTACCTGACATCAACTATACTACAGGGCTACAGTAACCAAAACGCATGGTACTGGTACAAAAACAGGCACACAGACCAGTGGAGGAGAATAGAGAGCCTAGAAATAAGGCCACACATCTACAGCCATCTGATCTTCAACAAAGCTGACAAAATCAAGGAATGGGGAAAAGACTTTGTATTCAATAAATGGTGCTAGAATAACTAGCTAGCCATTTGGAACAGATTGAAGCTGAACCCCTTCCTTACACCATATACAGAAACCAACTCAAAATGGATTAAACACTTAAATGTAAATCCCAAAACTATAAAAGCCCTGAAAAACAACCTAGGCAATATTATCCTGGATATAGGAACGGGCAAAGATTTCATGACAAAGACACCAAAAGCAATTGCAACAGAAGCAAAAATTGACAAGTGGATCTAATTAACCTTAAGAGCTTCTGCACAGTGAAAGAAACTATCAGCAGGGTGAGCAGACAACCTACAGAATGGGAGAAAATATTTACAAACAATGCATCTGACAAAGGTCTTATATCCAGAATATATAAGGAACTTAAACAAATTTACAAGAGAAAAACAACCCCATTAAAGTGTGGGCAAAGGACATGAAGAGACACATCTCAAAAGAAGACATACATGTAGCCAATAAACATATGAAAAAAAGCTCAATATCAACTGATTATTAGAGAAATGCAGATAAAAACCACAATGAGATACCATCTCACACCACTCAGAATGGCTATTGTTAAAAAGTAAAAAAAGTAACATGCTGGCAAGGTTGTGGAGAAAAGGGAACACTTATACACTGTTGATGGGAATGTAAATTAGTTCAACCATTGTGGAAAGCAGTATGGTGATTCCTCAAAGAGCTAAAAGCAGAACTACCATTTGACCCAGCAATCCCATTTCTGGGTATATATCCAAAGGAATACAAATCATCCTACCATAAAGGCACATGCACGTGAATGTTCATGGCAGCACTATTCACAATAGCAAAGACATGAAATCAACCTAAATGCCCATCAGTGACTGACTGGATGAAGAAAATGTGGTACATATACTACATGGAATACTATGCAGCCATAAAAAAGAACAAGATCATGTCTTTTGCAGGAATATGGATGGAGCTGGAGGCTATTATCTTTAGCAGACTATCACAGGAACAGAAAACTAAATGCTGCATGTTCTCACTTATAAGTGGGAGCTAAATAATGAGACCTTATGAACACAAAGAAGGAAACAACAGACACTGGGGTCTACTTGAGGGTGGAGGGTGGGAGGAGGGAGAGGAGCAGAAAAGATAACTATTGGGTACTGGGCTTAACACCTGGGTGATGAAATAATCTGTACAACAAACCCCCATGACATGAGTTTACCTATGTAACAAACCTTCACATGTACCCCTAAACCTAAAATAGAAGTTCAAAAATTAAAAATAAATTATTTGCCCATTTTTAATTGGATTATCTTTTCGTTGTTGATTCATATGAGTTTTTAAATCTATTCTATGTACTATACCCTTATCAGATATATGATTTGTAAAAATTTCCTCCCATTCTATGGGTTGTCTTCTTACTTTCTTGATAGCATCCTTTGAGGACAAAAGTTTTTAATTTTTATGAAGTCTAGTTTATTTTTTCTTTTATTGCTTGTGCTTTGGCCATCCTATCTAAGAAACTACTACCTATCCTGAGGGCATGAAGATTTTCACTTATTTTATTCTAAGAGATGTATAGTTTTAGCTCTTAAATGTAGGCCTTTGATCCATTTTGAGTTAATTTGTGTATATGATGTGAGATGGGGATCAAATTTTTTTCTTTTGCATGTGGATATTCAGTTGTTTCAGTAGCACTGTAAAAAGACTATTCTTTCCCCCATTAAATTGTCTTGGTGCCCTTGTTAGAACTCAATTATCTGTAGTTTTATTTCTGAATGTAGTTTTATTTCTAAACTTTCAATTTTTTTCCACTGATTTATATGCCTGTCATTATGCTGATACCACACTGTCATGTTTACTATAGCTTTGTGATAAGTTTTAAATCGGGAAATGGGAGTCCTCCAACTTTGTTCATGCTTTTCAAGATTGCTCTGGGTCCTTTGCATTTCCATATTTTAGAATCAGCTTGTCAGTTTCTCAAAGAAGTCAGCTCGGATTCTGATAGGGATAGATTAAATCTGTAGATCATTTGTGGAGTGGGGGGTATTGTCATTTTAACAATGTAGGAATATTGCCATCTTAAAAATATTGTCTTCCAGTCCATTAACATGGCATATCTTTCTATTTATTTCATTTTTTAAAAAATATATTTTTCAGCCAGTTGCGATGGCTCACGCCTGTAATCGCAGCATCCTGGGAGGCTGAGGCAGGTGGATCACCTGAGGTCAGAAGTTTGAGACCAGGCTGGCCAACATGCTGAAACCCCGTCTCTACTAAAAATACAAAAAATTAGCCAGGCATGGTGGTGGGCACCTGTGATCCCAGCTACTCGGGAGGCTGAGGTAGGAGAATCGCTTGAACCCGGGAGGCTGAGGTTATAGTGAGCTGAGATCATACCATTGCACTCCAGCCTGAGCTACAGAGTGAGACTCTGTCTAAAAAAAATATATATATATATTTATATATATACACACACACACACATATGTGTATATATATATATATACACATATGTATATTTCAATGATATTTTGTAGTTTTCAATGTATATGTTTTGCACTTCTTTTGTTAAATTTATTTCTCAGTATTTATTTCTTAGTATTTACTTCAGGCCAAGCCTGACGTAGGGACACGTTTCAGGAGGGAGTGGAATTACAGGGTCAAATAAGGACATAGTGGTCTGGCCCCAGCCAAGACCTCCTCTCTGCCTCTGTTCTTAGAAAACAAGGGCCATTCCCTGGCTTTAAGGGTCACTTCTGGGACAAAGGTCAGGGAAGGCATGGAGAAAGCTGTAAGGGATGCTCAGGAAGGAACCTGTCAAGCTTGTGTGTGGCAGGACCACATGAGCACATTTAGGAAGGGACAAAGTAGGATGGGAGCCCCGGCCTTGCCAGCCCCAAGGCCCTGTACTTTACTGATACTCAGCCGTTTTTCTTGAATACTTCCCAGACTGATGCAATCCTTTGGTTAATTTCCAGTGTTTTGAAAAGTTGATCCTGACCATTTTTGTCAGTGTTCTCACTGCTTTTATGGAGCAAAAATGTTCAGAGGTCTTTTCTCTACCATTTTCACAGGCATACAATAACATTCAGTAATAGCTAACACCAAGTGCTTCTTCATCTATGCCACGTAACTCTTTTTTGAATGTTGTACATCAGCTTGTTACAGTATCTTATGTTCTATCAATCAAGTAAACTAATTCTACTTTATGTATAGGAGTCTATTTGAAATACATTTAGAAACATTATTTTAATAATTGTGAAAGTTAATGTAATTCATTTAGCTATACAGATAACATTTGAGCATTTACTGTATGGCAGGAATTAAATTATTTTAAAAAGTTTTAATTCTTTTATCTATATGAAATAAATATTATTATTATTGTCCTCATTTACAACTATGTAAAGCTCAGACAGGATAAGTAAATTGTCCCAGATTAAATGCTAGGATGTGGCACATCTGAGATTGGTACCTAATACCCTTGTCTCCAGAACCTAAACTTTAGCCTGAACTTTGAACAATTTAAAAAAAAGATTTATTGAGGTATAATACTGTTTAAATGCCATAATTACAAGGAGGTTTTATGCTTCCACTTATCCCCAAATGCTCATGTTTTTCACTCTTTTAAAATCAGAGAAGTAAACAAATCATTTTATTATTTTAGATTACTTCACCTATGGAAAGAAATATAATGGCAAAAACATAAACTTTTAGAGTGGTAAAATCTAGGTTTGAAACCCATTCCCACCATTTACTGGGTTTATGACATTCAGCAACTTAACACCTTCGAGCCTTGGTGTCTTTATTTGTAAAATAGCAGCTCAGCTCATAATGCCAACCTCGCTGGATGGTTGTTGCAGGGCCCTGGACAGGAAGAACCACTGTGACCCTTTTAAATGAAATGGTAGAGGTATGAAGACAAATTTCACAGATAAAGAGCATATGAAACACAAATAAATGCAAACCTTGGTAAGCAAAGAAATGAAAATGAAAATGAATTAAATTCCAAAGATGTGAGTATGTGAGTAGTAGGTTGGGCAGAACCTTTTTAGAAAATATTTCAGTAGTGGTTTCAAGTGTCCACTATTGTGTTAGACTGTCCATATCATTTGGACAGGCAAGTCTACATCCAGCAACCTATCTTTAGAAAATAGAAATACCTGCAAAAATCAGTATACAATGATGTAATCACCAAAATCTAATAGGAGCTATGTTAATTATGGTTCCGTTTTAGGTTAGAAATATTTTGTCATGAATGCATAATACAAAAATGTGTGTGCAATTTGATGTACACACAAAACCAAAAATATGTAAATAAGTAGTTCAAATTATTATTAGTAAGTGGTAGGTGTTAACTTAAAAATCACAGCATTTATAAGTCTAGAAAAGAGAACTTTATTTCTTAAAAAGGGGATTACAAGCCACAGGCGAGAGCATTGTTTCCAGCTTAAAACCCAAAGCAAGCACTTCGAGGAAGGAAGGGATAAGATAGGAATTTAAGTGGACCAGGTTAACCAAATATACATATTCAACAAGATATAGGGGGAGCTATGAATATTCATGAAAAGGGTTGTGTGCATGAGTGATAAGGAAACATACACGTTACATGCCCACCTTGGGGTGGAGACTTAACATTCAAATGTATTACAGTTAGGCCCTGTACCTCAAAAGGTCTTTTCAGGACATGAAGGCATTTGAGTGACCAGCCTCCCTAAACTGGCCAGAACCAGTCCATAGTGGGTAGTCTTCTTAACAGGAGAAGGTTATTGAAATCAGTCTCTTGTCCGATTGAAGCTATAGTTATGACATCTGGAATAAGGAACTCAGAAAGTGTCTGGTGGTTGGCAAGCTGCAGCTGCTTCAGTATTGCTTATCACAAGGCCAGTGCTTGTTTAACTGCTAGAGAAAAAGAAAAACCTTGTGACAGCTAGAACAGAGTTCATTCTTTAAGTGTAATAGTGCATAACTTAACCCTTGCCTAGATGGCCTTAGGTCCTGTCTATAATTTGGTATCTTATTGCCACAGAGTCTGTTCTTTCAGTCTTATAACTTCTATTTTAACATAAATGCTGGTCAGTTGTGTGTAAACTGCAAAAGGGAGGGGTTATAGTGAGGTGTGTCTGACCTCCTGTCCTGTCATGGCTGTAAACTCAGTTTGGGGTCCCCTTGGCCAAGAGGTAATCTGTTCAATCAGTTCTGGGGCTTAGGATTTTATTTTTAGTTTACATAGGATTTGGATGATTTTTAGGTATTTAATCTTTCTTTCCTCTTTTCCATGTTTTCCAGATTTTCCAAAATGAGCATACATTACTTTTTATGAATAATGAAAGTATCTTAAAAATTCTGGAAGGGGGATTAAAAAAACAGTGGTTCTTATTTTGAGGCTTCTCTGTTACCATCTAATGGGTCTTTAAGGGAATATATAAAAATCATTTTTAGTTTATTATCTTTCCCAAGGGTAGTAGGGCCACATTCATCCTTGATTTCAGGATAATTGACAATGACATGTTTTACTTGATCATGCTGTGATCACAAGTATTCTTGTGATTTGAGCAAAAGACTGGAAAATAAGACAGAGGTTAAAATGAGAGGTGGCAGGAATTACAAAATGGTAGAGTAAGGAACTCAGCAAATTATCTTCCAAAAAAGCAATAGTAAAACTGGACAAAATAGTCAATAATAACCATTTCAGGACTATGGACATCAACTCTTACAACAAATTAGGAAGCATTTATTAAAACACACACACACACACACACACACACACACACACACACACACACACACACAAACTACTGAACCTTGAGAAGAAGTATGAAAGCCTGTGGCAACTTTGTCTGGGGCTGCTGCAGTCCCTCCTTTTTTTCCCCAGCTCTGTCAGTACAGTCAATGAAAATCAGCAGCTCCATTGCCAGAGCGAGCTGACTTGATTTGGAGCACAGTGGAAATACCCCATGACTCTGCCTGTGTTGAAACCTTAGCAATGTTGGTGGTATATGAATAGAAAAGGCCAACATCACAGCTGGCCTGAGTTTGAGATCCTGGTTGGGGCAAGCAGTAGACTGGCATGTTAGCCACTCCAGGGAAGGAGTCAGCCATACTGAGCTTTAATAAGTACCTGCGTATCCCTGGGGGTCAGGAAGCTACGTGCTCACATTCTGGAGAGACTGAAAAGAGCCTTTGCTATCAACACATTTCTGGTTAAATGACAGGCCTTGTGCAGTTACAGAGGAGACACAAGAGGGCCTAGCAGAGAGTAAAAGCTGGGCCAGGCTCGTTCACGGCCTGAGCTTTGAATTGTCCCATAATCGATGCATAGATCCATCAGCAAGGGTAGAAGCTTTACTAGTACAAAGTGTTTGAGCACAGCCTCTGACCAATTGTTGGTGACCACCAAGCAATGCTAACACAGCAGTGACCCCTAGGAAGCCAGGCTTAAAAGTAAAGTAATAACAAAAATACTGAACAGAGAATTTGTGGTCACAAATCTCAGAATACAGATTCTCTTTCAGTGCACATGGAATTTTCTCTGGGAGAAGTCTTAATGCTAGGCCATGAAACGAGTTTCAATAAATTTAAAATGATTGAAATTATACAAAGTATGTTATCTGACCATAAAGGAATTAAATTAAAAATAAACATGAGATAAAAAATTGAGGAAATCCTCACATACTTATAAATTAAATAGTGTGTGTCTTAATAGCCAATGAGTCAAAGGATGAATAATAAGGAAAATACTTTAAAGATCAGAACTGAAGGAAAACGAAAATGCAGCATACCAAAATGTATGAAATGTAGCCAAAGTAGTGGTTAAAGGGAAACTTGGAGCTGTAAATTCATATGTTAAGAAAGAAAAAAGATTCCCAAATCAATAACCTAAGTTTCCACCCTAAGAAACTAGAAAGAGAACAGCAAACTAAATGCAAAGAAAGCAGAAGGAAAATACTGGAGTAGAAATCACAGATCAGAAAAGAGTAAAAACAGAACAGTAAATCAATGAAACCAAAGTTGGTTCTTTGAAAAGATGGACAAAACTTACAAACCTTTTGTTAAACTGTCCAAGAAAATAAGAGAGGAGACACAAATGACCAAAATCAGTAAAACAGGAGAACACTGCTCATAACCCTTTAGAAATTAAAATGATAAGAGAATACTGTGAACAACTTTATGCCAACTCCATAGACAATTTGGTTGACATGGAAAAATTCCTTGAAAGGTAGAAACTTATCACAACTGAATCAAGAAAAAAAAAACAGAAAATTTCAATAGACATATAACAAGTAAAGAAATTGAGTTAATAATTTAAAAATCTTCCCACCAAGAAAAATTCTAGCCCAGGTTACTTTGCTGTTGAAATATATCAAATGTCAAATATTTCAGAAAATAGAAAAGGACAGGCACAGTTTTTGTTTTTGTTTTTGTTTTTTTGAGACAGTCTTGTTCTTGTTGCCCAGGCTGGAGTGCAGTGGCGTGATCTTCGCTCACTGCAACCTCTGCCTCCTGGGTTCAAGCAATTCACCTGCCTCAGCCTCCCAAGTAGCTGGGATTATAGACACCCGCCACCACATCAGGCTAATTTTTGTACTTTTAGTAGAGACGGGGTTTCACCATGTTGGCCAGGCTTGTCTCAAACTCCTGACCTCAGGTAATCCACCCACCTTGGCCTCCCAAAGTGCTGGGATTACAGGCGTGAGCCACCGCACCTGGCCAAGGCACAGTTTTATTCATTATGAGACCGCTATTATCCTGATACCAAAGACAATGAAGACATCACAAGAAAACTGCAGACTAATATTCTTCATAAATACACATATAAAAACCTTCAACAAAAATATTAGAAAACAAAATCTAGAAACATACAAAAATGATTATATACCACGGCCAAGTGGGATTTATCCCAGTAATGAAAGGTTGGGTCTATATCCAAAAATTAATTAACGTAGTATGCCCTGTTAGTAGAATGAAGAACAAGAAACACATAATCACCATAATAGGGACAGATAAAGCATATAACAAAATCTAACATCCATTTCTGATGAAAACTTTCCACAAACTAGGATAAGAAGGAAAACTATGAAAAACATATAGCTTATCATACTAAATGAAAGACTGAATGCTGTCTCTCTAAGATTAGGAACAAAACAAGGATGACTTCATTCATTATTTATATTTACCATTGTATTCTAGTATAATGAAATAAGACAAGAAAAATAAATATTATAAGTCATCCTTATTGCAAAGGAAAAAGGAAAGCTGTCTTTAATCATAAACATGTGTCCATAGGAAATCCAATGTAATGCATTTTTTAAACTACTAAAATGAATGAACAAGTTCAGCAAAGTTGCAGAATATGAAAGTCAATATATGCAGAAATGATTGCATTTCTACTACCAAAGAGCAATTGAAAAATGAAATTAAGAAAACAATTCCAATCCCAGTAACAATAACATCATCAAAAAAATAAAATAGGAATTTTTTTTTTTTTTTTTGAGACAGAGTCTTGCTGTGTCACCCAGGCTGGAGTGCAGTGGTGTGATCTCGGCTCACTGCAACCTCCGTCTCCTGAATTCAAGCGATTCTTCTGCCTCAGCCTCCTGAGTAGCTGGGATTACAGGCATGCACCACCACGCCCGGCTAATTTTGTATTTTCAGTAGAGATGGGGTTTCTCCATGTTGGTCAGGCTAGTCCCGAACTCCCGACCTCAGGTGATCCACCCACCTCGGCCTCCCAAAGTGCTGGGATTACAGGCATGAGCCACCACGCCCGGCCTAGGAATAGATGGACAAAATTTACAAACCTTTTGTTAAACTGTCTAAGAAAATAAGAGAGGAGACACAAATGACCAAAATCAGTGAAACAGGAGAACACTGCTCATAACCCTTTAGAAATTAAAACGATAAGAGAATACTGTGAACAACTTTATGCCAACTCCATAGACAATTTGGTTGACATGGAAAAATTCCTTGAAAGGCAGAAGCTTATCACAACTGAATCAAGAAAAAAAACCAGAAAATTTAACAAAGGTAGTGCAAGATTTGTATGCTGAAAATTACAGAACACTGCTGAGAGAAATTAAACATCTAAATAAATGCAGAGACATTGATTTGGAAGATTCAGTATTGTTAAGATGACAATCTTCTGCAAATTCATTAGACTTTTTTGATAGGAAAAATCCCAGTGAGCACTTGTTGTTTTTGTCGAAATTGATGAGCTGATTCTAAAATTTATATGGAATTCAAAGGTAAAATAATTTTATAAAAGAACAACAAAGGTGGCAAAATTACAATTAGTGATTCCAGAATTTACTGTAAAGCTACAGTAATCAAGTTAGTATGTTACTGGCATGAAGAGGACATGTAGATCAATGCAGCAGCATGACAGTCAAGAAACAAATCCTTACATTTATGGCCAGTTGATTTTTGACAGAAGTGCTAAAGCAATTTAATGGGCAGAAGACTAGGTTTTTTTCAACAAATAGTGCTGAGACCTTTGGATAGTCACATATATAAAACTTATTTTAGAACCTTGCCTCACACTGTAAACAAAAATAAACTCAAATGGATTTTGGACTCAAATATAAGACTTTGGCCAGACGCAGTGGCTTACGCCTGTAATCCCAACACTTTGGGAGGCTGAGGCAGGTGTATGACCTAAGGTCAGGAGTTCAAGACCAGCCTGACCAACATGGTGAAACCCTGTCCCTACTAAAAATACAAAATTAGCCGGGCATGGTGGCACATGCCTGTAATCCCAGCTATTTGGGAGGCTGAGGCAGGAGAATTGCTTAAACTGGGGAGGCGGAGGTTGCAGTGAGCGGAGATGGCACCATTGCACTCCAGCCTGGGCAACGAGAGTGAAACTCCATCTCAAAAAAGAGAAAAAAATAAATGTTAGAGTTAAAATTATAAAACTTCTAGAAGAAAATAGAAGGAAATATTTATGACCCTGGGTTAGTGAAGGGGTTTGTAGATATAATACTAAAATATGATTAGTATAAGAAAAAAATGATAAATTGGACATTATCAACATTTTAAAATGTTGTGTTTCAAAAGACATAAGTAAATGAAGACAAACCACAGACTGGTGAAAATATTTGCAAATCATATGTATGATAAAGTTCTTGTACACAAAATATTTTAAAATTTTTACAATTACAATTAATAATATGAAAATATATCATCCAGTTTAAAATTTGGTAAAAGGTTTGAATAGGCATTTCACAGAAAAAAAAGACAAAGGGCTAAAAACCACATGACAGTATTTTCAATACTATGTATCATTGAAGAAATGTAAATTAAAGCCATAATGAGATAATACCTCACACCCACTATAATGGCTGTGATCAAAAATATAATATCAGGTGTTGGTGAGGATGTGAAGAGAATGAAACTCTCATACTTTGCTGATGGAATATGAAACAGCACAGCCACTTTTCCTGATATGTACCTATGAACAGTGAAAACGTGTCCACATAAAGAGTTGAACATGAATACTCATAGCAGCATCATTCAGGTTGGCCAAACGTGGAAACAGCCTGCAGTTCCATCAACTCATTTGGTGAATAGATCAACAAAATGTGATACATCCATATAGTAGAATACTATTCTGTAATAAAAAGTTACCATACATTCTGCAATATGAATGAATCTTAAAACGTTATGCTAAGTGAAAGAAGCCAGATGCAAAATATTTTATATATTTTTTTACGTTTATATGAAATATCCAGAAAAGGTGAATTTAGAGACCAAAACCAGATTGGTATTGTCTGGGGCTGGGAGTTTGAGTAGAGGTGGTCTGCAAACAAGCATAAGGGATTTTTTAAAAATAATTTTTAAAAAATTTGTGGGTGCATAATAGGCATATATATTTATGGTGTACCTGAGATGTTTTGATACAGGCATGTGTAATATGTAATAATTACATCATGGAAACTAGGTTATTTATCCTCTCAAGCATTATCTTTTGTTTTACAAATAATCTAATTATACTTTTAGTTTTTAAATGTACAATTAAATTATTATTGACTATAGTCACCCTATGTGATATCAAATACTAAGTCCTATTCATTCATTCTATTTTTTTGGTAATCATTAACCATTCCCATGTCCTCACCACCTGCCCGCTACACTTCCCAGCCTCTAGTAACTATCCTTCTACTCTGTCTCCATGAGTTCAATTGTTTTGATTTTCAGATTCCACAAATAGGTCAGAACATTCAATGTTTGTCTTGTGCTTGGCTTTTTTTTACTGAATAAATGACCTCCAATTCCATATATTGTTGGAAATGACTAAATCTCATTCTATTTTATGGCTGAATAATACTCCATTGTATGTAAGTACCACATTGTCTTTATCCATTAATCTGTTGATGGACACTTGGTTTGCTTCCAAATCTTGGCTATTGTGAAGAGTGCTGCAACATACACGGGAGTTCAGATATCTCTTTGATATACTGATTTCCCTTCTTCTAGGTATATACCCAGTGGTGAGATTGCTGGATCATGTGAGAGCTCTATTTTTAGTTTTTTGAGGAACCTCAAAACTGTTCTCCATAGTGGCTGTACTAATTTACATTCCCACCAACAGTGTACAAGGGTTACCATTTCTCCACATCCTTGATAGCATTTGTTATTGCCTATCTTTTGGATATAAATTATTTGAACTGGGGGAAGGTATCTCACTATAGTTTTGATTTGCGTTTCTCTGATGATCAGTGATATTGAGCACATTTTTATATGTGTGTTTGCTATTTGTAGATCTTCTTTTGAGAAATGTTTGTTCAAATCTTTTACCCATTTTTAAATCAGATAATTAGATGTTTTCCTATAGAGTTGTTTGAGCTCCTTATATATTCTAATTATTAGTCCCTTGTCACATGGGTAGTTTGCAAGTATTTTCTCCTGTTCTGTGGACTATCCCTTCAGTTTGTTGATTGTTTCCTGATATGGTTTGGCTGTGTCCCCACCCAAATCTCTTCTTGAATTGTAGTTCCCATAATCCCCTTGTGTTGTGGGAGGGACCAGGTGGAGACAGTTGGATCATGGGTGTGGTTTCCCCCATCATATTCTCGTGATAGTGAGTTCTCACGAGATATGATGGTTTTATAAGGGGCTTCCCCCTTTGCTGGGCAGTCATTGTTCCCCTTGCTCCTACCATGTGAAGAAGAATGTGTCTGCTTCCCCTTCTGCCATGATGGTAAGTTTCTTGAGGCCTCCCAACCCAAGCTGAACTGTGAGTCAATTAAACCTCTTTCCTGTATAAATTACCCAGTCTTGGGTATGTCTTTATTAGCAGTGTGAGAATGGACTAATATATTTCCTTTGCTGTGCAGAAGCTTGTGCACCAGTGAATTGCCTTCCCTTCAGGGTGGCAAGTTCTTCCATGTTCTGTGCCAGTCCAGAGGTGCCATCCGGGAGCCAGGGACTAAAGTCAAAAACCTTAGCTGTCTACCTGGTGTTCTATTGTATTGCAGCTGAGAAGGCACTCAAACCACAAGATGTAGTCTTTCCCACTCTTCTCTCCCCTTTCCAAAGGCAGAGGTGTCTTGCCCTGTGGCTACAGCCACCTCATGCCCACTGGGAGTACTGCTAGACTGCTGCTGATGTTCCCTTAAGGCCCAGGTGCTCTTTATTCAGCTTGTGGTGAGTGCTGCCTGGTCTGGGACTCACCCTCCAGGAAAATGGGCTCCCCTCTGGCCTAGGGAAGATTCAGAAATGCCTTCCAAGAGCCAAGTCCTGGAATTGTGGGCCCCAAGAACATGCTTGGTGCTCTTCCCCCTTGTAGCCAACCTGGTACCTAAGATACAAGACGAAATCCCATTACTTTTCCTTTCATTTTTCTCAAGCAGAAGAAGTCTCACCCCATAGCCACTACAACTGGGAATATACTGACTCTCATGTGAAGTCAGCAAGTCTTAGGCCCTCAGTGTAGTATGTTGGTATCACTGCTGGTTATTCAGTGCCAAAGGACTCTTCAGTTAGCTGGTGAAGAATCCTGCCCATACTGAATCTTTCCTCCAAGGCAGTGGGTTCCCTTCTGGCCCAGAGTGTGTCTAGAAAGGTCATCCAGGAGCCAGGGCCTGGAAAGGGGGCCTCATGCCTCTGACTGTTGCCCTATCCTACTGCTGCTGAGCTGGTATCCAAGGTGCAAGACAGAATCCTCCCCAGTCTTCCTCAAGCAGAAGAAAAGGAGCTACAAACTGTGCAGCCTGGGGTCAGAGGAGTGATACCAGCATGCCCTTAGCTATTCCAGCTGGTGTCTCAAGAGGTCACATGCCCCCCCAGTTCACTGCCTCTGAGACCAGTTCAGCACTAGGACTTGCCTAGGAGTTGCAGACTTTGTGGCCTAGACTGCTGTTGAAGTTTATTTGGGGCCCCAGAGCACTTTAGTCCATGGTGGCTAGGCTTGCAGGAACTTAAGTTTTAATTGCTGGGATCAGTGATTTGCCTCTGGCTAGGGCTGGTTTAAATGCTCCCTCTGTGGGTGGGCATCAGCTGAGTTTGGTCTGGTTTTGCTTTCTTCTATAACAAAGGCAACACTGAGTTAAATGCCTCACAATTGCTGGCTGTTCCTCTACCTGACACACAGAAATACTGTCTGCACCGTGCTGCCACAACCGAACATGGGGGAGGGGTGGCATCAGTGATTTAAGATGTTTTTCCTACCTCTTTAGTGCTTTTTTCAGCAATATGAAGTTAAAACCAGGTACTGTGAGTGCTCACCTAATTTTTTGGTTCTTATGAAGGTGTTTTTTTCTGTGTATAGTTGTTAAATTGGTGTACTTGCAGAGGGGATGATCAGTGGAGCCTTTTGTTCTGCCCTTCTTGGTCTAAGGGATCTTTTTGAGATGATGGGATTGTTCTACAGTTGGACTCTGGTGATGGTTGCATAAGTCCTTAAATATACTAAAAATCATTGAATTTTACACAAAATATGGTAAATTTTGTGGCATGTAAATTATACCTCAGTAAAGTTTTTTTTTTTTAGTTTTTATTTCAATAGTTTTTTGGGTACAAGTGGTTTTTTGCTACCTTAATGAATTATATAGTGGTGAATTCTGAAATAAAGCTGTTTTTAAAAAGGGAATCAAATGGTATTCAAAGAAAGGTTCCAAGAGTGCCAGTTATTAATTTAAAATCATAGGTGTAAAATATGCATTGTAAAGAATGTTAACCATTAAAAAAAGAAATGAGCTACAGTGTATTTTAATAAGCACACTAAAGTGTCTTGGGTTCAGAATTGCTTCTCTTCTCTTTTAAAGACAGAAGAATCTTCAGTGAATTTAAACTTCAGCAGAAGGGAAAACTAATGGAATGAAATTCCCTATACTAATCATGCAACATTAGAATGAATGTGTAAGGGAGGCCACAGAACCATCTTCTATTGGCCGTTAAACTCAGTACACAGCCATATAATATATATCGAAACGTTTTACATATTTAAACAGGCTATTTTGCAATCTCACTATTTCCTTGTAACTGTACCTAGAGCTATTTGATACCATCACTGAAAATGTGCATCCTAATTTTGTAATTTTTAGGTCATGATGAGGAAAAATAAAAACCATTTTGGCTTAAAGAACAGATGATTCTATAAATGAATCAAATCATCAGAAGTCTGAGATCAGTTTTACAAGTTCACTCTAACCTGAAGTGAGCATTTGCAAATGATTGTAAATGATTGTACATACAGAAGAAAGGTGAATAGGTAATCTGAATAAATGAGTTTATCTACACTCTTGGATGGGTGCTACCATTTACTCAAATTCTCATGGAGCTGCCATTGTGGAAAAAAACTGTCAATCAAAGATGAAGCTCTAAAAGCAAATTGAAAATTGAATTGAAAAGTAATTTTACTTTCAAGTGGTTTGCAAATGTAGATGTTAAGTTTGAAATGAATGCTGTTAATGACCATAGCTGAGTTATAAACCTGCTGATCACTAGAATATTATTATAAATGAGGTTGATTTTCCCGTCAACTACCCCATTTTCTCTCAACATAGTCTCATTACTTTTTCTATCACATTGCTGACCCTTAGCTGTGAATGCTCACTTACGTATGTAACAATGTATTAACTCATATATGGTGTTTTTTAAAAATGAATCCTTAAGTACAAGAGGAGTAATGCTAGTGTTACTTGTCTCTTTCTTCTTTGTTAGGTTACAGGAGGTTTTTGATGGTGAAAATCAAGCCTGTATTACAAGTGAAGAGCTGTTTTACAAGCAGCCTCCTTGCAGCAACTAAATTGCCCCCAAAAAAGCACATAAGTGTAATGAAGCTTTTAAGTAGTCACACATATGCATTTATATTCTCTCTCTCATGAATGACTAATTTTAATTTTTTTAAAGTAGCAATTCAGCTTGCTTTTAGAACCATTTAAGCTTTGCACATGATTTTGTTTTCCCCCCAAAGCCAACTATTCTTGATTATGAGATAGGGGAAGGTTTGCATATTTATTTTTGCAAAGACAGTAGCATAAGCCCTCATCACCATATGGATGGCTTAGTCCTAATATCTCTGTCTTAAGCTGGGCACATGATCATTTAGAAATTCTTCCAGACATCGGAGCCATAATGATTAGACTTAACTGAGAACTATTTTGTGCAAACCAAAATCTGAGTTCTGTGAAGATAAACCTCATGCTGTGAGCCTAGCATTTGATTCCTATTGAGTTTTGCAGTCTAGAGGACCCACCTCTTAATAAATGTGTTGGATTACGTTGAAAGATACACTATAGCAGAGGAGTGAATCTTTCTTTTGGCTTTTCACACAGTCTTCTGTCTTGCATGCTTTTCCCCTAGATGTGTGCATGGTTCCTACCTCTACTTCGCTCAACTCAGCTTAAACGTTGCCTTATGTGAGAGGCCTTCCCTAACTACCCTTTCTAAAATAATACTTCCCACCCCTATCAGTCTGTATCACTTTTTCATCCTTTATTTTTATTCCATAGTCCTTATTGGGAATTGACATACTATATGTGGACTAGTTTATTTATTACTATCTTCTCCATTAGAACAAGCTGGAGACCTTGTTTTTTTCACTGTGAAATCCCCAGTATCTACGTCCAGACTTGAGAGCAAGTAGGTGCTCAATAAGAAGATGAGCCAATATGTAACTCTGGTAGGGCTTCAAAAAAGGCCACTTAGCAAATATTTCCTAATTAATTATAAACCCCTGAACCTAGCTCTGTGAGAGTACTGTGATAAGCAGGATGTGATCTCAGTTCCCTGGGGTGCTTACAGGCTAGTAGAAGAGTTTATATATAACAGCCTGACGCCCACACTTTTTTTTTTAAATCAAGACTCACTGGAGCAGAATAAAAGATGTCATAGCCTGCAACCCCACCCATTCCCACTTTCCAGTAAGGAGGTTGGGACATTGATAGAGAGAGGATTACATAGGCATCTATGAGCCACTTATGTTTTAGTTAATAGAAAATTAAAGGCCAGAATTCCACAGGGTTCAATGAACAATCCACAGCCACCCAAGTTGATGATGGTTACTTGAATACAAGCACTGCAATACGGTGACAGTCAATCTGATCACCCAAGACAGCTGCTAAATGACTAACAGGTGGGTGGCATCTACAGTGTGGAGACTGGAAAAAGGGAGAATTCACATCCAGGGTGGGATGGAGTAGGATGATGAGAAATTTTATCACACTACTCAGAGCAGCATGCAATTTAAAACTTATGAATTATTTATTTCTGGTATTTTCCACTTAATATTTTTGGATCCTGAGTAACTGAAACCACTGGAACATGAAACCACAGATGAGGGGGACTACTGTAATAACGTATCACTGAAAACTAAGAATAGCACTACTTGAAAACTACAATGAACTCAACGCTGATGATGAATTTGTAATAAATGGTTTTCCTCCCAAATTTCCAGAAATTCCATCCCTACCCTACCCCCTAACCATCATGTTTTATATGTGTCCACTAGGAACTTTGCAAATTGCCCAGCCTTTCGGGGCACTCAGACGTTTTTGTGGAAGTTAACATGAGGAACTTATCTAAACTCTAAAGTGAGCTTTGGAACACCAAATTCTAGTAACCCTTTTTTTTATTATTATACTTTAAGTTTTAGGGTACATGTGCACAACGTGCAGGTTTGTTACATATGTATACATGTGCCATGTTGGTGTGCTGCACCCAGTAACTCGTCATTTAACATTAGGTGTATCTCCTAATGTTATCCCTCCCCTCTCCCCCCACCCCACAACAGGCCCCGGTGTGTGATGTTCCCCTTCCTGTGTCCATGTGATCTCATTGTTCAATTCCCACCTATGAGTGAGAACATGAGGTGTTTGGTTTTTTGTCCCTGCAATAGTTTGCTGAGAATGATGGTTTCCAGCTTCATCCATGTCCCTACAAATGACATGAACTCTTCATTTTTTATGGCTGCATAGTATTCCATGGTGTATATGTGCCACATTTTCTTAATCCAGTCTATCATTGTTGGACATTTGGCTTGGCTCCAAGTCTTTGCTATTGTGAATAGTGCTGCAATAAACATACGTGTGCATGTGTCTTTATAGCAGCATGATTTCTAATCCTTTGGGTATATACCCAGTAATGGGATGGCTGGGTCAAATGGTATTTCTAGTCCTAGATCCCTGAGGAATCGCCATACTGACTTCCACAATGGTTGAACTAGTTTACAGTCCCACCAACAGTGTAAAAGTGTTCCTATTTCTCCACATCCTCTCCAGCACCTGTTGTTTTCTAACTTTTTAATGATCACCATTCTAACTGGTGTGAGATGGTATCTCATTGTGGTTTTGATTTGCATTTCTCTGATGGCCAGTGATGATGAGCATTTTTTCATGTGTCTTTTGGCTGCATAAATGTCTTCTTTTGAGAAGTGTCTGTTCATATCCTTCACCCACTTGTTGATGGGGTTGTTTTTTTCTTGTAAATTTGTTTGAGTTCATTGTAGATTCTGGATATTAGCCCTTTGTCAGATGAGTAGATTGCAAAAATTTTCTCCCATTTTGTAGGTTGCCTGTTCACTCTGATGGTAGTTTCTTTTGCTGTGCAGAAGCTTTTAGTTTAATTAGATCCCATTTGTCAATTTTGGCTTTTGTTGCCATTGCTTTTGGTGTTTTAGACATGAAGTCCTTGCCCATGCCTATGTCCTGAATGGTAATGCCTAGGTTTTCTTCTAGGGTTTTTATGGTTTTAGGTCTAACATTTAAGTCCTTAATCCATCTTGAATTAATTTTTGTATGAGCTGTAAGGAAGAGATCCAGCTTCAGCTTTCTACATATGGCTAGCCAGTTTTCCCAGCACCATTTGTTAAATAGGGAATCGTTTCCCTATTTCTTGTTTTTCTCAGGTTTGTCAAAGATCAGATGGTTGTAGATATGCGGTGTTATTTCTGAGAGTTCTGTTCTGTTCCATTGGTCTATATCTCTGTTTTGATACCAGTACCATGCTGTTTTGGTTACTGTAGCCTTGTAGTGTAGTTTGAAGTCAGGTAGCATGATGCCTCCAGCTTTGTTCTTTTGGCTTAGGATTGACTTGGCAATGCAGGCTCTTTTTTGGTTCCATATGAACTTTAAAGTAGTTTTTTCCAATTCTGTGAAGAAAGTCATTGGTAGCTTGATGGGGTTGGCATTGAATATATAAATTACCTTGGGCAGTATGGCCATTTTCACAATATTGATTCTTCCTACCCATGAGCATGGAATGTTCTTCCATTTGTTTGTATCCTCTTTTATTTTGTTGAGCAGTGGTTTGTAGTTCTCCTTGAAGAGGTCCTTGTAAGTTGGATCCTAGGTATTTTCTTCTCTTTGAAGCAATTGTGAATGGGAGTTCACTCATGATTTGGCTCTCCGTTTGTCTGTTATTGGTGTATAAGAATGCTTGTGATTTTTGCACATTGATTTTGTATCCTGAGACTTTGCTGAAGTTGCCTATCAGCTTAAGGAGATTTTGGGCTGAGACGATGGGGTTTTCTAGATATACAATCATGTCATCTGCAAACAGGGACAACTGGACTCCCTCTTTTCCTAATTGAATGCCCTTTATTTCCTTCTCCTGCCTAATTGCCCTGGCCAGAACTTCCAACACTATGTTGAATAGGAGTGGTGAGAGAGGGCATCCCTGTCTTGTGCGAGTTTTCAAAGGGAATGCTTCCAGTTTTTGCCCATTCAGTATGATACTGGCTGTGGGTTTGTCATAGATAGCTCTTATTATTTTGAGATACATCCCATCAAAACCTAATTTTTTATTGAGAGTTTTTAGCATGAAGGGTTTTTGAATTTTGTCAAAGGCCTTTTCTGCATCTATTGAGATAATCATATGGTTTTTGTCATTGGTTCTGTTTATATGCTGGATTGTGCAATCAAACTATAACTCAGGATTAAGAAACTCACTCAAAACCTCAACTACATGGAAACTGAACAACCTGCTCCTGAATGACTACTGGATACATAACGAAATGAAGGCAGAAATAAAGATGTTCTTTGAAACCAACGAGAACAAAGACACAACATACCAGAATCTCTGGGACGCATTCAAAGCAGTGTGTAGAGGGAAATTTATAGCTCTAAATGCCCACAAGTGAAAGCAGGAAAGATCTAAAATTGACACCGTAACATCACAATTAAAAGAACTAGAGAAGCAAGAGCAAACACATTCAAAAGCCAGCAGAAGGCAAGAAATAACTAAGATCAGAGCAGAACTGAAGGAAATAGAGACAAAAAAAACCTTCAAAAAATCGATGAATCCAGGAGCTGGTTTTTTGAAAAGATCAACAAAATTGATAGACCTCTAGCAAGACTAATAAAGAAGAGAGAAGAATCAAATAGACACAATAAAAAATGATAAAGGGGATATCACCACCAATCCCACAGAAATACAAACTACCATCAGAGAATACTATAAACACCTCTACGCAAATAAACTAGAAAATCTAGAAGAAATGGATAAATTCCTCGACACATACACCCTCCCAAGACTAAACCAGGAAGAAGTTGAATCTCTGAATAGACCAATAACAGGTTCTGAAATTGAGGCAATAATTAATAGCTTACCAACCAAAAAAAGTCCAGGACCAGAAGGATTCACAGCCGAATTCTACCAGAGGTACAAAGAGGAGCTGGTACCATTCCTTCTGAAACTATTCCAATCAATAGAAAAAGAGGGAATCCTCCCTAACTCATTTTAAGAGGCCAGCATCATCCTGATACCAAAGCTGGGCAGAGACACAACAAAAAAAGAGAATTTTAGACCAATATCCCTGATGAACATCGATGCAAAAATCCTCAATAAAATACGGGCAAACCGAATCCAGCAGCACATCAAAAAGCTTATCCACCATGATCAAGTGGGCTTCATCCCTGGGATGCAAGGCTGGTTCAACAAACGCTAGTAACCCTTTTAAACTCAATTAGAACATTACTACCAAGTGACAAAACTGGAATATATGGGACTACATGTTATTTAACTGTGAAAACAAAGGAAAAGATGTGCATATTTGCATCAGTTCATGGCTCATAAAGTGGACTATAGTCATGGACCAAAACCACAAAGGGGAATGAAAAAATTCAGTAATAGAAGTTAAAAAACATGCTGTAGCAAGTCAATAAAAAATGTGATTAAAATCTGGAGATCGAAGAAGTTTTCAGGGAGGAGCTGGCATTTCAACTCAAACTGTGATAGATGAATATAATTTCAGTTGGCATAATAAAGAGAGAAGGGGCTTTCCAAGGGAAGTGCATAAGCAAAGGCATGAAAATAGAAAAGAATGTCATACATTTAAGTAGCAGGAAGCATACTGGTATTGTCATTGTGGCAGTCCACTCCAGTGTCCCATGTCATGTCCTCTGGACCCACCTCTGCTATCAGCTGCACTTGACAGTTTGGTGCAAGTTAGTGCAAGTGCACCCTAGAGCCTCCTTTGATGCTGTGGAGGCCCACTTCACCCATGGACCCAAGTTCCAATATACAACTTGGAAATACTGGGGAGTTAAGGCCCCTAAAGGCAGCCCGTAACCCTTGGGGATTGGGAGTCAGTGATTATGTGCTCCCATCTCCCACCCTTCAGGTGGTCCATTCTGTAGGCTGTTCTGTACATGTCTTCAGAAGTCCCAGTGGAATGGAGCCCCTGTGACTTGTAGTGCTGTCACTGATAGTACATTCTTATATTGCCTTTTCCTCCTTTGTTGTCCTATTCTCCCTGCTCCCTCACTCCTGCTTCATGAGATTACCTCTGAAATAGACTACTTGCACCGTATTTTAAATTCTACTTTTGGAGATGTGCTTCCTAAAGACGCTGCACAACACAGCCAAGTATATGAGATATCTCTAAGGATTGCATTGGCCAAAAAACTCACAAGAATTGGAGACCTTACTCAGTATTGAATTTTATAAATATTCTCAAGGATATAAGTCATGAAGTACACATGAAGCAGAAGGAGATCCAGTCCTTTCTAAATGCACATGGCCCAGATTTAATGGGTAAGTTCTCCGAGCAATACCTGAGGGAGAGCTACCAGCCCAAAGAGAGCTTATTTTGGCTACTTCATATATTTGTAGCTTATGTGGCATTTTTCGGGGAGCGATGCCCCCATAAGCCCATGGATTCCAGGTTTGTTGACTACAAGCAGTCCTAGACGTATCAGGTATATCCTGCAAAAGGCTTTCCATTAATAACTTTTCCCCTAATACCACTGGTGCATTTGCCAGGGAAGTTCGCTCATGTTTACAGGGAGTTTTGGCTGGTCTTATATCTTTTTTTTCTGGAATGCCCTTTAGTAAAGTAAAGTAAATGGTTGCAGGCCTGCTGCTCTCTTTCCTTCCCAGAGGAAGCATGCAACCTTTTAAAAACACTGAGCCAGGTAACTACTAACCTTGGAGTTGTCAGATAGACTTGTAAATAATTTACCATTATTGCTCTTGCCTCATCATTTTAGGCTTTAGTAGGTCTCCTGGCTCTGCTACGTACTATCTATGAGACCTTGAACAAGTTGCTTAATGTCTCTGAGCCTCTCACTACATTGGTAAAATGTAAATATTCATTCCTATTTCAAAGAGTTGTTGGGAGGAATAAATGAGATAACACAGGTAAAATGGTATGCAGGTTCTGGCACATGGTAGGGATTTAGATGTTGCTCTTCCATGTCCCATCCTCTTCTAACTATTTATAATTATATCCTTGATTTCTCCCCTGCTGAGGTCTTCTTGATGTCTCATATTAAAACTCCCAGCAACCAATCTTGGCTTTCTTCTGCGTTTCCTCTCTTCCTCTTGTACCAATTCGGATGTTCTCTCCTGGAGTCTCGGGTGCTAACCCCCTGGTTTCTGTCCTGCACATTTTTCTTCATGGGGTTTGACAGGAGCAGAGGGTAGCATACAGGAATGTGGTGACAGGCGATACTGGGGTAGTGGATAAGGGTCAGAATTTGGAGGTCCCTGAATAACAAACAAGACAAGAAACTTGGACTTTATTCCATAGACTATAAGATGCCAAAAAAGAAATTGGAACTTAGGGGTGACATTCAGTCTCCATGGCTGGTCCACATGAAGAATGGACTGAGAGATAAAACACTGGGGGCTGGGTTGGGTGGCCCACGCTGTAATCCCAGCACTTTGGGAGGCCAAGGTGGGCGGATCACCTGAGGTCAGGAGTTCGAGACCAGCCTGGCCAACATAGTGAAACCTGTCTCTACTAAAAATACAAAAAATTAGCCGGGCATGGTGGCACATGCCTGTAGTCCCAGCTACTTAGGAGACTGAGACACGAGAATCGCTTGAACCTGGGAGGCAGAGGTTGCAGTGAGCCGAGATCACGTCACTGCACTCCAGCCTGGGTGACAAAGTGAGACTCCATCTCAAAAAAAAAAAAAAAAAAAAATTGGGGCAGTTGAGAAACCAGTAAAAGAGGCCATTTCAAGCAACAAATGACCTGAACTTTGTAACTGTAAGAAACCAAAGGAAAAAAATAGATATGAAACCACTAAGAAAGTGACTTTGGGCTGGTCGTGGTGGCTTATGCCTGTAATCCCAGCACTTTGGGAGGTCGAGGTGGGCCGATCACGAGGTCAGGAGATTGAGACCATCCTGGCCAACGTGGTGAAACCTCATCTGTACTAAAAATACAAAAATTAGCTGGGTATGGTGGTGTGCGCCTGTAGTCCTAGTTACTGGGGAGGCTGAGGCAGGAGAATCGCTTGAACCAGGGAGGCGGAGGTTGCAGTGAGCCGACATCGCGCCACTGGACTCCAGCCCAGTGACAGAACGAGACTCCGTCTCAGAAAAAAAAAAAAAAAAGAAAGTGACTTTGACAGCATGTGGCAGCTAATTGGATTGGTGAAGTTCAGATGCTCATGATGACCAGCAATCAGTGATTCTCAGGAGTCCTCGCTAATAACTGAGAGGATTTGAAGTAAGTATGTGAGGCCTATTGTGAGGTATGAGGTTACCCCCAGGAGCCTGGGAATGAGGAAAATAAGATTAGCCTCCAAAATTTTAGTTGTAAGATAATAATCATTGGATCAGAGCTTTTTTTTACCTATCAAAAGGAAGGATTTGTGGATGGAAAGAAGATAATCTCATACACACATACACACAAAAGGTAAACATGAACTGTGTCCATTCAAACACAGTGTAGGGTAGGCATCTTAGCCATTAGATATTAAATATCTTGTTCCCAGGAGGAAAGGTCATTCTACTATGCATGTGTTTATAGGGATCACCTGCCCCAAAAAGAAAGCAAGCATGTACTTCAGAAGGTGGATACTGGGATTAATTAGATCTGAGTTTAAATCTGCACTCTGCTGAATGTGTGGTTTGGGGAGAGATACCTAGCCTTACTAACTAAGCTTTAGATTCCTCATCTGTAAAATAGATGATAATAATAATAGTAGATATCTTGTAGGGTTTATGGGAGGATTAAATTAGATAAAGTATATAGAGTGCTTAATACATTGTTGGCATATAGAGAATGTTCAATAATTGATATTTAATAATGATATTTTTGGAAAATGTATGCATCTTACACTGAAGTCTAAGTCAGTCATTTGGATTATATGCTAAGTCAACAAATCCTTCTGATACTTGATAGATTTTTTTTCTTTACACGAATTAACACATTTCAGTAGTTTACACTCCAGTCTTGCTAGCTTGGAGATCATCCTTCTGGAAGGCCTTACACAGGATCATGGATGGAGGCACAAATTTGTAACCTATTGGAAAACTGGATCCAGAATGAAGCAGGAAGAGGTTCTAAAGCAGTGAGAGAGAGGGAGAAGTGAAAGGGGAGTGGTTTTCAGCAGAGAAACAAGTATTATCTTAAGAATATAATATGGTTCTGTGGTTCTCACCATACTGTAAACTCTATAAGGACAGAAACCAGGGAATCCTTGGTACTGCTGTATTCGGAGCACTTAGCACGATGTCTATACTAGTCTCTTGGTAAACAGTGAACAAATGAAACTGCTTCAGCCTGGAATAGTAGTCGGCATAGTGTTGCATGACAGAAATGGCAGTGGATTTTAAGTTCAAAGACAGAATGGTAACACTTGTCTCTGCTACTTACTAACTGTATATCCATGGGCTGGTAATTTCTGGAGTCTTATTTTCTCATCTGTAAAATAGAAAATGAATAAAAGTGTTAAAAACAACTATTTAAGAATAGTTACTTCTCTCTGGCTGCCCTTAACATTTTTTCCTTCATTTCAACCTTGGAGAATCTGAGGATTATGTGTCTTCAGGTTGCTCTTCTCGAGGAGTATCTTTGTGGTGGTCTCTGTATTTCCTGAATTTGAAAGTTGGCCTGTCTTGGCTAGGTTGGGTAAGTTCTCCTAGATAATATCCTGAAGAGTGTTTTCCTACTTGGTTCCATTCTCCCCGTCACTTTCAGGTATACCAATCAAATGTAGGTTTGGTCATTTTACATAGTTCCATCTTTCTTGGAGGCTTTGTTCATTCTCTTTCATTCTTTTTTCTCTAATCTTGTCTTCACGCTTTATTTCATTAAGTTGATCCTCATTTTCTGATATCCTTTCTTCCGCTTGATTGATTCGGCTATTGATACTTGCGTATGCTTCACAACATTCTTGTGCTGTGTTTTTCAGCTCCATCAGGTCATTTATATTCTTTTCTAAACTCGTTATTCTAGTTAGCAATTCCTCTAACTATTTTTAAGGTTCTTAGCTACCTTGCATTGGGTTAAAACATGCTCCTTTAGCTTAGAGTAGTTTATTATTACCCACCTTCTGAAGCGTACTTCTGTCAAGTCCTCAAACTCATTCTCTGTCCAGTTTTGTTTCCTTGCTGGCGAGGAGTTGTGATCCTTTGGAGTAAAAGAAGTGTTCTGGTTTTTGGAATTTTCAGCCTTTTTGTGCTGGTTTTTCCTCATCTTCGCGGATTTATCTACCTTTGGTCTTCGATGTTAGTGACCTTTGGATGGGGTTTTTGTGTGGACATCCTTTTCATTCATGTTGATTCTATTCCTTTCTGTTTGTTAGTTTTTTGCTAACAGTCAGGCCTCTCTGCTGTAGGTCTGCTGAAGTTTTCTGAAGGTCCACTCCAGACCCTCTTTCCCTGGGTATCACCAGCAGAGGCTGCAGAACGGCAAAGATTCCTGCCTGTTCCTTCCTCTGGAAGCTTCATCCCAGAGGGGCACCTGCCAGACGCCAGGCAGAGCTCTCCTGTATGACGTGTCTATTGACCCCTGCTGGGAGGTGTCTCCCAGTCAGGAGGCACAGGGGTCAGGGACCCACTTGAGGCGTCTGTCCCTTAGCAGAGCTCGAGCACTGTGCTGAGAGATCTGCTGCTCTCTTCAGAGCCGGCAGGCAGGAACATTTAAGTCTGCTGAAGCTGCACCCACAGCCACCACTTTCCCCAGGTGCTCTGTCCCAAAGAGATGGGAATTTTATCTATAAGTGCCTGACTGGAGCTGCTGCCTTTCTTTCAGAGATGCCCTGCCCAGAGAGGAGGAATCTAGAGAAGCAGTCTGGCTACAGCGGCTTTGCAGAGCTGCACTGAGCTCTGCCCAGTTCGAAATTCCTGGTGGCTTTGTTTTCACTGTGAGGGGAAGACTGCTTACTTGAGCCTTAGTAATGGCAGACGCCGCTTCCCCCACCAAACTCTAGTGCCCTGGGTTGATTTTAGACTGCTGTGTTCTCAGTGAGAATTTCAAATCAGTGGATCTTAGCTTGCTGGCCTCCATGGGGGTGGGATCCACTGAGCAAGACCACTTGGTTCCCTGGCTTTAACCCCCTTTCCAGGGGAGTGAAGGGTTCTGTCTCACTGGTGTTCCAGGTGCCACTAGGGTACGAAAAAAGACTCCTGCAGCTAGCTCGATGTCTGCCCAAACAGCTGCCCTGTTTTTTGCCTGAAACCCAGGGCCCTGGTGGTGTAGGCACCTGAGGGAATTTCCTGGTTTGTGGGTTGCAAAGACCATGGGAAAAGCATAGTATCTGGGCCAGAATGCACCGTTCCTCATGGCACAGTCCCTCACGGCTTCCTTTGGCTAGGGGAGGGAGTTCCCTGACACCTTGCACTTCCCAGGTGAGGCAACGCCCCACCCTGCTTTGGCTTGCCCTCCATGGACTGCAACCACTGTCTAACCAGTCCCAGTGAAATGAGCCGGGTACCTCAGTTGGAAATGCAGAAATCACCTGCCTTCTGCATTTATCTCACTGGGAACTGCAGACCGAAACTGTTCCTATTCAGCCATCTGCTGGCACATATCATTTTATTTTTTCTTTTACAGCATAAAAATCTTCAACAAAATACTAGCCCAATTGAAATTTCCTCCAAGAATACAAAGTTCATTTCACATTTGAAGATCAATGAGTATAATTAAATATATAGACAGAATAAAGGTGAAAAACAACAGGATAATTTCAACCAGTATAGAAAAGGCATTTAACAAAATTCTGCAACCTTTCATGATTGAAAAAAGAATGTCTAAAAAAGTAGAATGGAAAACAACATCCTCAGTGTGATAAAGTAAACTACGCTCTAACATCATACTTAATAAGGTCATAATGAACACTTTCTCCCTGTGATTGGGAATAAAGCAAGGGTATATATTGTAATGATTTCTATTTAAGATGTGCTGAAGGCCCTAGCCATTGCGGTAATGCAAGAAAAAGAAATGAAAGGGCCGGGCACAGTGGCTCACGTCTGTAATCCCAGCACTTTGGGAGGCCGAGGCGGGCGGATCACGAGGTCAGGAGATCGAGACCACGGTGAAACCCCATCGCTACTAAAAATACAAAAAATTAGCCGAGGGCAGTGGCGGGCGCCTGTAGTCCCAGCTACTCGGGAGGCTGAGGCAGGAGAATGGCGTGAACCCAGGAGGCGGAGCTTGCAGTGAGCCAAGATCATGCCACTGCACTCCAGCCTGGGCCACAGAGCGAGATTCTATCTCAAAAAAAAAAGAAAAAGAAATGAAAGTTATAAAGTTGAAAAAGCAGAAGTAAAACAGTCTTTATTCACTCCGGGACATGATTGTTTATGTATAAAATCCTCAGGAATCTACAAAACAACTACTGGAACTCAAGAGTGAATTAAGCAAAGGTCAGAGGAAACAAGTACCATATAGAGAAATCAATTGAATGTCTATATACTAGAACCAAATGACTGGGAAGTGAAATTTTCTTTTTTTTTTTTTTTTTTTTTTTTTTTTTGAGACGGAGTCTCGCTCTGTCGCCAGGCTGGAGTGCAGTGGCACAATCTCAGCTCACTGCAGCCTCCACCTCCCGGGTTCAAGCGATTCTCCTGCCTCACCCTCCTGAGTAGCTGGGATTATAGGCATGTGCCACTACACCCAGCTAATTTCTGTATTTTTAGTAGAGACGAGGTTTCACCATGTTGACCAGGATCATCTAAATCTCTTGACCTCGTGATCCACCCGCCTCAGCCTCCCAAAGTGCTGGGATTTCAGGCATGAGCCACTGCGCCTGGCCCTGGGAAATGAAATTTTGAAATTCATTTTCAATTGTGTCAGAAGACAAAATACTTAGGAATAAATTTAACAAAAGATGTGCAGGGCTTCTAAAATGAAAACTATAAAACATTAAAAAAGAAATTAAGCAAAGCCTAAATAATTGGAGATACATATCATGTGAGTAGACATGATCAGTATCATTCTCCTGAAATTGGTCTATAGATTCAACACAATCCAAGTTAAACTCTCAACACTTCTTTTTAATAGAAAATGATAAATGGATTCTAAAATCTATATGAAAAAGCAAAACCCAAACAAATCTTGAACAAAACTAAAGTTGAAGAGTTTCTTTACCTGGTTTCAAGACTTACTCTAAATCTACAGTAATCAAGATAGTGTATTATTGGTATAAGAATAGACAAATGGATCAATGAAAAAAATGAATCAACAGACAGTCCAGAAATACAACCTCACACACATATATTTATGGTCAACTGATTTTCAACAAAGTACCAGGGCATTTCAGTGAAAAAAGGAGAGTCTTCAATAAATGGTGTTGGGACAATTGTATAAACATACAGAAAGAAAAGAACTCCAACCCCTATGTCATACAACTCACAGAAACTAATTTGGGACGAACTAAATGTAAAAACAAACTATAAAGATGTAGAAGGAAACATAAGAAAGTATTTGTGCAACTTTAGCCTGGGCAGGGATTCTTCAGGACACAGAAAGCACTAGCATAAATAATGGTAAACTATATTTCATGAAAATTCACCTGCCTTTTGCACAAGAATAGAGGCTCCAGTAGGATAGGAACCTTGTCTTTTTCATCGCTGTCTCCCTGACGTACTCCCAGCAATTTTCCTGGCTCAGTCTTTGTTGAATGTATGAATGAACAAATGAATGTTCTTGTAGTTCCATATGAAGTGATAGTATACTCAATCATTCCTCCATTTGGAGTTTGACTCTTAACTATTTAGATTAAAAATATGTAGTTTGGCTGGGCACAGTGGCTCACGCCTGTAATCCCAACATTTTGGGAGGCCCAGGCGGGCCGATCACCTGAGGTCAGTAGTTCTAGACCAGCTTGGCCAACATGATGAAACCCTGTCTCTACTAAAAATACAAAAATTAGCTGGGCATAATGTCACGCGCTGGTAATCCCAGCTACTCAGGAGGCTCAGGCAGGAGAATCGCTTGAACCTGGGAGGCGGAGGTTACAGTAAGCCACGATTGCACCATTGCACTCCAGCCTGGGCGACAAGGGCGAGACTCCATCTCAAAAAAAAAAAAAAAAAAAAAAAATGGGCCGGGCACGGTGACTCACACCTGTAATCCCAGCACTTTGGGAGGGCGAGGCAGGCGGATCACGAGGTCAGGAGATTGAGACCATCCTGACTAACATCATGAAACCCTGTCTCTACTAAAAATACGAAAAATTAGCCAGGCATGGTGGCGGGTGCCTGTAGTCCCAGCTACTCGGGAGACTGAGGCAGGAGAATGGCGTGAACCCGGGAGGTGGAGCTTGCAGTGAGCCGAGATTGCGCCACTGCACTCCAGCCTGGGTGACAGAGCTAGACTCTGTCTCAAAAAAATAAAAAATAAAAATAAAATTTTAAAAAATGTAGTTTTATTCATGAAAGCACAGTAGCCCTTTAATAAAACTGTGATAGATGAATTTTTGGTTAATGCAGTCCCTCTTTTTGTTCCCTTTTCCTTTCTAGAATCCCAGTAGTCTTTCCTTTTATTTCCTAATGAGAACTTACAGAAGAGACCTAATAGCGTCTCTGATGACATGATTTTCCAAACATATTTGATCCTGTACCCCATTAGTAAAATATTTGTACATACCTGCCATATAGGGGCATTTATTTAGAAAATATATAAATATGTTACTATACTACTGTATAATGAGACATGCACAAAAATAACATTTTAAGGGGATGAGGTGAAAGTTCTAATGTTTTCTTCCTGCACTTCAGTGGATTGTTGCATATCACTCCCCCTCCCCATGTGTTCATCCCACTTTGAAGACATTGCCTTAGGGTAAATGTGATACTATGTTTACATATATGTATATACATCAGGGTATAATACTGCCATAGTGTTAATACTTCTGCATTTTAAACCTTAGCTCTGACTATGGATTGAAAGACGTTGTATTTTAAATGAATTTATGATATCATTTAGTGCAAGTAGGGTGGAATTTTTAGGTCTGGAGCATACTCTGAAATCATCTTACCTAATTTTTACTGTATTTATTCTTAACATTGTTTAATGATAGTTTTTTTTCACTGAAAGATATGTAGAGTAGTTTAGAGAGGAGCAATACCGAGATTAGAAAAGTGGGAAGGAGGGGGAACGGAAGTGCTGTAGAAAAGACAATGCCAATTTTAAAAACAGTTAATTACACTATAAATATTGACAATGATGCGTTTGAATGAGATGTTGTCTTCTTGGGGATTACTAAATATAGAAAATTAGCAGTGTAATGTGTCTAAACAAAGTTTTTCCCTAATAACGGGGAAAAATCATTCTCAAATAAAAAGTTTTTAAAGAAGCATCAATTCTATAATATAGCAGTGTGAGACAGGTTTGGAGATTTTAAGCCTGCTGTGTTACCTCTGAGACCTAAAGGAAGGAGAACATAAAAATGAGCCTCTATCAATTTGAAGCAAACCTAATCTTTGTGATCATGGCTGTGGTCTAAATCTATTAAAGATGTTCAGATTCAGTGTCCTTGGTATCACTGTGGGTTGACCTGAATAGTGAGCGATAAAGTTGTGTATTATAATTCTGGTTGGAAGATATGTGCTTAGGAAGTGAAACCGACAGCCAGGGTTTTGTGTCTGTCTCTAAGCAGACTAAGAGCCTATACAAAATGACAGATGCATTTTTAGGGAAAGAAACCCATAATGTTTTCCTATTTAGTAGGTGACAGTATGTCCCAAGATAACACAAGCTTAAGGGGCTGGAACAAGTATGGTTATTAAAGGCTAACAGTTTCTCAGTTCATCCAAATTGAATTCTTTCATAGGCTGGAGGACTGTGGAAATCTAGTGTAGAGTACTGAAATAAATTAGCATATTAAGTGAATTTATACATTCAGGCTTCTGAGCACTTTGAATTTAAGAAAGAAATTTTATTACTTCTTGAAAGAAAAAGGCAATTCTTAAATTCTGTGTTTGATCTTCCTGTTGAAAAGGGTCTGTATGATAAATTATATCATTTTGATGATTATCCAAAGAAGTGGTTATTAAATTGATGGGAATCTTTCTGTCTTCTCTCCTCCATGTTTTCAGAATTACTGATTTAGGGAACATCAAAAGAAGATTATATTTATCAACGGTCCATAAGGAACTATCCTCCACCCCTCTTCATGCAAAAATTCCACTCTTCATGATCAAACGTAAAATTGTAAGTATCACATGAATGTTGCCTAAAATATTAAATTCAATTCAACAAATATTACTTATGGGCTGACTCCATATGTGAGGTACTTTGTTAAGTACGATGGTGGTATAAAAAATGAATAAAATTCATGGCCTTCCTTCCCCTCTCTTGAAAGAGCTTAACATCTAAGTGGAATAACGTAATTATTTGAACATCTATAAAATCACCAAAACTGTGTTACAAAGCACAGTGGAGAGAGAAAGTGCTATTGGTAATGTGAAAGGGAAAGGAATCCATCTGACTGGGGATGGGGGAAGGCTTTCTGAAGGAGATAGCACTTAGAGTGGACTTGGGAGAACTCTAAGATTTCAACAGGGAGAGATAGGAAGCCAGGCATTCCAGCAAAAGCAACAGCATGGACAGAAGCGTGGACGCTGGAAAGAGGTAACCTCCGGAGAACAGTGAACAATTAATCTTGTTGCCAGATTGAAAAAGAGCCCTAAGGAAACATTGGTCTGACAGTACAAGAGCCTGATATGGGTTCAGACATTTTAAGTACGTTGTATAACTTCTGAAGGGCCTGATTTTTCTGACAAGTCGTTCTCAAACTTCAGTCATTTCAATATTACTCTCAGTACCCTGTTTGTGTACTACCCATTCTGGTATGCACTTGATACTTTCCTTTAAATCAACACTATCTCTCTTTTTTTTTTTTGGCTTAAATTTATTTTTTTTTAATTTTGTTATTATTATACTTTAAGTTTTAGGGTACGTGTGCACAATGTGCAGGTTAGTTACATATGTATACATGTGCCATGCTGGTGTGCTGCACCCAGTAACTCGTCATTTAGCATTAGGTATATCTCCTAAAGCTATCCCTCCCCGTCCCCTAACCCCACAACAGTCCCCAGAGTGTGATGTTCCCCTTCCTGTGTCCATGTGTTCTCATTGTTCAATTCCCACCTGTGCGGGAGAACATGCGGTGTTTGGTTTTCCGTCCTTGCGATAGTTTACTGAGAATGATGGTTTCCAGCTTCATCCATGTCCCTACAAACGACATGAACTCTTCATTTTTTATGGCTGCATAGTATTCCATGGTGTATATGTGCCACATTTTTTTAATCCAGTCTATCATTGTTGGACATTTGGCTTGGTTCCAAGTCTTTGCTATTGTGAATAGTGCCGCAATAAACATACGTGTGCATGTGTCTTTATAGCAGCATGATTTCTAACCCTTTGGGTATATACCCAGTAATGGGATGGCTGGGTCAAATGGTATTTCTAGTTCTAGATCCCTGAGGAATCGCCACACTGACTTCCACAATGGTTGAACTAGTTTACAGTCCCAGCAACAGTGTAAAATTGTTCCTATTTCTCCACATCCTCTCCAGCACCTGTTGTTTCCTGACTTTTTAATGATTGCCATTCTAACTGGTGTGAGATGGTATCTCATTGTGGTTTTGATTTGCATTTCTCTGATGGCCAGTGATGATGAGCATTTTTTCATGTGTGTTTTGGCTGCATAAATGTCTTCTTTTGAGAAGTGTCTGTTCATGTCCTTCGCCCACTTTTTGATGGGGTTGTTTGTTTTTTTCTTGTAAATTTGTTTGAGTTCATTGTAGATTCTGGATATTAGCCCTTTGTCAGATAAGTAGGTTGTGAAAATTTTCTCCCATTTTGTAGGTTGCCTGTTCACTCTGATGGTAGTTTCTTTTGCTGTGCAGAAGCTCTTCAGTTTAATTAGATCCAATTTGTCAATTTTGGCTTTTGTTGCCATTGCTTTTGGTGTTTCAGACATGAAGTCCTTGCCCATGCCTATGTCCTGAATGGTAATGCCTAGGTTTTCTTCTAGGGTTTTTATGGTTTTAGATCTAACGTTTAAGTCTTTAATCCACCTTGAATTAATTTTTGTATAAGATGTAAGGAAGGGATCCAGTTTCAGCTTTCTACATATGGCTAGCCAGTTTTCCCAGCACCATTTATTAAATAGGGAATCCTTTCCCCATTGCTGTTTTTCTCAGGTTTGTCAAAGATCAGATAGTTGTAGATATGCGGCGTTATTTCTGAGGGCTCTGTTCTATTCCATTGATCTATATCTCTGTTTTGGTACCAGTACCATGCTGTTTTGGTTACTGTAGCCTTGTAGTATAGTTTGAAGTCAGGTAGCGCGATACCTCCAGCTTTGTTCTTTTGGCTTAGGATTGACTTGGCGATGCGGGCTCTTTTTTGGTTCCATATGAACTTTAAAGTAGTTTTTTCCAATTCTGTGAAGAAAGTCATTGGTAGCTTGATGGGGATGGCATTGAATCTATAAATTACCTTGGGCAGTATGGCCATTTTCACAATATTGATTCTTCCTACCCATGAGCATGGAATGTTCTTCCATTTGTTTGTATCCTCTTTTATTTCCTTGAGCAGTGGTTTGTAGTTCTCCTTGAAGAGGTCCTTCACATCCCTTGTAAGTTGGATTCCTAGGTGTTTTCTTCTCTTTGAAGCAATTGTGAATGGGAGTTCACTCATGATTTGGCTCTCTGATTGTCTGTTATTGGTATATAAGAATGCTTGTGATTTTTGCACATTGATTTTGTATCCTGAGACTTTGCTGAAGTTGCTTATCAGCTTAAGGAGATTTTGGGCTGAGACAATGGGGTTTTCTAGATATACAATCATGTCATCTGCAAACAGGGACAATTTGACTTCCTCTTTTCCTAATGGAATACCCCTTATTTCCTTCTCCTGCCTAATTGCCCTGGCCAGAACTTCCAACACTATGTTGAATAGGAGTGGTGAGAGAGGGCATCCCTGTCTTGTGCCAGTTTTCAAAGGGAATGCTTCCAGTTTTTGCCCATTCAGTATGACATTGGCTGTGGGTTTGTCATAGATAGCTCTTATTATTTTCAGATATGTCCCATCAATACCTAATTTATTGAGAGTTTTTAGCATGAAGGGCTGTTGAATTTTGTCAAAGGCCTTTTCTGCATCTATTGAAATAATCATGTGGTTTTTGTCTTTGGTTCTGTTTATATGCTGGATTACATTTATTGATTTGCATATATTGGACCAGCCTTGTATCCCAGGGAAGAAGCCCACTTGATCATGGTGGATAAGCTTTTTGATATGCTGCTGGATTCGGTTTGCCAGTATTTTATTGAGGATTTTTGCATCAATGTTCATCAAGGATATTGGTCTAAAATTCTCTTTTTTGGTTGTGTCTCTGCCCAGCTTTGGTATCAGGATGATGCTGGCCTCATAAAATGAGTTAGGGAGGATTCCTTCTTTTTCTATTGATTGGAATAGTTTCAGAAGGAATGGTACCAGTTCCTCCTTGTACCTCTGGTAGAATTCGGCTGTGAGTCCATCTGGTCCTGGACTCTTTTTCGTTAGTAAGCTATTGATTATTGCCACAATTTCAGAGCCTGTTATTGGTCTATTCAGAGATTCAGCTTCTTCCTGGTTTAGTCTTGGGAGGGTGTATGTGTCGAGGAATTTATCCATTACTTCTAAATTTTCTAGTTTATTTGCATAGAGGTGTTTGTAGTATTCTCTGATGGTAGTTTGTATTTCTGTGGGATCGATGGTGATATCCCCTTTATCATTTTTTATTCCACCTATTTGATTCTTCTCTGTTTTCTTCTTTATTAGTCTTGCTAGTGGTCTATCAATTTTGTTGATCCTTTCAAAAAACCAGCTCCTGGATTCATTAATTTTTTGAAGGGTTTTTTGTGTCTCTATTTCCTTCAGTTCTGCTCTGATTTTAGTTATTTCTCGCCTTCTGCTAGCTTTTGAATGTGTTTGCTCTTGCTTTTCTAGTTGTTTTAATTGTGATGTTAGGGTGTCAATTTTGGATCTTTCCTGCTTTCTTTTTGGGCATTTAGTGCTATAAATTTCCCTCTACACACTGCTTTGAACGTGTCCCAGAGATTCTGGTATGTTGTGTCTTTGTTCTCATTGGTTTCAAAGAACATCTTTATTTCTGCCTTCATTTCATTATGTACCCAGTAGTCATTCAGGAGCAGGTTGTTCAGTTTCCATGTAGTTGAGTGGTTTTGAGTGAGTTTCTTAATCCTGAGTTCTGGTTTGATTTCACTGTGGTCTGAGAGACAGTTTGTTATAATTTCTATTCTTTTACATTTGCTGAGGAGAGCTTTACTTCCAACTATGTGGTCAATTTTGGAATAGGTGTGGTGTGGTGCTGAAAAGAATGTGTATTCTGTTGATTTGGGGTGGAGAGTTCTGTAGATGTCTATTAGGTCCGCTTGGTGCAGAGCTGAGTTCAATTCCTGGGTATCCTTGTTAACTTTCTGTCTCGTTGATCTGTCTAATGTTGACAGTGGGGTGTTAAAGTCTCCCATTATTATTGTGTGGGAGTCTAAGTCTCTTTGTAGGTCACTCAGGACTTGCTTTATGAATCTGGGTGCTCCTGTATTGGGTGCATATATATTTAGGATAGTTAGCTGTTCTTGTTGAATTGATCCCTTTACCATTATGTAATGGCCTTCTTTGTCTCTTTTGATCTTTGTTGGTTTAAAGTCTGTTTTATCAGAGACTAGGATTGCAACCCCTGCCTTTTCTTGTTTTCCATTTGCTTGGTAGATCTTCCTCCATCCTTTTATTTTGAGCCTATGTGTGTCTCTGCACGTGAGATGGGTTTCCTGAATATAGCACACTGATGGGTCTTGTCTCTATCCAATTTGCCAGTCTGTGTTTTTTAATTGGAGCATTTAGTCCATTTACATTTAAAGTTGATATTGTTATGTCTGAATTTGATCCTGTCATTATGATGTTAGCTGGGTATTTTGCTCATTAGTTGATGCAGTTTCTTCCTAGCCTCGATGGTCTTTACAATTTGGCATGATTTTGCAGTTGCTGGTACTGGTTGTTCCTTTCCATGTTTAGTGCTTCCTTCAGGAGCTCTTTTAGGGCAAGCTTGGTGGTGACAAAATGTCTCAGCATTTGCTTGTCTGTAAAGGATTTTATTTCTCCTTCACTTATGAAGCTTAGTTTGGCTGGATATGAAATTCTGGGTTGAAAATTCTTTTCTTTAAGAATGTTGAATATTGGCCCCCACTCTCTTCTGGCTTGTAGAGTTTCTGCCGAGAGAACAGCTGTTAGTCTGATGGGCTTCCCTTTGTAGGTAATGCGACCTTTCTCTCTGGCTGCCCTTAACATTTTTTCCTTCATTTCAACTTTGGTGAATCTGACAATTATGTGTCTTGGAGTTGCTCTTCTTGAGGAGTATCTTTGTGGCATTCTCTGTATTTCCTGAATCTGAATGTTGGCCTGCCTTGCTAGATTGGGGAAGTTCTCCTGGATAATATCCTGCAGAGTGTTTTCCAACTTTGTTCCATTCTCCCCATCACTTTCAGGTACACCAATCAAACGTAGATTTGGTCTTTTCACATAGTCCCATATTTCTTGGAGGCTTTGTTTGTTTCTTTTTATTCTTTTTTCTCTAAACTTCCCTACTCACTTCATTTCATTCATTTCATCTTCCATCACTGATACCCTTTCTTCCAGTTGATCGCATGGGCTCCTGAGGCTTCTGCATTCTTCACGTAGTTCTCAAGCCTTGGCTTTCACCTCCATCAGCTCCTTTAAGCACTTCTCTGTATTGGTTATTCTAGTTATACATTCGTCTAAATTTTTTTCCAAGTTTTTAACTTCTTTGCCTTTGGTTTGAATTTCCTCCTGTAGCTCGGAGTAGTTTGATCATCTGAAGCCTTCTTCCTCAACTCGTCAAAGTCATTCTCCGTCCAGCTTTGTTCCGTTGCTGGAGAGGAACTGCGTTCCTTTGGAGGAGGAGAGGTGCTCTGCTTTTTAGAGTTTCCAGTCTTTGTGCTCTGTTTTTTCCCCATCTTTGTGGTTTTATCTACTTTTGGTCTTTGATGATGGTGATGTACAGATGGGTTTTTGGTGTCGATGTCCTTTCTGTTTGTTAGTTTTCCTTCTAACAGACAGGAGCCTCAGCTGCAGGTCCGTTGGAGTTTGCTAGAGGTCCACTCCAGACCCTATTTGCCTGGGTATCCGCAGCGGTGGCTGCAGAACAGCAGATTTTCATGAACCGCGAATGCTGCTGTCTGATCGTTCCTCTGGAAGTTTTGTCTCAGAGGAGTACCCGCCCGTGTGAAGTGTCAGTCTGCCCCTACTGGGGGGTGCCTCCCAGTTAGGCTGCTCAGGGGTCAGGGGTCAGGGACCCACTTGAGGAGGCAGTCTGCCCGTTCTTAGATCTCCAGCTGTGTGCTGGGAGAACCACTGCTCTCTTCAAAGCTGTCAGACAGGGACATTTAAGTCTGCAGAGGTTACTGCTGTCTTTTTGTTTGTCTGTGCCCTGCCCCCAAAGGTGGAGCCTACAGAGGCAGGCAGGCCTCCTTGAGTTGTGGTGGTCTCCACCCAGTTCGAGCTTCCTGGCTGCTTTGTTTACCTAAGCAAGCCTGGGCAATGGCGCGCACCCCTCCCCCAGCCTCGCTTCCACCTTGCAGTTTGATCTCAGACTGCTGTGCTAGCATTCAGTGAGACTCCGTGGGCGTAGGACCCTCCGAGCCAGGTGTGTGATATAATCTCCTGGTGCGCCGTTTTTTAAGCCCCATCGGAAAAGCGCAGTATTCGGGTGGGAGTGACCCAATTTTCCAGGTGCCATTTGTCACCCCTTTCTTTTACTAGGAAAGGGAACTCCCTGACCCCTTGTGCTTCCCGAGTGAGGCAATGCCTCGCCCTGCTTCGGCTCGCTCACAGTGCGCTGCACCCACTGTCCTGCGCCCACTGTCTGACACTCCCTAGTGAGATGAACCCGGTACCTCAGGTGGAAATGCAGAAATCACCCGTCTTCTGCGTCGCTCACGCTGGGAGCTGTAGACCGGAGCTGTTCCTATTCGGCCATCTTGGCTGCCAGTCCTGCTTAAATTTAATTTAAAAGAAAACTTTATACCACTTTTATAAGTGGAAAACCAGTGTAATTTTCCCAAAATACAACATAAAAATAAACATACTGAAAACAAAACAATATTTTGAGGTCTAACTGGGTACTGTTTCTTGTTTAAGGCTCTGTCCTGAGGGCTGCTGTTTGTTAAAAAGAGTTTATCAAGGATTAGATACATGTTCAGCTATTCTCCCTGTCATAGTTAGGACTGAAGGAAAACTGACAAAGGGACATTTTTATTCTGGGATCCAGAGTTATTTAATGCCACACCCATGTACCGTCTAAAATCATTTCACAAAAGGTACATGTTCCACTCTTTGGGAACTACTGTGGTGGATTTGAAAAGGAAGCCATTAAAGCTTTTGGGCTAGAGAAGGACCACACAGTCAGTTCTGTGCTTTGGGAAGATTAATCTGATAGTAATATTTGCAGTGATTTGGAGGGTGTAGAAATTGGAAGTGAGGAAGTTTTTTGCAGTCATCCAGATTAGGGTTAGTGAGGACTGTGGGGGCAGTCGGGGGAGCAGTGGAGGAATGGATGTGAAGCAACATCAGAAACTTAAAGTCAGATGAGCTAAGACATGTATGTAAACAGACCTTTTCCATACAATGTGGTACATTCTGTGAGAGCAAGAGTCAGAATGAACTACAGAGTAAAAGGAGAGTGGTCAGAGAAGGCCCTCTGAAGAAGTGGGTGCCTGAGCTTGGCCTTGAAAGACAGGAAGGCATTAACCAGTTGAAGAAGGGGAGAGTAGTGCTCCTGGAAGAGAACAAGCAGCATTAAGGGTAGCTGTGTGGTGTGCAGACAAACCCAGTGATCTAGTGTTGCTGAAGAGAACCAAGGAGGTTCCAACAAGGGAGAACAGTTGATATTGGAAAGTATTTAGGGAGCGTGGCAATCATAAGTAACTTCAATAAGAAGTTCTGGTATATCAGGAAAGAGACAGGGCCATGAGCTAAGAGAATGGAAAGTGGCAGCATGGAGTGCATACTGACCATTTCTTTCAGTAGGCAGATCCACTGGGCTTGCTGTTCATGTAGACATAAGTAAAGAATGGGAATTAAATATAACTTTGGAGATTGGCAGCCCTGTAATAAAAATGAGCTTGATTATGGAATAAATGGATGGTTTCTGTTTGCAGTAGAAGTTTTAAAAATTCATTTAATATTAAATATCCATAAATGCTTGAACATTAAATGTGACTCCAGTTATTGAAGTTAAACCATTTAAGACATTTAGGGAAATGCCTTACAAATAAAATTGTATTCATCATTTTATGTTTAGGTATTGATTTCCTTATTCATGTAAGATTCTTCAGAGTTCAGTGTTAGGTGGTTTCTAAGAGTTAAAGCCCATGTGAGATAAATACACTATTCAGTGTGTAGTTAATAAATCAAATTTGTCACTACCTTGCTTTTGTGAGTTCAGTCACCCTTGTCAGTTAACTAACTCTGAAGTCTAGATATTTCATCAAAATCTGAGTATTATGTATGTGGCTGTAACCCACACACATAGTGCACATTCATGAAAATCCAGTATTTGAAAATAAAATGCCATCTTTCCATTATAAGTGAACCACACAAGTATCTTGATGAGATAGGAAGTGAACTTGACTGAAAGGTCTTTCATATTCGATAAATGAGTTTTTCAGATGAATGTGTGTTACGTGTTTACAGTGCTGGGTGTGTAATGACATAAACAATTTAGTATTTAAACTATAAAGAAAGGAGCTATAATAGGTACTGTGGAGCAAAGTTTCCTAATCCTTTTCAATTCATCTGTCTTCCTCATGTTTCTACCCCTGGGCAAGTGGCTCAATAGAGAATATAAAAAAAAGGAGATATAGGCAAGAAAGATAAATATGGCTGTTAAAAAATTAGTGATATGAAGAAATCATATTAGTGACTACCCTAGGTGACTTCAGCTCATGTTATGCTAAATTTTAAAAAGCAAAACAGTCATAGCATATCTAGAACTTTCCTTCTGAATATGGGTAAATCTAGAAAAAATTTGAAGCAGTCTAAACAATAAGAAACAGATAGGGCATTTGTTTCCGTAGTGTTCTCCTCAGGCCCATATGCCAATGCAGTGAGATCATCAAGTCATAATTACTCATAATATGTTCTAATTACTCTATATTTTATTACATATATAACATATAAATAGTATGTAGGGGTTAAGAACGTAGAATCTGGATTCTGATACTTACTAGTTTTGTGAGCCTGTGCAAAGTTCCTGTATCATTTTCCTCATCTATAAAATGCAGTTACCTGAAGTATACACACCATTAAGGTTGTTGTGGGGATTTACATGAATTAATAAGCATAAAGCTCTTAGAACAGTGCCTGGCATAGAGTAAGTCCTAGATAAGGATTATAAGTCCTGTCTGATCTATAGATGCTACTTCTTCCAGGAAGCGCACTATGGTTTTCCCTCTGCAGAGTAGATATTTTGGGCATAGCTCATCATTGCCATTCACAATTTCATAACCCTCATAATACCTCTCCACCTTGCACTTTAACAATCTATTTACTTGTCTGTTTTCCCCAGTAGACTACAAGCATATCTTATTTTACCAGTAGACTACAAGTGTATCATCTCCAGTCCCTATTAGTGCATGGCATATAGTAAGTGATCAATAAATGTTTATTGAACAAATTGACAAATCTTAATGTATCTCCTGACATGGGAGAAAAAAAATGAGTTTATCATGGTCAAATTATATAAGCTTTCTAAATGTGCTTGGTGATTCCACAAATGCCGAGGAGTATTCAAATATTAAGAAATTTGGTTTGAAAACTTGCTCTCATTCCTCCCAATCCAAGAGGTGCTTGGCAGCAGAGGGTCTTTCCTTTCCACTGCTAGTATACTCTATTCCCAAAGAGCCCTTATTTAATTAAAGCTGAGTTGTGTTTTAGGGGAAATTTCTCCAGAGAGCAGCAAGGTGGCAGAGAGCATCTCACCCATTCAAGATGCCATCTCTAGTGGCCTTCCTGTTGTTGATGTGGTATTGGCCCCAGTTCTCTGTTTTTGCCAAAGCACTCTTCACTTCTTTCTACCCCTTAGGAACTAGTAGAATATTTTGTTGGCAAACCTCAAAACAGCATTCTAAAAGCATTTCAGCTAGCACTTATAAATCAGGAAATTTCACGTAAAATTCCTAATTTCAGACCTTCCTTGAAAAAGGTCAGATTTCTCAACATTGAACCTGCCTTATCTCACACAAGCACTTGGTGGGAGCTAAGTAGTAATGGCACACTTCTAAGAAGCTGCAAGCTCTTCTGTAAAGTTGAATCCTCTGTGTACTCATAAGGTATGCAGGTGGACTCAGACCCTTCTTGCTTCACTCATTTCAGTTTTCTGCCTGGGCCTTCTAGGTGTACATTGGCAACCCTTGATTTACAGGATAATTGCCGAATGGTCCACTTTGCCTTGGTTTTTTAGCTAAAGCCTTTAGTTAGCCAGAGGCTGCAAATAAAGTTAATATTCTTCTAGCCACACCAAAATGAATATTTATATATGGGCCACTTTCTGTCCCAAATGCCTTTAAATGTTTCTTTCAAATAAAAATTTTTATATTTCATGTTATTTTTAGCTGTGAAGAGTCACTTTAATATTTAAGTTATAATAATTTATGCTTTTAACTTGGGTTTTCAATGGCAAGAACAATTTTAAAAATTAAAAACTATCCGATTAAATAGAAGTACCCACTTAGTTGAGACTCACTAGAATCAATCTTACTTCTTTAATGTAATTTCAATTAGTTGATGCTGGTGTCAGATGAACATCAATGTCTCGTTACCAAAGTATGTATTAATGTACAGTAAGTTTAATTCCATTTGAATAAGAAGTTCAATTATGAGATATCATTCAGCATAAATCATTCATTGGAGATATAACAAAGTGATATGATAAATTACAATGCCAGAGTCTTTTAGTAACCTCTAGAATTCAGATACCCAGTGTTTGTCATTTAAATGGATAAAATTACTCTTTAGGAGCTATTCCATCTTGAACCACAGCTCTGATGGAATATTTTATAACTTTTATTACAAACTGGAAGTCTGGTATAATGTTTTTAAAACTTCCCCTCATGGATCATTTTTCCCATAGAGCCAATGATGTAGAAGTTTGAGGTTTTTAATAGTGTTTAATTTTTTGAGTGTCATTGAATGAGAAGGGAATGGAGGAGGCAGGTTTATTCAGACAAAAGGTCGTTTAGAAATACGTACAAAATACAATTAGAGAATGTGTCTTAATGATGTCATTCTAACCTAGAATTCATTGTAATGTTGATGGTACTTGATTGAGAGTTTTTTAATGTTTTCATCTCATTTATGTGAATATTATTATTTTTTCTTTTTTTCTTCTTCTTCTTCTTTTTTTTTAATGGAGTCTCACGCACTCTGTCGCCCAGGCTGGAGTATAGTGGCATGATCTCGGCTCACTGCAACCTCTGCCTCTCAGGTTCAAACAATTCTCCTGCCTCAGCCTCCTGAGTATCTGGGACTATAGGCGGCTGCCATCACACCTGGCTAGTTTTTGTATTTTTAGTAGAGACAGGGTTTCACCATGTTGGGCAGGCTGGTCTCTAACTCCTGACCTCAAATGATCCACCTTCCTCAGCCTCCCAAAGTGCTGGGATTACAGGTATGAGCCACTGTGCCTGGCCTGAATATTATTTTTAAATATCTTTTTTCTTTCCCTACTTACTCAGTCTAATATGGGTATTGAAGAAATCTGGAGAAAGGAGAACTGTCTTATGCCTTCTTATGCTGGTCCTGAATGGTTAAGTAGGCATAACTAATTCAAAATAAGTTTATTCTGGAAAACAGATGATTACCTAGCTTTAGTTTTAGGGTCACCCCATTTTTAAAATACTTAAATTGGCAGAATGCTGTTAAGATTAACATGTGACCTCTGGAGCTAGATTCTATGGGTTCAGATTCTGGTTCTGTCACTTCCTGACTATAGGCCCTTGAGCAAATCAGTTGATCTCTCTGATTTAGTTTCCTCAACAGTTAGACAGTGCAATAATAGAACTTGCTTAATAGACCAGTTGTTAGGATTGAGTAGCCTATGACTTAAAAACAGTGCCATACTCATAGTAAGTGCTCAGTCTGTTAGTTGATGTTGTTATTACTTTACTATTTTCTATTGACATGAATCCATGCTTATTAACTTGTAAATATGGTATCATCATAAACCTCTGAACTTACAGTTTATTTTAATTAGCAAATATTGATCGAGTTCCTGCTGTGGGCCAAGGTCTGTGCCAGATGATATGAACCCAAAGGTGAATGGAACATGGTCTTTCTCCTTGAGGAGATTATAATATGGCAGAAAAGGCAAACATGTAAATAATTATTGATAACGGGCTATGGTAAACACCAAACTAGTCTTATAAGTACTACTGGAGGAAAATATCAGACTTTCCTAGCCATGTTGGGGATGATTGTAAGTAAATTAATTTTCTCTTGGAGCAACATTTAAAAACTCTTTTTAGGAATGATAACAACATCTAGAAACTCAACAACACAGTAGTCACAATGTCCAGCATAGGATAAAAACAAAATTTCTAGATATACAAAGTGGGGAAACCCCATAACTAGCAGAAAAAAAAATCAGGGACTAGAAACAGACCCAGACATGACAAAGATAATAGGATGAGGAGACAAGGGCTTTAAAACAATTATTATAAATATATTAAAGGATTTAAAGAAAATATGTTCATAATGAGAAAACAAGGGGGGAACATAAATAGAGAAATAAAAACTATAAAAATAAAATTCACAATCTACAAAGATCTCAGATAACAAGAAAAAAACAAATAACCCCATTAAAAAGTGAGCTATGGGTGTGAACAGGCACTTCTCAAAAGAAGACAAACAGTGGCCAACAAAAATATGAAAAAAATCCTCCACATCAATAATCGTCAAAGAAATGCAAATTAAAACCACAGTGAAATACCATCACACATGAGTCAGAATAGCTATTATTAAAAAGTCAAAAAACAACAGATGTTGGTGAGGTTATGGAGAAATGAGAATGGTTATACACTGTTGGTAGGAATATAAATTAGCACAACCTCTATGGAAAACACTGTGGACATTTCTCAAAGAACTGAAAATAGAACTACCATTTGGCCCAGTAATCCCACTACTGGATGTCTACCCTAAGGAAAAGAAATCCTCATATCAAAAAGACATCTGCCCTAATATGTTTATTACAGAACTATTCACAATAGCAAAGACATGGAATCAACCTAAGTGTCCATCATCAGATGATTGGGTAAAGAAAATGTGGTATGTATACCATGAAATACTGCACAGCCATAAAAAAAGAATGAAATCATATATTTTGCAGCAACATGATGGAACTGAAGGCCATTATCCTAAACAAAATAACTCAGAAAATCAAATACCATGCATTCTTACTCATAAATGGGAGCTAAACAATGGATACACATGTACATATGGAGAGAAACAATAGACACTGGCTAGTCTAAAAGTCGGGGGAGGCTAGAAGCGGGGTAATGGTTGAAAAATTACCTATTGGTTGCAATGTTTACTATTTAGGTGATGGGCACACTAGAAGCCCAAACCTCACCATAAGCAATATATTCATGTAACAAATCTGGATGTGTACCCCTTAATCTATAATTTTAAAAAATTTTTTGCATTCTAGAACTGAAAAAAAATACGGTATCTGAAATAAAAGATTCACTGGATGGGTATAACACCAGGTTAAACACTGGAGAATGTCAGTAAAATTGAAATCAGGAATATAGAAACTATGCAAACTAAAGCACAGAGAGGGAGAAAAAACCTAAAACAAAATGAGCAGAGTCTGACTGAACTGTGAAACAGTATCACACAGTCTAGTATGTATGTGATTGCAGTACCAGAAGGCAAGCAGAGAGAGAGTAAGAGAAGAAAATTTATAGAAGTAATATTTGAAATTGTTTGAAATTTTAAAAATATACAGATTGAATAAGCTCAACAAATCATAAGCTGAGGAAATAATACAGGCACACACATACAAAAACAACACCATAGTATATCATAATCAAGTTGCTGAAAAAAGAGTGATAAAGAAAGAATCTTAAAAGCAGCCAGAGGTAAAAGATACATTATATGCCAGAAAACAGTAATAAGCTTGTTACCAACTTCCCATCATAAACTTCCTGTCATAAAATAAGAAGATAATGGAATGGTGTAGTTGGTGGGAGATTGGGGGATGTATTTGTCAATCTAGAATTCTTTAGCCAGTGAAGACATTCTTCAAAAATTGGGACAAAATAAAGACATTTTCAGACTAAAAAGCTGAGAGAATCCATTGCCAGTAAACTGATGCTACGAAAATATTAAAGGAAGTTGTCAAAACTGAAAAAAATTATATATACTACATGGAAATTTGGATCTAAATCAAAGAACAAAGAATGCCAGTAATGGTAAATATATAGCTAAATCTAAAAAGAAATCATTCATTATTACAATTCGTTTAAAAGTATTTGATTGTTTAAAGCAAAATTAGTAATGTATTTTGGGGCTGGGTGCAGTGGCTCACACCTGTAATCCCAGCACTATGGGAGGCTGAGGTGGGTGGATTACCTGAGCTCAGGAATTCAAGACTAACCTGGGCAGCATGGCGAAACCCCATCTCTACTAAAAATATAAAAATTAGCCAGGTGTGGTGGCACACACCTGTAGTCCCAGCTACTTGGGGGACTGAGATCGGAGAATGATGCATATATATATAATTTTATAACATGTAGAAGTAAAATATATGACAATGACACAAACAGTGGTGGAGATGGTAATATACTTTTATGAGCTTCTTGTCTATGACATATTCTAATATTATGTCATGGATAATATGACATAGCTAAATTGTGATAAGTTAAAGATCCACATTGCAAACCCTAATGAAACGATTGAAAAAAAAACAGAACAAAGAAGTATAACTATCTTCGCCCATTTGTGTTGCTATAAAGGAATATCTGAAGCTGGATAATTTATAAACAAAAAAGGTTTATTTGGCTTATGGTTCTTCAGGCTGTACAAGAAGTATGGCACTGGCATCTGAATCTGGGAAGAGCCTCGGACTGCATCCACTCTTGGTGGAAGGGGGAGAGGAGCTAGCCTGTGCACAGATAGTGAGAGTTGAAACAAGGGAGACAGAGAAAGAAAGAGGAGGCATTGTCAGACTCTTTTCATCAACCAGTTCTCATGAGAACTAAGAGTGAGAACTCATTCACTCCCGTGAGAATGGCACCAAGCCATTCATGAGGGATCTGCCTCCATGACCCAAACACCCCCACCAGGCCCCATCTCTAACATTGGGCACGAACTTTCAACATGAGACTTGGTGGGGCCAAATAAGCCATATCCAAACCGTAGCAATAACTAGTCAGCCAATTGAGGAGGTTAACGGAATGCTAAAAAATGTTTTCAATCCAAAAGATTGTAGGAATAGAGAACTGAACAAAGAACAGATGGGACAAATTGAAAACAAAGAGCAAGATGGTAGCCTTCAACTCAAACGTATCAAAGTCATTATATTAAGTGGAAATGGACTAAATGCTCCAATTAAAAGGCAGAGATTGTTAGGTTGAATTAAAAGCAAGGGACAATTGCATGCTATTTATAAAAAGTGCACATTAAATCTAAAGACACAGGTTACAAATAAAAAGATGAAAGTAAGATGATATACCATGCAAATACTAATCATAAAAAAGCTAGAGTACGTATACTAATAGCAGACAAATTAGACTTCAGGACAAGGAATATTATGTAATGAGAGATGTTTCACAATGATAAGGAGGTTAAATGATGAAGAAGATATAACAGTGCTAAATGTGCACACATCTAATAACAAAGCTTCAAAATGCAAGAAGCAAAAACTAACAAAACTAAACACAGAATGGTAAATATGCAAGTGTAGCTGGAAATTTCAAGACTCCTTCCTCAGAAATTGACAATCACTAAAGATATAGACTTGAAAAACACTACCAATCTGACCTATTTGACATTTGTAGAACACCTGACAAGTGCAGAATACACATAATTTTCAAGTGCACATTGGACATTCACCAAAATATATGATATGTTAGGCCATATTTAACAAATTTAAAAGATTGAAATCATACATAGGATGCCCTGTGCTATAAGGGAATTAAATTATGTATCAATAAAAAAGATAATTGGATAATCCCCAAGCACTTTGAAATAAAGTAACATACTTCTAAGTCATCTATATGTAAAAAAAAATTAGAATATTAGAAAACAGTATAGCTGATTTTAAATGATATTGAAAATAAAGCACACCAAAATGTGTGGGATGTATCTGAAGCAGTCACTGCCTAAAGGGAAATTTATAGCTTTTAATGATTACATTCAAAAAGAAAAAAGTCTTAAAATTAATTATATAAGCATCTAAGAAAGGTAGAAAAACAAGGAAATTAAACTGATGTGTACAGAAAGATAGAAGTAATTAAATAATAATTCAATGAAATAAAAAATGGGTGATGGAGAAATTAATGAAACCAAAAATTGGTTCTTTGAAATGATTAATAAAAGTGATAAATCACTAGCTAGACTAATCAAGAAAAAAAAGAACATACACATTGCCAATACCAAGAATGAAAGTGGGGAAAAAGGAAACTAAAGGAATATTATTAACAATTTTATGCCAGTGAATTTGACAACTTAGATAAGTGGGAAAATTCTTTTAAAGACACAAATTGCTAAAATTGATACTAGAAGAAATAGAAAATGTGGATAGCCTTATAACTATTTTTAGAAAGTGAATTTGAAAAACATTCCAAAAAATAAAATCCAGGTCCAGTTTGCTTTACAGATAATTCTTCTAAAATTTAAGGAAGTAATAATACCAACTTTAAACATTTTTCTCAAATAATAAATAAGGAGGAACATTTCCCAACTTATACATCAGGCCAGTGTAATTGATACAAAATCAGACAAAGATAGTAAAAGTTCTCAAAAGAGCTATAAATCAGTATCCCTCATGAACGTGGACATATGGCTCCTTAACACCATGATCCAGTGGCATTTATTCCAGGATTTCAAGGTTGGTCTTGATTTGAAAGTCAATGTAATTTTATCACATTAGCATAATAAAGGGGGAAAATCGTAAGATTATCTCAATAGATACAGAGAAATTATTTGAACAAATTTATGAGCACTTTATGATAAATATTTACATTAAACTAGGAATAGAAGGAAACTTCTTGAACTTGGTAAAGGGCCTTTGTGAAAAGCCTACAATTAAATCACACTTACGATAAAATATTGACTGCTTACTCCCTAAGATGGGAAACAAGGCAAGACTATCCACTATGGCTGGGCATGGTGGCTCATGCCTGTATTCCCAACACTTTAAGAGGTTGAGACAGGAGGATTGTTTGAGCCCAGGAGTTCGAGACCAGCCTGGACCACATATGGAGACCCCCATCTCTACAAATAATTTTTTAAAATTAGCCAGACATGTTGGCTTATGGCTGTGGTCCCAGCTGTTTGGGAAGCTGAAGTGGGAGGATCACCTGAGCCTGGGAAGCGGAGGCTGCAGTCAGCCTCCACTGGCAGTGATCATGTCACTACACTCCAGCCTGGGCTACAGAGCAAAGCCCTGTCTCAAAAAAAAAAAAAAAAAAAAAAAAAAGAATATCCACCCTAACCACTTGTATTCAGCATTGTATTAGAGGACTAGAGGACCCAGCCTATGCAGAAAGAGAATTAAAAAATTAAAAATAGACAGATTGGAAAGGAAAATGTAAAACTTTCTTTGCAAACAACGTCATCATTTATGTAAACAATTCTAAGGAATCTATAAAAACAAAACAACCTACTAGAGTAAATGAGTTTAGCAGAGTGACAGCATATAAGATAAGTCAATATACCAAAATCAGTTGTATTTCTATACACTAGCAATAAACAATTAAAAATTTCAGGGTTTAAAGATATTTACAATATCATTAAAACTCTGAATACTCATGAATAAATTCAACAATGTATATGTATATAGATGTTTACATTGAAAACTGTAGAACTGCTGAGAGAAATCGAAGAAGACCTACATAAATGGAGAGAGATACTGTGTTCATGGATTGCAAGACTATTTGTTTGTTAAGATGCCAGTGCTCTCTATATTGATCCGTAGATTCAATCTAATTCCAGTTGAAATCTCAGCAGGCTGTTTTTGCAGAAATTAGCAGACCAATTCTAAAATTTATATGGAAAGTCAAAAGACCTAGAATAGTCAAAACAATTTCCAAAAATTACTTATACCTCATGATTTCAAGGCTTGGTTTAAAGCATAAGTAATTAAGACACTGTGGTATTGGCACAGATACCAATAAACAACAGCTTTATTCATAATAGCCAAAACCTTGAAATAATCTAACTGTTCAAAACAGAAGAACGAGCAAATTGTGGTGTATTCACCAAGTGGAGTACTACTCAGCAAAATAAAAAAAAAACTACCAATATACACAACACTCATGAGCCTTAAATATTATGCTGAGTGAAAGACACCATTTACTGTGATTCCATTTATATAAAGTTATAGAACAAACACAAATCATCTAAGGTGAAAGAAATCAGTGGTTGCCCCTATGATGGGTGAGTTCTCAGATTATTTGGGAAGCTGCACAGGATCTGTCTGGGGCAATTAAAACATCCTATGTCTTGATGGGTGGTGGTATGCAGGAGTATGATGTGGTCAAAACTAATTGAATTCTATCCTTAACATCTGTGCATTTCATAGTATGAAAGCCAGAAAGATTTTGTGATTGACATTTATTGAGCACAAATGATGTCCCAGGTACTTTTATAAGTGTTTGCATGTACTTAAATATTTAATCCAAACAACTCTATGAGGAATGTACATTATTATCACCATTTTATAAATGAGGAAAAGGAGGCCCAGAGAGGTTCAGTAACTGGGAACATTATGTAACTAGTAAGTGGTGAGGCTAGTACCTAAATCCAGACAGTTTGGCTCCAGAGCCCAGACTCTTGCATCCCTGGGAAGAATATATTTCAAAGGAGTTGCCAGTATGGTTTAACTAGAGGCAGTTGCCAAACAGATTAAAAAAAAAAATAGACTGTGTGACTTGATAATTAAAATAACGTCCAGTTCAAAATTTTAAAAGTGAATGACTTCAGAATAATGAAGTTAAGTCTCAGAATGTAGCCCTATGAGTGGATTCAGAATAGAGGAGAGGCAGGTTTTTGAAGGAAAAAGAGTTAAAGGACCATTAGCATGTTGAACAGGATGTTAGAAGATGAGATGAACCTGGTTCCAGCTTTTTTCAGGAATGTGATTAGAGGATGGTGTGGATGCATCTGTAGGAGTGACAGGAATGACCAGGGAGTGATTGAATGAAGATTGATGAAGCTAAAAGGGTAGTAGAGCCTGTCTTTGCAATGCCTTGAACTTCAAAGATGATAGAATTCCAAGTCAGAAACGTACACCCTCTCCCACTGCCTCCCAGCCCCTTGGCCTCAATTAGAGGGCTGTAGAAGCACAAATGGACCCCATAAGTGAACTTCAACTCCAGAGTTGAAGGAGAAGTAATATCTCAGAAAAAAAGCTATGTTTCACTGACGGTAATGTGTCTAAGACTCTTAGAAAAATGCAGAGAATGTAAGTACTTTTCGTAAGTAAGAATTTTAGGGAGCATGGTGAAAGAGTGGCTTGAGTATGAAACTATGATTTCAGTAAGAGATAGTTTGCTCCATGTGGGTAGGAATTGGGAGGTACACATGGATTGCTGAACAGGTATTGTGACAATACTTCTGCAAGAAACTTGCCCTTTCTTGGTTCAGCCAAGAGCAAGGTCTGGCAGCTCTGGCAGCCCCAGCTTTCCTTCCTCTCCTCTCCTCTCTCCATAGAAGGACTTGTCATGATTTGCTTTTCCTAGGGAAATTGTTTTTAATACATTAGTAATAGGTAATTGCTTCTTCTAACCTTGTAAATATAGAATTACAATTTCAATCTCTGCTTATACCACTTATTAAACACAATATAGTAATAGGGATGAATAAGGTCATTGTAAGCTGATTTTCTATCGAGAAATTATAACTAAAGTGAAAAATTATTTTTAAAGACACAAGAATAAACATCATAAGACCCTGGTCTCTGTATACCATTATGGGAGTGAGAAAACAGAATGAGGTTCTAAAACTCTGGGAAGAGATGTACTTTAGGATTGCCAGGGTATGAAATTGTGGTTTCTTGTTTGTCATTTCCTTTTGGAAGGACAGCGCTGGCTAGAACTGTGCACTGTTAGTAAAACAGGCTTTTTCTGCACTAACAAATGTAACTAATTTCTTGAGATCTTTTCTATAGTAATGGCAGAGAATAGGAGCATAGGGAATCAAAAATATGCTCCCAAGGATTTATTATTTCATGCACCAGAACTTGTGGGGTGTGTGTGTGTGTGTTCACAGAATTTGCATTCCTTTCAACAGTATAATAAAGCCATATTCCAAACATGAGTTAGTAAAAACTAGAAATTCATGCTTTGAATCATTCTGTCACCCTTTGCCAGCCAACTCCTTTATGCTGGAAATAAATAGCATAAACTGACTTATTAATCCAAGCAACATACTAAATAGAACTGTCTTTTCTCTATCAGATTTCTGTCTTTCTGGTACATACTTCTTAAGGACCAATAATTATAGATATTTTAGATCAAGTTATTTCCTGCTGGATAGAGTTGTACATAGAAATATAGTAATTAGAGATCAAGAAAAATGTCAAAAAGGGACTTTTAAGAGTGAATATCATCAAGAATATTGAAAATAATATTTTATAAAGTTCAGCTGTAACTCAGATAATCCACCTGTTGGTAGTAGAGAGTTTATACACTTCTCCAATACTTCAGAAAATATATCACAGCATTTATATGAACAATGAGTTATTTGTTGAAGCATATGAGTATTGGAAGCTTTATCAATATCAGCTAAATCAAAAAATAATTTCTGTTTCCTCTAGCCAAGGGGGATTTGTGAAAGTTATTTCCATCTTTTTTAGAAACCACCCCCATCTGTTTTCCCAGGAAATTGATTCATTAAATAAAGTTATCAATTCCCAGCCATTTATTTCTTGAATGATTATTAAATGAAAGATTGAGTGTATGTGTGTAGGCATGTACACATATACTCAATGCCCACAGTCAGTGCACATACACACACATCTTAATGTGTTCATACACACACACACATATGCATACCCTTATTTGTTTAGTACATTCCATGAAGCATGAGTCCAGGTTGACAGAATAAAAGGAGCGTGACCATGATGGATAAGAAAAGTGTACAGTGGGTAAGGATCTGGTTTCTTAGGACTCAGAGTTTTTGAAGGAGGTTGGAACTGACTCCCAAGCAGAGCTGGTGGTGTAACCAGCTGGAGATGGTCTAAACAGGTAATAAAGGGGCAGGATCCTGAGAAGAAATCCCCAGCATGTCATGTCCATGCCATGCTGGGCCTGGAAAATGTATTTGTTGCTCAAAACCAAACTCAGATGTCACCTCCAAGTCTTTCCTAGATGGGAAGACTTAGAGTCAAAGAAAATAAAGCAGATAATATTAAAAAACAATGGTTAACTGCAAAAATGTTTTTAAAGTTGTATAAGGAAGGAAAAGGTAATCATAGAGAGCCACTTGGCTCAGATGTATACAGTATTTACATGGCCACAAGAAAGAAAACACAGAATATGGATGTTGAGGGAAAAAATGAGAGCAAATGAGAGAACAAATAATTATCCAGGGAGGATGAAGTAGGGGAAGCAGGGTATTAGCTAGCTAAGTCTTATCTACCATATTAGGAAGTCAGTAGATAGTGTCCAAAATTGATGAATCAAGAGGCATTACTTTAAAATACAGAGGGAAGAAACAGTTAAATGAGTTGACAGTATGATTAGATGAGGGGTAGGGTGACAAAGAACTGTATTTCGTATCAAACTTTTGGTGCTATCTGGCTTATATTTGCATATAATACCATAATACAATTTTTAAAATGTTTTTTTCAAATAAAGCTTTCCTAAGCCTCCCCACATACCCACCATGAGCCCCCTCAGTAGTAACTGTATTGGGTAGATACCACATGTCTGCCTTCCTTCCCAGACTGAAAGGACTCTCTTATTTATGTCTGTACCCCTGGAGCCAAGCCCAGAGTCTAACACATGATAGGTACTTAGTATGTGTGGGGAAGAATGGGTCACTGGAATTGCTGACTGATGAACCAGCTGAATGGTTGAGATTGGGGCATGATAAGAAGTCTTTTAGGACTAGGAACCACGTTTATACAACAATAATAATGCTAATATTATAATAAGGTTAATAATTATGATTGGATATCTAGAAACCCCAACACTTCCATCCCCTATAACCTGCATTTCACCAAGCCACAGTGTTCCACTCTGTGGCGTATCTACTGGATTTGTCCCTTACACTCTACTTCCTACATAAGCTTCCTAGCCAGCCCTCCTCACTTCGTGTTTAGATGACTGACAGGGACCAAACTAGTCTTTCTGTGCCTTGGTGCTCTCCATTCTGCCTCATTCCCCCGCCCAACCCCATCTCCCACCTCAAAATATTCCTGCATCATGGTTAGTCCGAACTTCTCAACACTCTGCTTTTGCACATTCTTTTGTAAAGAACCGCAGTGATGCTTTACCCTCTCCAGATGCTCTGAAACCTGGCCTCACTGGGCCATCTTACATTACTTCATTCCGCTCCAGTGTTCACCATTCTGCCAGTCAAGCCAATCACACTATTACTTGACTCTCAGTTTACCTGCTGCCTTTGCTGACACCAGGCTCCTCTCTCCACAAAGACCAGAGCGTTGCCACAGCCTGCAAATGTAATTTTACTGTTGAGACATCTACATAGAAAATACTCTTCATGTATTTAATAAATAATGTATTTCGGTCTCTTTTACTTTTTCTACTGTGGAAGCAACCTAAGGTTCACCTCCATATTAAAATCAGCATTCCTAGATATATAAGATTTGTCTTTAAAAAAAAGAAAAAAAATATATATATATATATTTATATATACAGGACCTTATGTAAACCTTGCTTCTAAACAAATAATGGAAGAGCCCAATATTTTAAAAGAAGCACATAAAACTTTAATACTACTTTTCATTTCAAAAATTATTTTTCTGGCTTTTGTCCTACAGTCTTAAATATGTCTTTGTTTCTTGCCAAATGATTTTTTTTCATTTTCTTTAACCATTCAGAAAATTCATTTGATGAAGTATTGAGGGGCCTAATTATTTAATGCGCAGAAATTAGTCCCTGCAAGAGTACTTTAAAAACTGGCAAATACCCAGCATAATTACAAATTCTTTAGAAGAATCTGTTTCCGTACAATAGGTTAATTGGTTATAAGTAGACAGCACTGACCATAATTTAAACCCAGCTTCTAATTTCATCCATGCCTTTTTCAACAAATACGAGTGGCTAATTGTGATCAAATTAGTCCCCTTGAAGGAACAATTGGCTACTTATCTCTGATTTTCAAGATGTCACTGGTCTAACACACCTGCAATTAGCTTCCTGCTGGCATACTGCCTACAGATAGAGAGTTATTTCCCAAAGTTGTCATAGTCTTGTCTCATGATGGGAATTCTGTAGTCAGATGACCAATGTGTAATTTAGAATTATGGTGATTTCTTTGGAAAGATCAAGTCAGTTTTTAAGCCAAAACAGAGATAAGTTTACCTAAAGAGGAAAATTAGTTTGGGGCTTGTTGATCAGGATAACTGCCTCAACTCTTTGAATGTCTACATATAGATGGTTTGTTCATTTATGTGTTGATGAAAGGTCCTTACTCTTCTTTGCATCTCTCTATTTTAGTGGTGCAATCTATGCATTGACTTAGTAGCATTCACCAGTGAAATATTCAAGGGGGCAGTTTTCCAGTCATTGGATGGAATTGTTGTCTCAGCTAACTGTAAGCTACGGAAGATCTTCACCTTAAAATCAAAGCCACAAGACACTGCTGATAAGGATGGTATGTTCAGGTTGCTATCAAGATTTTTTAATTCTCTGATGTATTTTTAAAATTAGCCATACCTTTGGGATAGTATGAGTGTGTGGTAGCAGTTTGATGTTATGTCTGCTAAAGTAAATTTGTCAACAGTCATGCTGATTTCTTTGTTCTAGATCAAATGTTTATTTTTACTATAGCTGAATGTCACAAAAAAGGTATTAATCTTCTTTTTGTGGTTGTTTTCTTTTTTCTTTATGGTAACACTTGCTATCTGTCTTAGGCTCCTTAGTTACAAACAACATAATCCTCTTTAGGTGGTTGAAAAAGAACAGGAATTTATTTAAGGAAATCAGACAGTTCATAGAATCTCAAGGATATTTAGAGAGTCAGCTGAGAGCCTATAGTCAAGAAGAATCCAGCCTCTCCCACAAGACTTATCTAAGGACAACCCCATCCATTTGCCACCTCCACCCACTGCCAGTAGCTACTGCAACTATACAGAGACTCCATAAGTCACATCATAATGCTGGGCTATAAGTTCCATAATTTCTGTTACAGCAGCCCCTGAAAGTAGGATGTTTTCTTCCCTGCCACCCTTATCAGAAGTAGATATATTTTTCTTCATGTTTGTCTCCACTGAAAACGTTTGGTGTGGCTGTTTCTGTCCTGTGGAGTCTAGGTTGCATGCTGCAAGGAAGGCAGGCAAAGCAATGTCTGATTCCTGACTAAGGAGGCAGGACTCATTGTGTGGGAAAGTCATCAAATTAGGAAGGGTGTGCAAAAGATGTTGGGCATTCAAAAATCTCTGTCCATTATGCTGTCTTATTACTCTGTGTACATTTCAGGAAGTCATTTGGGAGAAATCATATTAATTTTCTAGTGATCAAGTTAAAATGGAAAGAGTTGAGTTCTTCCTCATATTTCTAGAGAGACTAGAAATATTTACATTAATTGTTCATAATTTGATTTATAAATATACTCTGCAGGTAACTCAGCTCCCTGGAATTCATAAGGTAGCACACCATACTGCTCAGATGGTTTTAAACAACCAAAAGTATTGAAAGAATACTGATGCCTCCTTTTGATTTTCATCTGGGATTATTATTTGTTAAATCAATTCTTCTAGAAGTCCAGGAAGCAGGGCTGCATATAAGATGTCAAAGGTGATTACTTAGAAGTTTCTATCTAGACTTCAGATTTGTGCTCCATCTGGGTGTGTGCCTGAGAAATCTTGATGTGGCTCACTCTGTGGAACAGGACACTGTGCCTATAAATTTCATTTGATAATAAAGCACAGCAGTGTATTAACAGCTCTCCAAAGAGATCACACACCACAGTGTGGCTGCTCATCTTATGTACCCACTTACAGACTATACGAGAAAGTGAAAGATTTCATTTTTTTAAATGGCACCCAGCTAATAAGAAGCCTCAAAATTTATAGAAATATTTGTGCAGTGTACATCAGATCATAGGAGGTGAATCATAACCTGATTAATATTTTAAAATAAATGTAAAGAAAAAAGTGGATCAAACATAGCAAAGTAAATGCATGTTTCAATCTCTGATCCTTCCTCAAGCTCCACTGAAATTACTATATAGGAATAAAAAAGGCATAAATCCACCAGAATAAAGAATATGGGAGGGGAGACAATAACGGACAAGAGACGTTTGTAAATTTTATAAGATTAAGCAATGACTTAGAAGAGCAAAGAAAACTGAAACCTTTAGGTTTATAGAGAAGTTTGCCAAGGAGTTTCAGAGAGGCTCAAGAATTTGCAGCTTTACATACTGGCAAAGGCAGGCTAAGGATGAGGGCTGAAAACAGGGAGATTGGCCAAAATTCTGTACGGGTTGCTATAGGAGGACCCCAGGTTCCTGCTCTAACTCCATATAACCAAGCCACAGGAGATTTAGTCTCTGGAGAAACTGAATCAGAGAGCTTTTGAACATGGGTGCATCAGGCACTTGATAGACATCAAAATTAACAAGAAGGAAATAGATATGACAGGGAATATCCATGGTTTTTTTCAGAGTTAAGATACTGCATCTATAAAATAAGAATAATGTGTTTTTATTTTACTTCAATAAACATTTAATTGAGGTGTATTATAAGTGTTACTATATTATAGATTTTATATACATATAGAAACATGCAGAAATCATAAGTGTACAACTGGAGGTATTACCACAAAGTGAACACATTTCTGTAACCACCACCCAGATCAAGCATTACAAGCATCCTACAAGCCTGCTTATGTCTCCTCCCAATCATCACTTCCTTCCTTCTCCTAAGAGATAACCTCTATACTGACTTCTAACAGATTAATATTACCTATCTTTTACATTTATATAAATGGAATCACATAGTACATATTTCATGTATGCATTCTTGTACTAAACATTCTTTGTGAGATTCATTTATGTTGTGGCACATAACAGTAATTTTCTGATTTCCAGTACTGTATAGTATGCTATTGAATGGATATACCTGATTTTATTTATCTGTTTTCAGCTGTTATGAATAATGGTGCTAGAAGCATTCTTCTTTACTTCTCTTGGGGCATTCATGTAGGCATTTATCTCAGAGCAGAATGAATGCATACTTCAGCATTCTTAATTTCAGTTACTATATTTTTTGATTCTAGAATTTGCATTTGGTTCTTTTTTATAGTTTCCATTCATAAGATGGAGTTCTACATCTTGTTAACACATTTCTCAAATATGTTAATCAAACTTATTTTAAAGCATTTAGCTCACAACTCCAATATTTGGATCTATATGTAGGCCTAGTTCTATTATCTGTTTATTTTTCCCTTGGTCTTGTCTCTTGGTATGCCTGATAAGTTTTGAGTTAATGATGGACATTGGGTATCAAAACTTAGGAAATATTTTGAGGCTCTAGGTGGTGTTTTCTTCCTCTGAAGATATAAAACCAAAAAATAAGAGAAATAAGTGCAAAAGACTAAAAATAGGATGGAAATGCTACCAATATTAGGTATTAGTCCACGGAGTTCACCATCAGAGTAAAAGGATTCCAGAAAGAGAGACTAGAAGAAACAGAAATATAAGATTTCCCAAAATTCAAGGACAGATATTTTCAGATTGAGATAGCTCATCACATGCCAGAACAACTAATGAAAAAGACTTAGCACTGTGAAATTTTAGAACAGGAAAGATAAAGAGAAGATCCTTTAAACTTCCACAATTTAAAAAAATACAATTTATGTACAAAGGATTGGGAATAAGAATGATATCTAACTTCTTAATAGCAATGTTAGATGATAGAAGACCTTGAAACTACCTTTAAAAGTCTAAGGAAAAATTATTATCAACCTAAAGTTCTATATGCATCCAATCTATCAATCAAATGATGCAGAATGAAGATACAAGGCCTCAAAAATTTATTTACATCGTTTCTCAGAAAATATCTCGAAGATATTCTCCACAAAAATGAGTGAGTGGGTGAAGAAAAAGAAGTATATAGGATTCAAGAAACAGAAAATTTCATCCAGGAGAAAAGCAAAGAGAGAAGCTGCTCCAAAAAAGTAAAGTCTTAATAGCAAATACATGGAATCAACCCAAATGCCCATCAGTGATAGACTGAATAAAGAAAATGTGGTACAGATACACCAGGGAATAATACTATGCAGCCATAAAAGGAATGAGATCATGTCCTTTGCAGGGACGTGGATGAAGTTGGAAGCCATCATCCTCAGCTAACTAGCACAGGAATAGAAAACCAAACACTGCATGTTCTCACTCATAAGTGGGAGCTGAGCAATGAAAACATATGGACACAGGGAGGGGAACAACACACACTGGGGCCTGTTGGGGAGTAGGGAACAAGAGGAGGGAGAACTTCAGGCAAAATAGCTAATGTATGCTGGGCTTAATACTTAGATGATGAGTTGATAGATGCAACCAACCACCATGGCACATGTTTACCTATGTAACAAACCTGCACATCCTGCCCATGTACCCCAGAACTTAAAATTAAATTAAACTTAATTTAATTTAAAACAAGAAAGTTAAGTCTTTAAGAAAAGAAAGCAAAAGGATTTCTAGAATTAAGCACAAAAGAATTCAAAGGATGACTCTTGGACAGCACATCTATAGGCAGACTGTCCAGAGTTTAGCAGAAAAATGGAAACTTTCAGGAGAAAAGTTTCCAGGAAAAAAATGTATCTGATAGAGTATGATGTGTTTGAACATGAAGAATAAAATTGATTGTGGTGTTGTAGTGCTAATGGAGGATTTAGAAAGAATTAATGTTAGAAGTGTAGAAAACCTACAACAAAACAAAGCAATAATCAACATCAAGAAAAACAAAAAGTTGTACAAGAGAAGAAATATCGTAATATATCATGTAGCTCAGATATGCACAACTTTTTTTTTAAGTAGACTTTATTTTTTTAGCAGTTTTAGGCTCATAGTAAAATGAAGCGGACAGTATAGAGTTTTCATCATGTCCTTTGTCCCCACATGCATGTAGCCTTCCCCACTGTGAACATGCATAACAGAATGGTACATATGTTACAATCGATGAACTTACACTGAGACATCATTATCATCCAAAGTCTATAGTTTACATTAGAATTCATTCTTGGTACTATACGCTCTTTGGGTTCTTGCAAATAGGTAAAGACCTGTGTCTAGCTAGTACTATAGTATCACACAGAATAGGTTCACTGCCCTAAAGGTCTTCTGTGCTCCAGCTATTTCTTTCTTTCTTCCCCTAACCCCTGGCAACCACTCATTTTTTTAAATTGTCTTCCTAATTTTCCTTCTCCAGAATGTCATAGTTAAAAGTATATAGTATGTAGCCTTTTCAGATTGGCTTCTTTCACTTAGTAATACGCATTTAAGGTCCCTCCATATCTGTTAATGCCGTCATAGCTCAATTCTTTTTAACACCGGATAATATTCCATTGTATACATGTACCACAGTTTATTCATCCATTCACCTATTGAAAGACATCTTCATTGCTTCCAGGCTTTTGCAATTATGAATAAAACTGTTATAAACATTTTTGTGTGGGGTTTTTTTGTGGATACACTTTTCAACTCATTTGGATATACCAAGGATTGTGGTTGCTGGACTGTATGGTAACAGCATGTTTAGTTTTGTAAGAAACTTGCAAACTGTCTTCCAAAGTGGCTGTACCATATTTCATTTCCCCCAGCAGTGAATACGAGTTCCTATTACTCCACATTCTCACCGGCATTTGGTGTTGTCACTGTTTTGGATATTTCACCGTTCTAATATGTGTGTAGTATAAACTTTTTAGTATGATCTTAGTAATGTAAAACACTGAATAAGAATTTATCCAAAAATTATGAAAAATCATATTAGAAGGATGAGAGAAGGGAAGGAAAACGGGGTGGTGGCTTAAGAATGGTGAATCCTCTTTCTTTCAAAATAGGAAGTCAGAGATATTATCCAAAACTGAAAAGTGAAAAAATATTAGTATAAAGCTACTATGTATAATTATGGAAATAAACACTAGAAGATGTAGAAGATATAACTGAAAGGCTTGAAAATACTTGCCTCTGCATTGCAAGACTTTGGGATAAGGGAGGTGGAAGGGCAGCCTTAGGTGAAAGGGTAACAGTGATTTTTTTCTTATAATTTTGTAGTACCACTGGAGCTTTTAAATAATATAGATGTATTATTTTGTTTAAAAATTAATTTTATTAAAAATGAATGGATTATCCGTAAGGGAGTCTAAGAACGAGCATTGGTGTGATTTCTTTCAGGTATTTGGAAGGCCTGAAAAGAAACCTTATGAATGTAGCCTCTCAGATGGCCTGAAATGTTCTGAATAGACACGGGGAAGCACACTATGGTTCAAGGTGCTGTGGTGTATAACCCCGTATTCCTTTCATCTTAGCTGCCAGTACTTCGCCTTGTACGCACCCTATCTTTATGCTTCAGCTTCCTTATCAGTAAAATGAGGATAATACTTATGCCTTGATTAGGTAAAATGCTATTATCATATTTCCAGTGCAAACACAAAGTGTGTAAACCAAGTACATCTTAGAAAAGTTAAGTTGGTATTGTAGCGCCTAAGACATGGAGTAATGTTCCCACACAGTACATTGCTGTGATCCTGCACCAACTTTGTGGGTTTGTATGAGTTCTGAACATCTCTGAGCTTTGCTTTCTCATTGATTGCTATAAGGTTATTGTAGAGATCCAATCAAATACAAAAATAGATGTGCATAAATGATAATGCAGTGTGCAGATGTTAAACATTTATCTGTCTTCTGTTCACCAGACCCCGGGATGATGCAGCCCCTGCTTCCCTGCTCAGGGTCTGGCAAGAAACCTTACATGTAATAGTGTATTAAATCCCAATGGTAACTTCACTAATGAGCTTACTTAGCAGTAAGAGGAGAGTCTGGAGCACTTGCCCCTTACTTGAGAGAGCCATTTGGTGAGGTTCTTGGATTTCACAGACCTGTCAGGTTAAGAAAAATTTGACTACCATAGGTTGCCGACATATAAATTTGTCAAATCAGAAGATTAAAACACACAAACAAGAAAAACTTCAGTTATTCTGATTGTTTCATTAAATGAAAGGACATTTACACAGACACACACACATACATACACACACACACACACACACACGAGGCACAAAGTAGGAAGGTCTTAATTTAGGAATGGAGGCTGACATTTTCACCATAGACTAGTGAAAATGACTTCCTGGATCAGTATCTGTCCATAGCCACTGTTTAGGAGATACTGACCTAAGAAGTTTACTTTCCAGACTGCATCTTGTTTTTTGCTTTTGTTTTTGAGAGGATCTCACTCCGTTGCCCAGGCTGTAGTGCAGTGGCGTGATCACAGCTCACTGCAGCCTCAGCCTCCATGGGCTCAAGCTATCCTCCTGCCTCAGCCTCCTGATGAGCTGGGACTACAGGTGTGTACCACCTGCCTAGCTAATTTTTTTCTATTTTGAGTAGAGGCAGGGCATCACTATGTTCCCTAGGCTGGTCTTGAACTCCTAGACTCAAGTGATCCCACCTTGGCCTCCCAAAGTGCTGGGATTACAGTTGTGAGCCACTGCACCTAGCCCTGTACTGCATCTTGAAGGAAAAGTATTAATAATTATTTTCCCAACAATGAAAATAGGACAATGAGTAGAAAAAGCATTTCAGGCAGAGGAAAGGGCATATATGTATAAAGCCATGGCATCATGAAAGGATCTCATATGCTCAAGGAACAAGTTCAGTATGGTGGCAGGGTAGAAGGTATAATACAATATTGCCACACTAGGCTGCATATTTGGGTTGACATAAAGATGTAGAGCTCAGTTCCTGTCCTGTGAGTTCTGTGTGTAATTATAGACGTTAGAAAAGTTAATACAAGAGTTCATTATGAAGACAATTACACATAAAAGGACAAAGGATAACATAGTATAGGACAAATTGAGTGTCCTTGGTCAAGGAGGTGGGCAGTAGAAGTGATGCAATGATTGTGATAATAATGACGGTAGTGGGGATGGTGATGATGATTGTGGTGCTGATTACAGCATTACTTCTTGATGTGACCTAGGCAGAGTTCTAAACACTTATAGATATGAACTTACCTAGTGTTCATAACAACTCTGTGAGATGGATGTTGCCATTATCACCATTTTATATGTAGGAAAACTGAGGCATGGAGAGGTCAAGTAAGGTGCACAATGTCACACTATTCTTCAGTAGTACAGCCAGGACTTGAACCTTGCAGTAGGGTTCCAGAGCTTATATTCCTAATTATTTCAGTTTGCTGCTTCTCATGTGCTGGTAGAAGAGAGACAGATTTAAAAAGGAAAGATACAAGAGATGCCATGGAGTAAGAATGCCAAGATTTGGTGACTGGCTGTGTTGAGGGTATCTATATTGCAATAAGTAACAGATATCTTTTGTCTTTATTCTGCAAAGACTGATGAGGCTGTGTTGAGAACTTTTTCATAGGAAGCTTTTTAACCTATTTCTTAAATTCCACACTGGGATTTGATTTAAAAATTTTGAATTAAGTGCTTACTTGAGCTCAGTACTTTATTGTCCTTGGATTACTTAAACTGCTATCATTTCAGTCTAGAACTTCTTAAACTCACCCAAGCTAGGAGATTTTGCCTGATTCCTCTCTATTCTCTCTTTACACAGTGGGATATAATAGAAAGTGAATTTTTTGGAATCTTGCATCAAGCAATTAATCAGTTTTCACTTTTCCAGAAGAATGACTTTTGCTGGACAAGTAGTAAAGCGTACTGATTCAATTTACTTTATTACTTTTATGGCTCCTGAGGAGACATGAGCTGGCATTTTTAGGCATTTCTATGACTGAATTATTGATTAACTCATATCATTCTGTGTTTAAGATAAAAACCAGAATGCATATTTAGATAGATAAGAGAAAGAGGAGAAAAACAAGGGGAGTAGAACAAGCAATGATAATATCTGTGTAGATTGTTAAGTAAAAGGAAGACAGAGGAGAGAAATGAGAAGAGAGAAGATCAAATGATGATCCATGAAGCAAGATATGATACACCAGTGATGATGATACAGGTCTCCTTACTCCCCAGTTCAGGTCTCTTTCTCAAATATTCTGTGCTCTGTGTTCTGTGTATTCTGTGTTCAGAAATGTGAGAAAAGAAAAATTAAGGTATGATTTCAGACTAAGAGGCCCTGGAAGGCATAGACCCTGTATTTTCATGTTTTTGTCTCTAGCAAATGACCTGGCACTGGTAACTTATCATAAGTGTTTGATTAATTAATGAATTAAAGATTGGCTATTTATTTAACTATTCATCCATTCACTGTCTCCGTTCAATAAACCTTTATAGAGTGTCAAGCAATGTGAAGAAAATTTATTCCTTCAGAAGCCACGGAGAATCTAGAAACACTGACATCTAGCCTTAATAGACTCACTGAACAGGGAGGGACCTTAGAGATGCTCTAATCCAATGTCTTAATTAGACAAATAAGGAAAAGAAAGCCCATGGAAGTGAGGCATTTTGTGCTGCAGTCACACAAGATGGAATTCAAGACCTCAACAGTGCACAAGTTTACCTCCACCAATAATCAGAATGATTTTGTGGTTTTAGTATTTATTATTAGTTGTAATAATATTTGGTATTCTTATGTTGGGTGTTTCCTCACCTCTATTTTCATCTCCAAATCAGGTGAATGCACATCATACCCAAATCTCATTAGTTTAAGGCTCTATTTCTATACCTTCCTGTAGTGGAGATGAACTCAAAATGCCCTTTCCTAGCAAATCTCCTCAGGACAAGATAGGGGGTATGGTCTTAGTATAACAGAGGTGCCCAGCAGCCAATAGTAGAACCACCAAAAATGGGTCATGAATATCTGTATATCAAGACTCACAATTATTCTGATTCAAATATCTATTATATTTTAAAATTAAACATTTATAAAATATTATTTATAATAGAACCTCATCTCTCAGAAACTCTAAAAATAACAATTCCATTTACAATAGCATCCAAAATAGTTAACTACCTAGGAATAAATGTAATGAAGAAGAAGAAAGTACACTGAAAACTACAAAACGTTCCTGCAAGAAATTAAAGAAGACCTAAATAAATGGAAAGACATCTCACATGCATGGATTAGAAGATTTAATATTGTTGAGATACAGATTCAATGCAATTTCTCCAAAAATTCCAATGGGCTTTTTTGCAGAAATGGAAAAGTTGATCTGAAATTCCTGTGGAATAGCAAGGGGACCCAAATAGCCAAAACAGTCTTGAAAATGAAGATCAAAGTTGAAGGATTCACACTTCCCAATTTCAAAACTTACTGCGAAGCTACAGTAACCAAAACAATTTGGCTTTGGAATAAGGATTGACATATAGACCAACTGAATAGAATTGGGTCGAGAAACAAACTGATATGGTTTGGCTGTGTCCCCACCCAAATCTCATCTTGAGTTGTAGTTCTCGTAATCCCCATGTGTTGTGGTGGGAGAGACCCGGTGAGAGGTAATTGAATCATGGCTGCAGTTACCCTCATGCTCTTCTTGTGATAGTAAGCTCTCATGAGATCTGATTGTTTTATAAGAGGCTTTCCCCTCTTTGCTCAGCACTTCTCTCTCCTGCTGCTTTATGAAGAAGAACATGTTTGCTTCCCCTTCCACCATGATTGTAAGTTTCCTGAGGCCTTGTCAGCCATGCAGAACTGTGAGTCAATTAAACCTCTTTCCTTTATAAATTACCCAGTCTTGGATATTTCTTCATAGCAGCCTGAGAAGGAACTAATACACAAACCATACATTTGATTTCAAAAAGGGCTATAAGACCATTTAATAGAAGGAGAATAGTCTCTTCAACAGATGATTCTGTATATCCACATGCAAAAAAATGAGGTGGACTCCTACCACATATCGTATACAAAAATTAACTAAAAATGTTTCCTTGACCTAAATATAAGAGCTGAAACTGTAAAACTCTTAGAGAAAAAAAGGTAAATCTTCATGACCTTGCATTGTCAATAGTATTAGATATGATACCAAAAGCACAGCAACAAAGTTTTTAAAAATAGATAAATTGTACTTCATCAAAATGTAAAACTTTTGTGTATCAAAGAACACCATCAAGAAAGTGAAGAGAAAACCTACAGCATGTGAGAAAATATTTGCAAATCATATATCTGATACGATATGTATCCTGGTTTATATATGAATATATAGAGAGAAAACATTCTAGTATATTCTAGTACCCGGAATATAGTCAGCCCACCCTCCATATCTGCAGCTTCCCCATTCACAGATTTTCAACCAAGTGCAGATGAAAAATATTCAGGGGAAAAAAATTAAAAAAACAATATAACAATAAAAGTAATACAAATAAACAGTGTGTATAACTATTTCCTAGCATTTTCATTGTATTAGGTATTGTAGGTAATATAGAGATGATTTAAGGTATACTGGAAGATGTGCATAGGTTATATGTAAATACTGTGCTGTTTTACATAAGGGACTTGAGCATCTGCAGATTTTGGTATCTGTGTAGAGTCCTAGGAACCAATCCCTTGTGGATACCAAGGGATGACTGTATAAAGAACTCTTAAAACTCAACAACAAAAAGACAAACAACTCAATTTAAAAATAATCAAAGGACTTGAATAGACATTTCTTCAAATAAGATATCCAAATGGTAGACAAACACGTGAAAAAATGTTCAATATCATTAGCCATTAGGGAAATGCAAGTTAAAATCACAGTGAGGTACCACTTAATACCCACTAGGATGGGAATAAGGGTTGGCAAGGATGTAGAGAAATTGGAACCCCTGTACATTACTGGTAGGAACATAAAATCGTTCACCCGCTGTGGGGAAACAGTGTGGCAGTTCCTCAGAAAGTGAAATGTAGAATTACCATGTAACCCTACATTTCCATTCCTAGGTATATACCCAAAAGAATGGAAAACAGGTATTCAAACAAGTGCATGTACATACATAATCATAGCAGCACAATTCACATTAGCCAAAATGTGAAAACAGCCCAAGTGTTCATCAACAAATGAATGGATTAAAAAATGATGTATGTATTACAGTGGAATAGCACTCAGCCATTTGTATGTATTGCAATGGAATGGCATTCAGCCATAAGAAGGAATGCAGTACTGACACTTGCTACAATGTGGAGGAACCTCCAAAACATGCTCAGTGAAAGAAGCCAGACAAAAAAAGGTCACATAATGTATGATTCCACTTTTATGAAATATCCAGAATAGGCAAATCCACAGAGACAGAAGAGATTTGTGGCTGCCAGGGACTGGAGACTTGAGAGATTGGGGAGAAGCTACTTAATGGATAAGGGGTTTTATTTTGGAGTGATAGAAATGTCTGAAAGTAGATAGAGGTGGTAGTTGCACAACATTATGAATGTACTAAGTCCCATTGAATAGTTCACTTTGAAATGGTCAATTTTCTGTTAATGTGAATTTCTCTTCAATAAAGCATTTTTTTAAAAAAGCTCTAAAGGCATGATTCATTCAGGATAGCCAAGTTTTAGGTGTAGCTCAGGTTTATTTACCCCTTCAGACATCAAAACCTTTTGTTATTAAAAAAATCACTTAGTAAGATGTAGTGCTTTTTTCACCATTGTAATGAAATAATTTACATAAACACTTACGTAGCACTTGCTGTATACCAGGCACTATTCTTATCCCCTCATTTACATTAATCATTACTTAAACCTCATTTAATTATCACAATAGCCCTTTGAGGTAAGTATTATTTTTGTGTCCATGATTTACAGATAAGGAGAGCAGGGTACATACAACAAGGTAGAGTTGTTGTGCCAAGGTCACACAGCTAATAAGTGGTGGAGCCAGAATATGAGCCCAGGAAGCCTTGCCCCAGAGCCTGTGCTCTTAACCACTATAATATACTGCTTCTTAATGTTTTCCAGCATTCTATAGCAAACTCAGAGAAAATCTGAGAGTTACATGGCAAATGAATGAGTGAATGAACAAAAAATGAACACACTTTATCGCAATATTTTGGCAGAGAACTTTGTGTTTTATACTTGGCCCTCACTGTTGTTTCAGAGAGGTGAAATTCCACATAACTAAAGCACTGTGCTAGGCACTGCAGGCTCTTACCAAATAAATAAGATGAACGTAGATGAGTCTGAGACCAGCAAACTATTACAAAATTAGTCATTATTTAAACTATATTAATTAGAAGGAGACGTATACCAAAACCGATCTATAAATCTCACTCTCTACAAGCCATTCCCCCTAATAAAATGGGGATGATGATTTTTAATACATAAAGTGCTTTACATATGTGTTAAAATTGATGACTTAATTCTTACAGCTAGTTAAGATCCTCTTCAAAGATATTAAACACCTACAGAATGGATCATTTTATGATGGCTTTATGGCCAAAGAAAGGGGAACAGGGTTACAAAGTCACTCAAACATTCCAATAATACACTACCTCATATTGGGAGCAAAGACATCAAGAAACCCACCATCTGGTTGTGCTTGGACGCTGCATGAGCTGTCAGCTTTCTCATAGCCTTCTCTTTCATGTGCCATTTAGCCATTCTCAACTGGCCATTCCAGCCAACATTACATGCTTTCATATTTGTTAGCAAAAGCAGTTTAGATTCAGCTATGTCCTTATCTAGATGTTAATCAGGCAGTCTGTATGTTTCCATACACAGTCCCTTCCAGAAGATAGAACATGTCTGAAAGAACAATGCAGACAGGCCCTGGTCCCTTAATATCTGATTGATTTGTTATTTGCCATCTGGGAGAAAGTTGTAATATCCAAATAAAATGTGTATGGAGTACTTTTCAGGATATAGCTGAACAAAGACTAACCAAAGGAAGAAAAGGGAAGACGTGGCAGCTGCATTTAATCTAGTCCAGGCTGTTATTAAGGGGCTTCTGTCCATAAGGGGATTACTTTGCATCCCCTTTGAACCAGGTGCTGTACTAAATATATCATTAGGATTCTCCAGTCATTCACTTCCAGGCTAACAATCCTTTGGCAGAACTTTATCTCAGTTCCTAGAATGCACCAGAGTCCTTCTGCCTTCACAGTCTTCGATGATCTATTCCTTTCACCTCACTGATCACTCCCACCCATTTTATCAGGCTACTTTCTACTTATCTTTTATGACTCAACTTAAATGTCTCTTTATCACACAGGACTTTCCCTGACGCCTTATGCTATTAGATTCTCCCATTATGCTGTTTCTTCACCTTGAACTTTTCCCTCAGAGTACTTAGCAAAATTTTAATTAAAGAATTATCTGTGGGGAGAGAGGGCCAGGATGGCTGATTAAAAGCAGCTGTGGTCTGCAGCACTCGTGGAGAGGAGTGAAAGTGGCAAGTGAGTTCAGCACCCTCAGCTGAAATATCCAGGTTCTCACATTACTGACTAGGCAAACAGCTTGACCTGCAGAGAATGGAAAAAAAGCAGGGTGGGGTGATGGCCCATCCGGGAGTGGCATGAAGCCAACAGTCCCCCCACCCCAGCCAAGGGAAGCGGTGAGTGATTGTGCAGTCCTGCCCAGGAAACCACACCCCTCCCACGGATCTTTGCAACCAGCAGATTAGGAGATCCCCTCATAAGCGCATGCCACCAGGGTACTGGGTCCAATAAACAGAGCTGTGTGGAGTCCCAGCAGAGCAGCCACTCAGGCACACACAGAGACCCAGGAGTTTTGCATACTCCACCCCCAGGATTCTCAGCAAGGTGGGAGATCCATCCCTAGGAAGGGAACTGAATCCCGGAAGCCAAGCAGCATGTTCTGCAGGCCCCCCTTCCACAGTGTCTCACAAATTAAGACCTAATGGCAAATTCCAGCCAGTCAGCAGCAGCAGGCTTGAGTCTGCCTGAGAAGGACCGAGTCCCCAGTGGGAGGGGTGGCCAACATCTCTGTGGTTTAGGCAACTCAGCAGTTCCAACCTGCCAGCTCTGGAGAGTCCAGACAGCCTGGACAAGGAAGGGTCTCCCACAACGCAGCACAGCTGCACTACTAGAAAGCAGCCAGACTGTTTTTCTAAGTGGGTCCCTGATCCTGTTACTCCTGACTGGATGAGACCTCCCAACAGGGGTCTCCAGCCTCCTCCTACAGGTGCAGTTCAGGCTGGCAACAGGTCAGTACCCCCCTGGGATGGAGATTCCAGAGGAAAGAACAGGCTGACATTTTTGCTGTTTCATGGCCTTCACTGGTGGTAACCTTGGTATGGGAAAAGACAAGGCAACTAGGGTCTGGAGTGGACCCTCAGAAAACCACAGCAGCCCTATGGAAGAATAGCCTGACTGTTAAAAAAAAAAACAAAGAGAAAACAACAATAACATAAACAAAAAGGACCCCACAAAAACCCAACTCAAAGATGAGCAATCTGAAAGATCAAAGGTAGATAAACCCACAAAAGTGAGAAATAATCAATGCAAAAATACTGAAAACTCAAAAAGCCAGAGTGCCTAGTTGCTTCCACATGACCACAACAGCTCTCCAGCAATGGCACAAAATGGGACTGAGACTGAGATGACTAAACTGACAAGTAGGCTTCAGAAGGTGGGTAATAACGAACTTTGCTGAGCTAAAGGAGCATGTTGTAACCCAAAGCAAAGAAGCTAAGAATCATGATAAAACAATACAGGACCTGATAGCCAAAATAGCCAGTTTAAAGAAGAACGTAACTGAACTGATGGAGGTGAAAAACACAACATGAGAACTTCACAATGCAATCACAGGTATCAATAGCAGGCCAGTTACAGTGGCTAACACCTATAATCTCAGCACTTTGGGAGGCCAAAGCATGTGGATCACTTGAGCTCAGGAGTTTCAGACCAGACTGGCCAACATGGTGAAACCCTGTCTCTACTAAAAATACAAAAATTAGCCGGGCATGCTGATGCGCTTACGTAGTTCCAGTTACTTGGGAGGCTAAGGCAGGGGAATCGCTTAAACCTGGGAGGCAGTGGTTGCCATGAGATGAGATCACACCACTGCACTGTAGCCTGGGTGACAGAGTGAGACACTATCTCACAAAAAAAAAAAAAAGTATCAGTAACAGAATAGACCAAGTGGAGGAAAGAATCTCAGAGCTTGAAGACTATCTTTCCAAAATAAGAAAGGCAGACAAGAATAGAGGGAAAAAAAGGAATGAACAAAACCTCCAAGAAATATGGGGATTATGGAAAGAGACTGAACTTACAACTGACTGAGGTACCTGAAAGAGACCGGGAGATGGAACCAAGTTGGAAAACATATTTCAGGATAGCATCCAGGAGAAATTCCCCAACCTAGTAAGCCAGGCCAACATTTAAATTCAGGAAATGCAGACAACCCCAATAAGATACTCCATGAGACGATCAATGCCAAGGCACATAATCGTCAGATTCTCCAAGGTCAAAATGAAAGAGAAAATGTTAAGGGCAGCCAGAGGGCAAGGCCAGTTCGCATACAAAGGGAAGCCCATCAGACTAGCAGCAGAACTCCCAGCAGAAACCCTACAAGCCAGAAGAGATTGGGAAACAAATTCAACATTCTTAAGAAAAGAATTTCCCCAATCCTGAATTTCATATCTGGCCAAACTAACCTTCAAAAGTGAAAAGAAATAAGATAATTTTCAGACAAGCAAATGCTGAGGGAACTCATCACCACGAGGCTTGCCTTGCAAGCACTTCTGAAGGAAGCACTAAATATGGAAAGGAAATACCATTACCAGCCACTACAAAAACACACTGAAGTACAGTGTATCTGAAGTACACAGCCCAGTAACATTGAAGCAACCACATAAACAAATCTGCAAAATAACCAGCTATCATGTTGACAGGATCAAATTCCCACGTAACAATACTAACCTTAGATGTAAATGGGCTTAGTGTCCCCATTAAAAGACACAATGGCAAGCTGGATAATGAGCCAAGATTCATGGTATGCTGCCATCTCATGTGCAAAGACACACACATAGGCTTAAAATAAAGGAATGGAGGAAAATTTACCAAGCAAATGGAAAACAGAAAAAAGCAGGGGTTGCAATCCTAGTTTCTGACAAATAGACTTTAAACCAACAAATATCAAAAAAGACAAAGAAGGGCATTATGTAGTGGTAAAGGGTTCAATTCAAGAAGTGCTAACAATCCTAAATACATATGCACCCAATACAGGAGCATGCAGGTTCATAAAGCAGGTTCTTAGAGACTTTCAAAGAGACTTAGACTCCCATACAATAATAATGGGAGACTTTAACACCCTGCTGACAATATTAGACAGATCATCAAAGCAAAAAATTCACAAAGATATTTAGGACTTGAACCCAGCTCTGGATCAAGTGGACCTGATAGATATATACAGAACTCTCCACCCAGAAACAACAGAGTATACATTCTTCTCATCCCCACATGACACTCACTCTAAAATTGATCACATAAATCAGAAGTAAAACACTCCTAAGCAAATGCAAAAGAATTGAAATTGTAACAAACAGTCCCTCAGACAACAGCACAACCAAATTAGAACTCAAAATTAAGAAATTCACTCAAAACTACACAAGTACTTGGAAATTGAACAACCGGATCCTGAGTTACTCTTAGGTAAATAATGGGATTAAGGCAGAAATCAAGAAGTTTTTTGAAACTAATGAGAACAAAGAGACAATGTAGCAGAATTTCTGGGATGCAGCTAAAGCACTGTTAAAAGGGAAATTTATAACACTAAATGCCCACATCAAAAAGCTAGAAAGATCACAAGTTAACAAGCTAAATCACAATGAAACAAACTAGAGAAACAAGAGCAAACAAACCCCAAAGCTAGCAGGAGACAAGAAATAACCAAGATCAGAGCTGAAATGAAGGAGATAGAGACACAAAATACCTTTCAAAAAATCAACGAGTCCAGGAGCTGGTTTCTTGAAAAAAATTAATAAAGTAGATAGACCACTAGCTAGAGTAATAAAGATGAAAAGACAAATGAATCAAATAAACTTGAGCAGAAATGGTAACCACTGACCCCACAAAATTGCAAACAACCATCAGAGAATAGTATAAACACCTCTATGCACAAAAACTAGAAAATCCAGTAGAAATGGATAAATTCATGGATGCATACACCCTCCCAAGAGTGAACCAGGAAGAAATTGAGTCACTGAACAGGCGAATAACAAGTTCTGAAATTGAAGCAGTGATACGGATTGGCTGTGTCCCCACCCAGATCTCATCTTGAATTCCCACATGTTGTGGGATGGATCTGGTAGGAGGTAACTGAATCATGGGGGCAGGTCGTTCTTGTGCTGTTCTTGTAATAGCGAATAAGTCTCACAAGATCTGATGGTTTTAAAAAGGGGAGTTTCCCTAGACAAACTCTCTTTGCGTGCTGCCATCCATGTAAGATGTGACTTGCTCCTCCTTGCCTTTCACCATGATTCTGAGGCCTCCCCAGCCATGTAGAACTGTGAGTTCCCCATTAAGCCTCTTTCTTTTGTAAATTGCCCAGTCTCGGGTATGTCTTTATCAGTAGCATGAAAACAGCCTAATACAGTAAATTGGTACCAATAGAGTTGGGGCACTGCTGAAAAGATACCTGAAAATGTAGAAACAACTTTGGAACTAACAGGAGTGCCCAGAAGAAGAAAGGAAAATGTGGGAAAGTTTAGAACTTCCTGAAGACTTGTTGAATGGCTTTAAACAAAATGCTGATAGCGATATGGACAATAAAGTCCAGGCTGAGGTGGTCTCAGAAGGAAATGAGGAACTTGTTGAGAACTGGAGCAAAGGTGATTCTTGTTATGTTTTAGCAAAGAGACTGGTGGCATTTTGCCCATATCCTAGATTTGTGGAACTTTGACCTTGAGAGGGATGATTTAGGGTATCTGGTGGAAGAAATTTCTAAGCAGCAAAGCATTCAAGAGTTGACTTGGGTGCTGTTAAAGGCATTCAGTTTTAAAAGGGAAGCAGAACATGAAAGTTCTGAAAAGTTGCAGCCTGACAATGCGATAGAAAAGAAAATCCCATTTTCTGAGGAGAAATTCAAGCCAGCTGGCTGCAGAAATTGCACAAGTGATGAGGAGCTGAATGTTAACCCCTAAGACAATGGGGAAAATGTCTCTGGGGCATATCAGAGATCTTCTTGGAAACCCCTCCCATCACAGGCCCTAAGGCCTAGAAGGAAAAAATGGTTTCATGGGCCAGGCCCAGGGTCACCATGTTGTGTGCAGCCTGGGGACTTGGTGCCCTGTGACCCAGCTGCTCCAGCCATGGCTACAAGGGGCCAACATAGAGCTTAGGCCATGGCTTCAGAGGGTGCAAGCCCAAAGCCATGGCAGCTTCCACATAGTGTTGAGCCTGCAAGTGCACAGAAGTCAAGAATTGAGGTTTGGGAACCTCCACCTTGATTTCAGAGGACATATGGAAACGCCTGGATGCCCAGGCACAAGTTTGTTGCAGGGGCAGGGCCCTCATGAGAACCTCAGCTAGGGCAGTGCAGAAGGGAAATGTGGGATTGGAGCCACCACACAGACTCCCTACTGGGGCACCATCTAGTGGAGCTGTAAGAAGAGGGCCACCATCCTCCAAACCCCGGAATGGTAGATCCACTGACAGCTTGCACTGTGTGCCTGGAAAACCCACAGACAGTGCCAGCCCATGAAAGCATCTAAGATGGGGACTATACCCTGCAGAGCCACAGGGGTGGAGCTGCCAAAGGCCGTAGGAACCCACCTTCTGCATCAGCGTGTCCTGAATGTGAGACATGGAGTCAAAGGAGATCATTTTGGAGCTTTGAGATTTGACTGCCCTGCTGGATTTTGGACTTGCATGGGGCCTGTAGCTTCTTTGTTTTTGCCAATTTCTCTCATTTGGAATAGGTACCTGTACCCCTGTTGTATCTAGGAAGTAACTAACTTGCTTTTGATTTTACAGGCTCATAGGCAGAAGGGACTTGCCTTGTCTCAGAAGAGACTTTGGACTGTAGTCTTTTTGAGTTAATGCTGAAATGAGTTAAGACTTCGGGGGACTGTTGGGAAGGCATAATTGGCTTTGAAATGTGAGGACGTGAGATTTGGGAGGGGCCAAGGGGAGAATGATATGGTTTGGCTGTGTCCTCACCCAAGTCTCATCTTGAATTCCCACGTGTTGTGGGAGGGACTCAGTAGGAGGTAATTGCATCATGGGGGCAGGTACTTCCCATGCTGTTCTCATGATAGCAAGTAAGTCTTTTGAGATCTGATGGTTTTAAAAAGGGGAGTTTCCCTGCACAAGCTTTTTTTGCCTGCTGCCATCCATGTAACAGGTGACTTGCTCCTTTTCCTTCCACCATGATTGTGAGGCCTCTCCAGCCACGTGGAACTCTGAGTTCTCCATTAAACCTCTTTCTTTTATAAATTGCCCAGTCTCAGGTATGTCTTTATCAGCAGCATGAAAACAGACTAATACAGGCTCCAATAAACAGCCTACCAGCCAAAAAAAAAAAGCCCAGGAACAGATGGATTCACACCTGGATTCTGCCAGAGGTACAAAAAAAGAGCTGGTACCATTTCTAATAAAACTATTCCAAACAATTGAAAAGGAGGGACTCCTCCCTAACTCATTCTGTGAGGCCATCATCCTGATACCAAAACCTGGCAGATATACCACAAAAAAAGAAAACTTAAGGCCAATATCCTTGATGAACATTGATGCAAAAATCTTCACAAAAATATTGGCAAACCAAATCCAGCAGCTTATCAAAAAGCTTGTCCACTGCAATCAAATTGGCTTTATCCCCAGTATGCAAGGTTAGTTCAACATACACAAATCAATAAATGTCATTCATCACATACACAGAACCAAAGACAAAAACCACATGATTATCTTAATAGATGCAGAAAAGGCCTCTGATAAAATTCAACGTTCCTTTGGCCGGGCACGGTGGCTCACGCCTTTAATCCCAGCACTTTGGGAGGCCAAGACAGGCAGATTGCGAGGTCAGGAGATCGAGACCATCCTGGCTAACACAGTGAAACCCCGTCTCTACTAAAAATACAAAAAAATTAGCTGGGCGTAGTGGCAGGCACCTGTAGTCCCAGCTACTCAGGAGGCTGAGGCAGGAGAATGGCATGAACCCGGGAGGCAGAGATTGCAGTGAGCTGAGATTGCACCACTGCACTCCAGCCTGGGCGACTGAGCGAGACTCCATCTCAAAAAAAAAAAAAAAAAATCCTTCATGTTAAAAACTCTCAATAAACCAGGTGTTGAAGAAACACACCTCAAAATAATAAGAACTGTATATGACAAACCCACAGCCAATATCATACTGAACAGGCAAAAGCTGAAAGCATTCCCCTTGGAAACCAGCACAAGACAAGAATGCCCTCTCTCACCACTCCTATGCAATATAGTATTGGAAGTTCTGGCGAGGACAATCAGGCAAGAGAAAAAAATAAAGAGTATTCAAATAGGAAGAGAGGAAGTCAAATTACCTTTTTGCAGATGACATGATCCTATATCTAGAAAACCGCATCATCTCAGCCTAAAGCTTTTTAAGCTGATAAGCAACTTCTGCAAAATCTCAGGATACAAAATAAATGTGCAAACATTGCTAGCATTCCTATACACCAACAACAGGCAAGCAGAGAGCCAAATCATGAATGAACTCCCATTCACAATTGCCACAAAAAGAATAAAATATCTAGGAATACAATTAACAAAGGAATTGAAGGACCTCTTCAAGGAGGACTACAGTCCACTCTCAGAGAAATCAGAGAGGACACAAACAAATGGAAAAACATTCCATGCTCATGGATAGGAAGAATCAATATCATGAAAATGGCCATACTGCTCAAAGTAATTTATAGATTCAGTGCTATTCCCATTAAACTGCCATTGATGTTCTTCACAGAATTAGAAAGAAACTACTTTAAAATTCATGTGGAACCAAAAAAGAATCTGTATAGCCAAGACAATCTTAAGCAAAAAGAACAAAGCTGGAGGCATCATGCTATCCAACTTCAATGTATACTACAAGTCTACAGTAACCAAAAGAGCATGGTACTGATACGAAAACAGGCACATAGACCAGTGGAAGAGAATAGAGAGCCTAGAAATAAGGCCACACATCTACAGCCATCTGATCTTCAACAAAACTGACAAAATCAATGAATGGGGAAAATACTCCCTGTTCAATAAATGATGCTGGGATAACTGGTTAGCCATATGCATCAGATTGAAGCTGGACCCCTTTCTTACACCATATACAAAAATCAACTCAAGATGGATTAAAGACTTAAATGTAAAACCCAAAACTTAAAACCCTAGAAGAAAATCTGGGTATTCAGGACAAGACACAGGCAAAGATTTGTCCACTCAGGACACAGGCATGTGCAAAGATTTCATGATGAAAACACCAAAAGCAATTGCAACAAAAGCGTTTCAAAATAGACAAATGGGCTCTATTAAACTAAGCTTCTGCACAGCAAAAGAAACTATCATCAGAGTGAACAGACAACTTAGAGAATGGGAGAATATTTTTGCAACCTATCCATCTGACAAAGGTTCAATATTCAGAGTCTACAAGGAACTTAAGAAATTTACAAGAAAAAAAAACAAATAACCCCATTAAAAAGTGGGCAAAGGACATGAACAGACACTTCTCAAAAGAAGCCGTACATGCAGCCAACGAACATGAAAAAAAGCTCAGTATCACTGATCATTAGAGAAATGCAAATCAAAAGCACAATGAGATACCATCTCACACCAGTCAGAACGGCCACTATTAAAAAGTAAAAAAGCTCTCTCCCTCTCCCTCTCCCTCTCCCTCTCCCTCTCCCTCTCCCTCTCCCCACGGTCTCCCTCTCTTTCCACGGTCTCCCTCTCATGCGGAGCCGAAGCTGGACTGTACTGCTGCCATCTCGGCTCACTGCAACCTCCCTGCCTGATTCTCCTGCCTCAGCCTGCAGAGTGCCTGCCATTGCAGGCACGCGCCGCCACGCCTGACTGGTTTTGGTGGAGACGGGGTTTCGCTGTGTTGGCCGGGCCGGTCTCCAGCCCCTAACCGCGAGTGATCCGCCAGCCTCGGCCTCCCAAGGTGCCGGGATTGCAGACGGAGTCTCGTTCACTCAGTGCTCAATGGTGCCCAGGCTGGAGTGCAGTGGCGTGATCTCGGCTCACTACAACCTACACCTCCCAGCCGCCTGCCTTGGCCTCCCAAAGTGCCGAGATTGCAGCCTCTGCCCGGCCGCCACCCCGTCTGGGAAGTGAGGAGTGTCTCTGCCTGGCCGCCCATCGTCTGGGATGTGAGGAGCCCCTCTGCCTGGCTGCCCAGTCTGGAAAGTGAGGAGCGTCTCCGCCCGGCCGCCATCCCATCTAGGAAGTGAGGAGCGCCTCTTCCCAGCCACCATCACATCTAGGAAGTGAGGAGCGTCTCTGCCCGGCGGCCCATCGTCTGAGATGTGGGGAGCGCCTCTGCCCCGCCGCCCCATCTGGGATGTGAGGAGCGCCTCTGCCCGGCCGCAACCCCGTCTGGGAGGTGAGGAGCGTCTCTGCCCGGCCGCCCCGTCTGAGAAGTGAGGAGACCCTCTGCCTGGCAACCACCCCGTCTGAAAAGAGGAGCCCCTCCGCCCAGCAGCCACCCCATCTGGGAAGTGAGGAGCGTCTCCGCCCGGCAGCCACCCCGTCCGGGAGGGAGGTGGGGGGGTCAGCCCCCCACCCGGCTAGCCGCCCCGTCTGGGAGGTGAGGGGCGCCTCTGCCCGGCTGCCCCTACTGGGAAGTGAGGAGCCCCTCTGCCCGACCAGCCGCCCCGTCCGGGAGGGACGTGGGGGGGGTCAGCCCCCCCGCCCGGCCAGCCACCCCGTCCGGGAGGTGAGGGGCGCCTCTGCCCGGCCGCCCCTACTGGGAAGTGAGGAGCCCCTCTGCCCGGCCAGCCGCCCCGTCCGGGAGGGAGGTGGGGGGGTCAGCCCCCCGCCCGGACAGCCGCCCCGTCCGGGAGGTGAGGGGTGCCTCTGCCCGGCGGCCCCTACTGGGAAGTGAAGAGCCCCTCTGCCCGGCCAGCCGCCCCGTCCGGGAGGGAGGTGGGGGGGTCAGCCCCCTGCCCAGCCAGCCGCCCCGTCCGGGAGGTGAGGGGCGCCTCTGCCCGGCCGCCCCTACTGGGAAGTGAAGAGCCCCTCTGCCCGGCCACCACCCCGTCTGGGAGGTGTGCCCAACAGCTCATTGAGAACGGGCCAGGATGACAATGGCGGCTTTGTGGAATAGAAAGGCGGGAAAGGTGGGGAAAAGATTGAGAAATCGGATGGTTGCCGTGTCTGTGTAGAAAGAAGTAGACATGGGAGACTTTTCATTTTGTTCTGCACTAAGAAAAATTCTTCTGCCTTGGGATCCTGTTGATCTGTGACCTTACCCCCAACCCTGTGCTCTCTGAAACATGTGCTGTGTCCACTCAGGGTTAAATGGATTAAGGGCGGTGCAAGATGTGCTTTGTTAAACACATGCTTGAAGGCAGCATGCTCGTTAAGAGTCATCACCAATCCCTAATCTCAAGTAATCAGGGACACAAACACTGCGGAAGGCCGCAGGGTCCTCTGCCTAGGAAAACCAGAGACCTTTGTTCACTTGTTTATCTGCTGACCTTCCCTCCACTATTGTCCCATGACCCTGCCAAATCCCCCTCTGTGAGAAACACCCAAGAATTATCAATAAAAAAATAAATTTAAAAAAAGAAAAAAAGAAAAAAAGAAAAAAAAAAGATTGGCGAATGAGCATACTTATGGTTTGGTAAATAGAGGTAATGATTCCTCTCAGTTCTGTTTGCATGGGGGTTGTGGAGCTAGGTCAGCTTCCTCCTGACTGTCTTTGAAGTTTCACTGACAATTCTGGACACTCAGATTCCAGCTTTCCAAGCTTTCCTATTGGCCACTGGGTTAGGTTTCATACTGCTTCTATTGGTTGCTGTGATGGGGTTTGTAAATGGAACGGAGGCAAATCATACTTGTACCCTACTATTGTCATTTATGTGAAAAGTTGTCTAGAACTACGCTGCCCAGTTCAGTAAACACCAGCCACATGTCTAGTCGGCCCTTGAAATGTGGCTAGCCTGAATTGAGACATTCTCTAAGTATAAAATTCACATTGGATTTTGAAGAGCTAGAATGAAATAAAGAATGTGAAATATTCTGTGAGAAAGTTAATAATTTTAATATTGATAACATGTTGAATTAAGATTTTGTATATGTTGGATTAAACAAAATACTAAAATTAAAAAAAAAAGTAAAAAAAAAAAACAATAGATGCTGGTGAGGTTGTGGAGAAAAACGGAATGATTTTACACTGTTGATGGGAGTGCAAATTAGTTCATAGTTCATCCATCATGGAAGACAGCGTGGTGATTCCTCAAGGAACTAGAGGCAGAAATATCATTTGACCCAGCAATCCCATTACTAGGTATATACCCAAAGGAGTATAAATAATTCTACTATAAGGATACATGCACGCATATGTTCACTGCAGCACTATTTGCAATAGCAACGACATGGAACCAGATCTTGTCCTTTGCAGGGACATGGAGCTGGAAGCCATTATCCTCAGCAAACTAATGCAGGAACAGAAAACCAAATACTGCATGCTCTCATAAGTGGGAGCTGAATGATGAGAACACGTGGACACATGGAGGGAGGATAACACACACTAGGGCTTGTCAGGGGTTGGGGAAAGGAGAGCATCAGGAAGTATACCTAATGGATGCTGGGCTTAATACCTGGGTGATGGGATGGTCTGTGCAGCGAGCCACCTTGGCACATACTTACCTATGTAATAAACCTGCACACCCTCCACATGTATCCCTGAACTTAAAATAAAAGTTGAAAAAAAAAGAATTATTTGTGATTTTATTTGTTTCATATTCTCTGCTAGGTGTAAGCTTCAAGGAGGCAAGGACAGGGTCACTCTGGCTCACTGCTAGATTCCCAGCCATTAGACATACGCCTGGCACATAGTAGAGCCTCAATAAATATTTGTTGAATGACACAATGAGTAAATAAATGAAACTGGACCATGCTTTCTGTGAACTCACAATGAAGCGCTATTTAATGTTTATGTAGGGTCTATTCTATTTTCACACTTCACCTTTATTTTAAAATTAAGCTGTATATGCTAAAAATACAATGACTTAGTAATTGGACATAGAAAAGATGGTGATTGGTTAGTGGTGAGGTGGGGAGATGAGTGAATTTCCATTTAGTGCTAGAGAACATCCAGCTGCCAGGTAATAGATGGTCCTAAAGCTCTTTCATAGTTTGGTTTCACAAAAATGAGACTAAAGTCCCTTTTCCAAGTATTCCACCATGAAATCTCAGAGAAACCTTTAGAGCTAGTAGTTCTAGATGGGCTTAATGGTTAGTCTTCATTTTAAAATAATCAACCAGTGTTTTTTAAAAAACATTTCTCCTTTTATTGCAGGTTTTATACTGCTCACAGTTTCCCTCAAAGAATAATCCAGTAAGTGGTGAAACAGTTCTAGGTGCAAAGGGGGAGTAGATATACAGAAAGGAAAGATGTTGGGTGATGCAGATTAGATTTGAGCCTTTTAATGTGAAATCTGATCTGCATGTCAACCACGTTTAAGATTCAGATTGCAGTTTTGTGATAGTCCCTGCCTTGTTGTATCTTCCATAAAAGCTTAGGAATTTACGATTACTAGAGATTTGCTATCTGTCTCTTGTTAGTTGTAAATTCAAGTTTTGTGTTCATACATTTCAAATTTTGTATGCCACTGTATCCTTGTACTTGTCACACAAGCCCGCTAAGCTAAAGTTTTCATGATTCTCGTCATAGGGTTCAGAAGACAGCATTTTATTTCAGGTTTTCACTGGCCTCCAGAATTCTCTTCATCTTCTAATTTAAAAAACCTTCATTTATTAATATTGGCATTGACATGGAAATTATCTTCTTCTATCTCAAAGGAGTTTTGAAGTATATGTCAAATATATCTGAAGTTAGGTAAATATTTACTATTTTGAGAGTTCATTTGCTCAGTTACTTTATATAGATTTTCTAAATGTTGATGACAAAGAATGGATGGACAAAACATCTGAAAACTAATATTTATAAATCTAGTGCATTTTTAATGACTAGAGCATTAGGACATTTAGAAATCATTGCATTGCTGATGAGTATTTAAGTTTTTAGTTAGATGACTGATTTTCCTTTTTCAGATTAGGACATTAGGATCTAATTAGAAAAATGTCATGGCTAGGATGCACAGAAACCTCTTCTATTTGCTTTTATAAATTGTGAGAATTGTACATAAGGAAGTTTTTTGGGGGATGATTGGTTGAATTTTCCTGACTACATACAGTCACATATATACACACAAAATTTCCCACTACATTCTAAAAACAGAAACTTTACTCATAAAAATCAAACATATATAGAAATTATTGTGAAGAATAAAATTAAAAACTATGCTTGAGCTAACCACCTAAGTTAGTTTCATTTGGTATATTTCCTTTCAGTCTTTTTTGCCATTCACACTTTTTTTTCTTTTTCTTTTTCTTTTTTTTAAGACAGGGTCTTTCTCCATCTCCCAGGCTGAAGTGCAGTCGTGCAGTCATAGCTCACTGCAGCCTCCACCGCCCAGGCTCAGGTGATTCTCTCACCTCAGCTTCCTGGGTGGCTGGGACTATGCCCAGCTAATTTTTTTGTTTTTTTTTTAAAGATATATGGGGTATGGCTATGTTACCCAGGCTGGTCTTGAACTTGGGTCTGAAATCCTCCCACCTCAGCCTCCCAAAGTGCTGGGATTACACACTGGAGCCACCACACCCAACCCATTCATACATTTTATAAATTTATTTTCTATGGTTGAGATAGAGTTTTTTGTATCTGTTTTTTTCATTTAACTTTTTATCTCAAGCCTTTCCCATATCGTGAAAACATCTTCATAAATTCAATTTATTGTGGCTCTTTACTGTCTCATCCCATGAAACACTGTTATGTACTTAACACTCCTCAAGTGCTGGAAATTTAAGTTGTTTATTTTTCAGAAATTATAAACGCTTATTTGCATAGATCCTTGAGTTTCTAATTTTTTTAATTTTAGAATAGATTCATAAAATGAAATTACTGAGTAAAATGGTATGAACATTTTTAAGACTTTGGTACACATAGTAAAGTCTTTCTAGGATATTAATACTAATTTATATTCCCACTTGCTACAAATGACAAAGCTTAATATATTTACTATAAAAGAGGTCATATAAGTAAATAGGAAAAATGTACTAATAGTAAAATGGCTTACAAACATGAACAGAAAATTTACTAAAAAGAAAATTACAGAGAGACATCTGCACTCCCATGTTTATTGCAGCACTATTCATAATAGCTGAGATACAGAATCAACATAGGTGTCCAACAACAGATGAATGAATAAAGAAAATGTGGTATACAAACACCATGGAATACTATTCAGCCATAAAAAAGAATGAAATCCTGTCATTTGCAGCAACATGGATAGAAGTGGACATTATGTTAAGTGAAATAAGCCAGGAACAGAAAGTTGAATGCCACGTGTTCTCACTCGTGTGGAAGCTTTAAAAAGTTGATCTCTTAGAAGTAAAAAGAAGTACAGAGGATACTAGATGCTGGAAATGGTAGGGGGAAGGGAGGGGTAGGGAAAGATGTATTAAAGAATACAAATGTATGGCTAGATAAGAGGAATACCACTGTAAGAGGACTATAGTTAACAATAATATGTTATATACTTTCAAATAGATAGGAAGATATTGAGTGTACCCACCAAAAAGGAATGATAAATGTTTGAGATGATGAATATGCTCATTACCCTGATCTGTTCACCATATATTATGTGTATGTAAACATCACTATGAATATGTACAATTCCTATTTGTCAATTAAAAAGCAATTTTTAAGAGACAATTAATATATCCATATAAATATACATGAATGAAATTAAAATAAAATATCATTATAAGTATAATAAGCTATTATTTTGAAAATATTAAAAGGTAAGATGTTAACAGAGGAAGCTGGGTAAAGGGTAACAAGAAACTCTGAACTTTTTTTTAACTTTTCTAAAAGTCTAAAATTATTTCAAATAAGTTAAAAAATTAATTTACCCATATAATGGCTGTGGGTGCTTAGGTTATTCAATATCTTTGTACTTATTGATCTCATATAAATAAGCTGATGTACTCCCAGAAATCTTAAATGGCACATACCTAACTAGTTCTCTCAAGTCACACCTCTAGTATTGAAAAGAAAATATGGAATATTTCCAATGCATGCTCTTATTTATTGTATAGTTCTCTGAACTTGCTCCATATAGTGTAAGCTTTATCTCATTTAATCATGTCTACCCTAGGAAGTAAGCAGTAAAATTATCATGCTCATTTCACAGATGAGAAAATCAGGGCTGAAAGGTTGAATAACTCGTACAAAGTCATACGCTAAAATCTTTAATTTTAATTGATTTCATTTATATGATAGGTCCATTTGGCAGAAATGGCTTACATTTTGAAAATGAATGTTTGTCTTTATTTCCAGCTGTCTATGGTGTTCCCTTTTCAACAGATGAGCCTACAGATATTATACCACGAAGCTGTCAACTAATGACAGATGTTCCACATGTCACACAGCTGCTAAACATGACTAAACTTCGCCAAACTGAAATAAAATTCGGAGGCCATCCTCTAAGATCAGCAGAATCAGGTAGACACTCAGGCACCTAAATTATAAGTGTAATATGTCTGCATCTCTCCCATAAAGTGTGACTTCCTCCAAAAAGGGCACTGTACCTCATTCTTCTATATCCTTCGCACTTAACAGAGTATACTTGCCACATACCACGCCAGGGGCTACAAACTCAGATTACTAACAAGGCCAGGAGGATAACATAAATGAATAAAGTGGGCCGGTTGCCTGAGTATTTGACACATAGAAATATTTTCAACTTCAGCAGTGAGAGAAATGGTTATGGTATTACGGGAAACAGTAACTTTAACCACTGTGCAAATAGTACATTAAATTGCAGTTAACACTTAGCCCCTGTGAGGGAGTTGTAGGGAGTAGTGGGGACTGAAGCCAACTGGAAGCTCCCTCAGTCTAGAAGGGAGAGCCACAATTCAGTTCTAGCCAGTGTTGCCTTTCAAAAAGGCAGGCCCAGTCTCACCAGATCTCCCATTTTTTTTCAAGAGGAGCTGGATACGTGAATGTTTATGATAAATCTCCCAATTTTAAAACATTGTCTGAAATTTTTTTTAAACACTCCATGGGCCAAACAAAACATGTCAGGGCTGCCAGTGTTCTACCTCTGTGATAGACACCAGAGCTGTTGACCAAATTAATGAGTAGTACTTACAAATGAAGAAATTTAATATTGTCTAGATGAGTGGTTCTCAACTACCTATATGTTAGAATCACCTCCTTACAGGTTAGAGACATTTTTAATGTCAAAAATTTTTTTTCTGATGTCTATGCCCCAGGGATTCTGATTTAATTGGTCTAGGATGGACCACTGGATCACTTATCCCATAGAAGTCATGTCGTTCAGGTGACACTCACAAACACTGAAGTATTTGAATGAAAGGTAAAATGATGATGGTAATCACAGGACATGTATGGAGGAAGAAGTAGATCTTGAAAGTATCCAACCTATACTTATATAAATAAGTACTTATAATAAATAAATAGATGTGAGGTTGTTGGAAGTGTAAGATGGAGCAGAAGACTGAGCAAAAACAAAGAGACAGCAAAATGGGTAGATAAGTTTACTGAGGGATTAATAAGAAGGGCCTTAGTATAAGCAGAGTGACTGTGTTAGAAGAATACAAGAGAAATGGGCTTCAGTATCCTAAGGTAGAGAAATGATAACTTCTGTTTTAGGAAGTTGAATTTAACAGCAGGATTCAAGGTGAATTTTGAAATCAAGTGATAGCAGAGATTAAGGAGCACAACTAAGATGTCTCTGCAGCAATCCAGGCTTAAAATGGCAAAGGCCCAGACTCACAGTAGCTTTGAAAGTGGAAAGCAATGGCCCTGAGAGCAATTGCCAGGAAAACTGGCAAGACTCAGTGATTCTCAGGTAATAGATGGGGATGAGAGAGTGGTCAAAGTTTGAAGGAGGTCAAGGAGAAACAAGAGATAACCATGATATGAAAATTTCAAAAGTGAACTCATTTTATTCTCTATACTTATTCCATGTTCATTTATTCTTGGGATATTTTCTATATGTCAATCTTCATCATATTGCATGTCCTAAATTGTATATTCCCAGAGAACTGGGACCTATTTGGTAACCTTTTCAGTATAAATCCTGCAGATGACTATGTATAAATAAGCAGTACATTATTTAGTCCTTTATTATGACATTTCCAAACTTACAGAAAATTCGAGAGAATGTATGATGAACAACCCCTGTGTACCCAATCACCTGCTTCCACAGTTACCAACTTTAGGTAGGACTTTTTGATAGCAATGCAGGCACACACAATGGGAATTTGTATGCTTACTATATATACTATATTTAGACAGAGAGAGACTGTATACAATCCATGGTCATTAAAGAGCCTTGAGAAAATAAATACATAAAAGGATTAAAAAGATCTGACTACCCAGACAGCTACTGTAAACACTTTGGGTCACAATTCAATCTGAATGGAAGATGTACCACAGAATAAAATAAGAGTGTGTTCTATAACAAATGCTATATCTGTATCTAATATGCTATGATAACTTTCAATAACGAATGCTAAACTATAAAGCATATCAGATAATTGTTTGCCATTGTAAATGCTTTTATTCTCTAGCTTAATGTTTTAAGAATTAATTATGTCTTTAAATGAAAGTGCAAGTCTATATCCCGATATTTTAAGTGTCTTTTTCAATTTAAATTTGAAGGACACTTATAATGTGTGAAATTAAATGGGAATTTGGATAAATATTAATTGCATCACTAACTCAATGTTATAATTAAACACAAACTTTTTCATGGGCCATATTTGAACCCAACTCATAAAAGAGGATATTAATATATATTTTGCAATTTCCATAAAAGGGCTCTCAATGCATAGTAGTGAACTTGAGTCATATATACAGAAATGAATAATTGTCATCTAATAGCATATTTCTTCTGCTCTGTGAATCCCAATTATATTCGTTTGTAACCATAGGGTTTATGATTGCACTTCTTAAATAAATCTCATTGCACATGTATGCCAGCTAAGATTACACAAACATAAATTGCACTTTGTGGTTCTCTTTCTGTAAATACTTTTCAATTGCTGATTTTGACATTTGTGAGCTTTGAAGCTTACTATCAGTGAATATTGTAATAATTATTGTTCTTTGTGTAAGCCATTTGAAAGGTGTAGCTAATGAATAATGCCCAAGGACAGGCTTTTTAATCATGGGAAAGCCAAGAGATATTTCTTCATTTGAACTACTTGTTTTTGTGTCTTTCTAAAAAGTAGACTCCCCACAGTGAGATTTGAATTGCATGAGAAAATGTGTTCTCTTTAATTAACTATGGGCTACTCATGTAAATTGTGATATTTTATTATGAATGCACATATTGAGAGATCCCAGTGAAACCTCTGGAGAAAGAAGTAGCTGTTTTCTGTGGGTGCTTTCTAGTGTTTTCACACAAGCTGAAAAGGAAACCTTAAAACTTGTAACTATTTTGGAGTGCATTTTGTTGAATAGCATATAACTTGATCAAGAGCTTTTAATGAAACTAATAAAATAATTGTGTTTCCAAAAACCACACATTCACACTCTTCACTTTGTCAATTCCCAGTGCACATTAACTAATAACTATTGTAGAAGACTGTGGAATCTGATGATCTTATTTTCATTAATGGGACCCCGGTTTAAATGAACCAGAGAATCAGATCTGGTTATTGAAGTTGAGCATTCAGCTACTAGTGACAAGATGCAGTGGTCCACTAAGCACAAATCAAAACTAGTAACTTACTTAAAAATTACAAGGCAGTTTTCCCAAGTGCCCTCCTGTCCACAGCAGCCATCTTATTGGATTTTTACTCCTTTTTAAATGAGAAGAGACTGACATCCCTAGCTCCTAGCACAATTGCAAATGGGTAAATTAATGCATCGAGCAAAAAAACATGAAATAATCATCTAACTATTTTTGGCAATGGTGAAATCCTTACTAAAAATTCTTCTTTTGGTTCCACAATATGAAAGTAAGATTCAAATTTTTAAAAATCTGCTGTGAAGTAGGAGAACTTAAAAGGAGAAGGAGTTAGATTCTGACTTCAAAATAAATCAAGACACTCTTTAATTTCTTCTTTTCTAAACTCAGACTTTTTCTTAGCCTTGTCTTAGGATTGTTGGTTAAAGATATCTCACAATCTTTAGTTCCAATGTGTGAAAATTCACAATAAACTCAGTCATCTCTTACGTTTGAATCATATATCCTTTTTCCCTATCTTCAATAAAAGTGAAACATAACTAGTCACATTCTTTTGTCAAAAAAATTTTAAGTGTGAAATAATATCTGTTGAATATGGATCTTGTTGATCAATATCTGTGGAATCTGTTACAACAAAGATGACACAAACCATTTATAGAGTGAATTTTAATTTTTCTGTAAAATTTCTGCCAAATATTGAAAAAACTTTAATAATATAAAACATAATATTAAATATTAAATTCATTTAATCAGTTTGACAATTGTGTTACTTTTGCAGGATTGACTCATACCTATTTTTACATTTCTCCTTTAGATATTTATGACTACATTGCTTGTAATAACAAAAATCCAGAGACAAACTACTTGTGTACAGTAGGGAATTGACTCAATAACCACACAATAAGATATCATGCAGCTATACGAAGAATGACCTGCTCTGCCTGTGATGGCCTGGAAAGGTCTCAAAGCTGTGTCAGTCAGTGAAAAATAGAAACCAAGAATGTTGTTTCAGTATGATCTCATTGATAGAAATAAAAAAGATAGTTACCTACATATGATATATGCATAAAATTTTTAAGGAAACACAGGAAACTTGATAATTACCTTTGAAAACAGGGACTAGTAGAGACAGGGGCAGTGAGAAAAGACTTTTACTTCTAGTATCATATCCTTCTCTATTACAGAATTTTAATTTTCCAACTATATTCATGATTGATGTCAATGATTGTATGATGTCAGAGTAATTATGGGACATTTCTAGTTTCTTCTTTATACTCTTCTGTATTTTGAAAAATTCTAAGACTTGCTATAAAATTAAAATATATTTTTCTGTTTAATATCAATATTTTTAATTAAAATATATAATAAGAAGGAAATCGAGAATTATTAACAAAGAAAGTCTATGTATAGTTAAATATTAAACAACTTTTTAGTTTATGGTTTAATAGGGAAATACATAATATACGGTTATCTACACTATATGAGTATGAATTTTGAGATATTTTAGTTGAACTGTGAATTTTCAGATACTTTTTCACTACTGGTGAACTCGGGGCTCTAATAATCAATGCCCTCCACCAACCCCCAAGACACTCTTTCTGTCACATCACTCAGTTTTTACTTTCAGCACAGCATTTATCACTACCTGATATTTTCTTATTTACTTGATTGCTTCCTTGTTGCTGTCTCCCCCACTAAAATGTAAGCCTGAGAACTGCAGGGTCCTATTTATTGTTGTATTCCTAGCACCTAACTCAATGCTTAGTACTTACCAGGAGCTCAGTAAATATTTGTTGATTGAGTGATTAAATGAATGAATGATAGCCAAATAATTTGAGCAGATTAGGGTATTTAGCAATAAATCATCATCATCATCCGAACTACCATTTAGTAGTTGTTATTGCGTTCTAAGCACTGAACCCTTTACATAGTCTATACATTTAATCCTCTTTCACACCCTTTTATGTAGATACCATCATAATCACCCTTTTTATGATTGACACATAATAATTGTACAAATTTATGGGGTACAACATGATATTTCAATGCATGTACACACTGTGTAATGATCAAATCAGAGAAGTTAACATATCCATCATCTTAAGCATTTATTGTTTCTTGGTGATGAGAACATCCAAAACCTTTCTTCTAGCTGTTTTGAAATATACAATAGATTATTGTTAACTCTACTCAGTAATCACTATTTTGTAGATGAGGGAACTGAGGCTTGCAGAGATCAAATAGTGAGCATTGGGCCTAGGATTTGACCAGGCAGGCTGGTTTCAGAGGTGCATTCTTTTGTTTTTTTTTTTTTTCGGAGACGAAGTCTCGCTCTGTTGCCCAGGCTGGAGTGCAGTGGCACAATCTTGGCTCGCTGCAAGCTCCGCCTCCCGGGTTCACGCCGTTCTCCCGCCTCAGCCTCCTGAGTAGCTGGGACTACAGGTGCCCACCACCACGCCCGGCTAATTTTTTGTATTTTTAGTAGAGATGGAGTTTCACCATTCACAGGATGGTCTCGATCTCCTGACCTTGTGATCCGCCCCCCTCAGCCTCCCAAAGTGATGGGATTACAGGCGTGAGCCACCCCGCCCAGCACAGAGGTGCATTCTTAATTACTGACTCCCTTTAAGCAATTTCTCATGACCGTAATAGTTTTAAGCATCATCTTCCTGGGAAGCTTTCTTCTCTTCTTCTCTTGCCTTATTTCCAAGCCCAAATGATGGAAATTATCTACCACGGCTTGTAAATAAGCTGTGCTAGTGATTCAAAATGGAAAGTTTTCTTGAAATGATAAACTTGTTTCCCTAAAAAAAAGTTTCTTTGCTCATTAAGAGTAAAGAAAAAAAGTAGGCTAATTCTGACTTTTTAATAAATTAAGGGTTTATGAAGAAAAGCAATATCCTGTGCTTTATTACTTTTTATCTTGTCTAAATATCCTAACTTTACCCACAAAATGATATGTATACATTGTCTAAGGTCCTACTCCAGTTCAGAGGAGAAAGAGATCTAATTTTAGTTTTTAATATTATTTTATTGCCTTTCAAAAAGTGTCTTAAACTTTTTATTAATGAGGTAAGGCTACGTTCTGGTTTTAATTATTTGCAAAAGTTGAAGACATTTTAATTGCCTAGGGCCCTTCCTGCTTTAGTCATTTGCCTATTTGCTTTTCTTTTCGTTGTGTTTTCTGGGTTTACAGACTGACAGTCCTCCAACAGGTCTAAGAAAGTTTTTAATTAAAATAGTTTACATTGGGCTTGCACTCTCAAATTAGCCACAGTTCCCCTACATTCTGCATGTGCCTGCTTGCCACGTATGTGTTACCTGCCTGGCACTGAAGCCACTTCAATTTGCCCTGCTCCCTTTTCCATGCCCTCCCCAGTCCCCACAGCACTATTTTTTTTCCATCTGAAAATGGATATTATGGTATTATGTTCTGTGTTGGATTCCTCATAAACCCCATTAGTCCTCATCACATGCACTTAATTATCATATTCGTGCAGTTTCAATACTTATCTATACAATCATTAATAAACCCAGTTTTTCAGGTAGCAAAACAAAAATTTTTAGTTAAGTAGCTTTACAAAATTGCATAGGAAGTAAGTGGAAGAATTGGAAAATATGGGAAGAACCTGCTTCAATGTCCTCCTGATCCACAGAGGGCATCATCATATGTAATTTAAAACACACACACACACAAAGAGGCATTGGGGTGCTTGGCTTCTGAGCCCCCGCTCAGAGCATGGACAGATCTCTAAACATTGCAAGCCTCAGTTTCTTCTTCTGCAGTCATGAAATCATAACACCACACAGGTGATTGGAAATTGCAGAAAGATTGAGCATGTATCCTGATATCCATCATCCTTTAAGTCTCAAGTTGAACATTATTTCTCTGACCCCAAAGACTAGATATGAAGCTCCTGTTAAACACACTTAGAACCTTTCAGACTGTTCCTTCATAGCTCTTATCACAGCTATAATCATGTAGTTATTTATAAATTATTTGCTTTAACATCTGTCTGCCCGTCAGACTGTGAGCTCTTTGAAGGAGGTGGCTGTGTCCACCTTACTCCCTGTCTTACACAGTACTAGAGCAATACATGCCCGACTAAATGCCTGGTCACTGCTCAAAGTGTGGATGAAGGAAGGAATAAATGACTGTGAACAGACTTACTAAACTGTTAAATACTATTCACGGTGGAAGGTGTTAATAGCATATTTACTAGGTATTAATAGCATTACTCCCTACTGGGCACAGTGTTTAACATGTTACATGCATTGTTTCATGTGCTCTAACAAAAATGCCATGACTTCAGTACTACGATTATCCCAGTCTTACGGATGAAGAGGTGAGGCTTAGAAAGGTTAAGTACCTTTTCTAAAATAATACTGCTGTACAAGATCAGCCTTTTTTGTATTTGTTACATTCTTAATAGCAATGCACATATACTACAATGAAAAGTAATCCAAGTTTGGACTTTTGGTACCAGCTTTAATTCTAATTTGATTGTTAGATAATAGATGTAAGTCTTGAGCATGACCCCTCAGTGATTAGATATGAAAATTCAACAGGTTTTTCTGGTTAAGCTTTGAAAACCGTGCAAATTTAAATGACTATAATAATTAGAACATTGTATCTTGAGACAAAAATGAATGTTTATTTTTCTAAAAGACAATTAGAGAGTAGACCCTCAGGTTTTACAATCTAACTACAAAGGCATGTACCCCTCAGTAAAATAGGAAAATAATTAGTGGTAACATCTCTGACCTACACCAAGTTCATTTTCCACAAACTCAAGGAAATGAAATGCCTAGAACATGACTTTAATCTAATCTTGATTTTTAACCTTATATTATGCATATTGATATCAGCTCTTAAAAGAGCTCCTTTTAGAATTCAAAAGCATGCATTTCTGCTTGTAGTTTTCTTTTATTAAGATTTTTCTCATTATGGAAACTTTGTCTCATCTACTTTTTATTTTAGAAACCAAAGTTCTAAATTACTTTTCTTAGTAGGTGTTAATTAGGACCCGATTATGGTAGATGCATAGCACAATACGTGTTTATAGAGATAATTGTGACAATTAATATGATTATACACAGATTTTTTAAAGTGAAGCAGGACTTAAGAATTGGTGTGTTCATTATAATAACAAGTTTAACGAGGTCTATTAAAGAGATACTAAATAGTGGAATATTGGTATACTTTGCTTTGTGAAAAATAAAGTGTACCAAATGTGCAAAATTTTTAAAAATAAACATTAATTTAAATATACTGTGGTAGATTACTCTTTAAATAAATTCTATAGTAGATAGGATTATGAAATATAGAATGTCTGTTTTCTGTGATTTGGGAATAATAGCATATCGGGTGTGGGTGTATCTTTAATAGACACTGGGTGTCCACTACTAAGCAAGAGATTCCTCTAAGAAATTTGAAGTATTTAGTTTTAATTTTGTTAATAACTATGAACTGGTTAATATGTTCATTTTGTCAAATTTTAGTTGGAACTGTGTATGATTTCTAAAATACTCCCTCCCCACAAAAGTTCTTTTTAATTTTTAATTTTCCATAATTTGGTGAGATTTATCCATTATCTACAATAGGCTAAGCTGGGCTCAGCTGATGGAGGTACCTACTGTGCCAAATTAATGGTCTTTCTACAAAAGAACTTACATCGATTGAGGGGAAACTTCCTTATAGAGAAAGAATATGAAAAAACATCAGGAAATTGTTCTTGTAAAATATTTGAACAGAAAAATGGCCCTTAGCTGAACATTGAGCTCCCAGGATTGGAAGAGGGAAGAAAGGCCACGTGCTGGTACAGAAATCCCTCCCAGGCCCACACCATGTCCCACAGAGCCCTTCATTACTCTCCGCACCCATTTTTCTCTGAAAAAATCAACATTTGAGAACCAAATGAATAGTCTAGAATTTGTTCTACTTAGTCACAAAAGGCACAAATATTGACTATAATAGATTTTTCCAATTGCTCTGGAATGTGAATGTCATTTCTTCCTATTGTCAATCGTGAGAGACTGTTTTGTTGACTCCAGTTGAATATAAATAGCTGGTAAAAAAAAATACATATGCACACATAACCAAGTCTATTTGGTGACACTAGGAAATTTCATGTGTAATCCAAATAGCATCTGACTGCAGTGCCATAGCACTGCTACTGTTGAGAGCATCATCATTTATGAGAACATCAACGTTTTGTTCATTGTTATCCCTTCTCTCTCATCCCTCACGTCCTGGAGTTGCCCAGACCTGCCTAGTCTTCCTTTTTGATTCACACATAGAACTCCCAGGTAGATTTCTCTTAAAATGAACTTCAAACCATAGTTAGACATTTTTGAGTCATTTAATCCAACTTCCCTTCTGACTCATTTCATTTAATGAATCATTCATTTTGCTCAGCAAGGAACTATTATGTGCCTATTCTGTGTCAAGCACTGGGCTAGGTGCTGGCAGTTCAGGGTGACAGAAGCAGGCCACTGAGTTTATGTCTACTGAAGCACACATTAATTAGAGAATCCCATGGACATGTGTAAAAGTTCAATTCTGACAAGTTCTATGAGGGAAAATTTATGGAAGAGCCTATATTGGAGGAACTTACCCTAATCAGAAAGGTCTGCAAAGACTTGTCTGAGGAAATGATATGTGAACTGAGGCATAAAGGTCAAGAGGGAAAGGAAAAGCCTTCTTGCCATGAACAGCATACACAAACACTCTAGTAGGCAGGAAGAACTGAGAAGGCCCGTCTACCGAGAGGGCAGAAAACGAGAGGTGTAAGATACTCAGACATGTCAGAACATGCAGGGTTTTGCGGGCAATGTTAAGAGCCTTCATCTTACTCCTGAGAGCAGCAGAGAAGCCACTGAAGAACTTTAAGTGAAGGAAAGGAAATGACTCAATTAGATTTATGTTTGTATAAAACCTCTCTGGCTGCATTTTGGAGGAGGGATGGCATGGGGCACCAGCGTGGACACAGTAAGTCACACAGTAAGGCTTTGTCATCATCCAGGAGGAAGAGGATGTCAGTGCTGGTGGAGGAGATGGAAGGAAGTGGACATGGATGGGATATGGAGAGATCAGGGGAAGGTGTCAAGCATGACACCTAGATTCTGACTTTTCAAACCAGATGGATTGTGGTCCCATTCATTAGACCAGGTTTCCAGTTTGAAGTGCCTTTCAGACACTGAAGAGGAGCTGGTAAAGAGGCTACTGGATATAAGGAGTGGAGCTCAGAAGAGAGGACAAGGCTAAGAGATATAAATTAAGGAGTCACCTGATGTCTGAATCTGCCTTACGGCATCCAGAATAGCTATCCAGACTTCTGCTTCAACACCTGCCTTACAGCATCCAGAACAGCTATCCAGACTTCTGCTTGAACACCTGCCTGACAACATCTAGAACAGCTATCCAGACTTCTGCTTCAACACCTGCCTGACAACATCTAGAACAGCTATCCAGACTTCTGCTTCAACACCTGCCTGACAGCATCCAGAACAGCTATCCAGACTTCAGCTTGAACGCCTGCCTGACAACATCTAGAACAGCTATCCAGACTTCTGCTTCAACACCTGCCTAACTGCATCCAGAATAGCTATCCAGACTTCTACTTGAGCACCTGCCTGACAGCATCCAGCATAACTATCCAGACTTCTGCTTGAACACCTGCCTGACAACATCCAGAATAGCTATCCAGACTTCTGCTTGAACACCTGCCTGACAGCATCCACCATAGCTATCCAGACTTCTGCTTGAGCACCCGCCTTATACCATCCAGCATAGCTGATCCAGACTTCTGCTTGAACACCTGCCTGACAGCATCCAGCATAGCTGGTCCAGACTTCTGCTTGAGCACCTGCCTTACAGCATCCAGAATGGCTATCCAGACTTCTGCTTGAGCACCTGCCTGACAGCATCCAGAATAGCTATCCGGAATTCTGCTTGAACAGCTGCCTTACAGCATCCAGCATAGCTATCCAGACTTCTGCTTGAGCACCTGCCTTACAGCATCCAGCACAGCTATCCAGACTTCTGCTTGAGCACTTGCCTTACAGCATCCAGAATAGCTATCCAGACTTCTGCTTGAGCACCCGCCTTACAGCATCCAGAATGGCTATCCAGACTTCTGCTTGAACATCTGCCTTACAGCATCCAGAATAGCTATCCAGACTTCTGCTTGAGCACCTGCCTTACAGCATCCAGAATAGCTATGCAGACTTCTGCTTGAGCACCCGCCTTACAGCATCCAGAATGGCTATCCAGACTTCTGCTTGAGCACCCGCCTTACAGCATCCAGCACAGCTATCCAGACTTCTGCTTGAGGACCTGCCTGACAGCATCCAGAATAGCTATCCAGACTTCTGCCTGAGGACCTGCCTGACAGTATCCAGAATAGGAATCCGGAATTCTGCTTGAACAGCTGCCTTACAGCATCCAGCATAGCTATCCAGACTTCTGCTTGAGCACCTGCCTTACAGCATCCAGCATAGCTCTCCAGACTTCTGCTCAAATGCCTTCAAAATGACAAAAAATTTATCACCTCAACAGCCAGACATATTTAGAGAAAGATAACCCTTGTGTTGGACTAAAAGCTTCCTGAAGTAAATTCTTCTCATTAGTTCTGATTCTGCCCTTTAGACAAATGGAATTTCTCTCCTACCTAATAGGGCTTCCAGAATTTCAAGAAAAATGACATGGTTTTTACCTCCTCACGACTTCAACATCTACCTCATGTCTCCTGTTCAGCAAAAATTCTTTCAGTTCACTTCAGCAATCTAGCCCTTGCCTTTATCTTCAGATTTATCTATTACAAACACAAAAACAGACCCAAAACACACCCATACATACACACACTACTTCCACTCAGACCTAAATATCTGGATCTTGCTGAGTATGGTATATTTTCACAAACCCATGTGTCTTTTTTTTTTTAAGACTGATGCATAGGAGTGGTTTTTAATCCCCCTACATGTAAAATTATAGCTCTACAGCAGAGGCTAATGAGACCAACTAGCTAGCTAGAGGAATTTTTGCAGGGAGTAGGTCAGGCAGGAAGTGGCCAGTAGCTTATATATGTCCAGGACTGGTGGGCAAATGTGGACTTACTTGGGACCATCATTGTAATGTTTAAGTTGGTCCTGTCTTACAGGTGGGTCACAGCAGAAGGCTTTCTAGGTAATGGGCAGTGTTTTCAGTTAAAGGCTATCACCCTCACCTGCCCTGTTAGTCAGAGGAGGCTAATTGCAGTCACAAAGAACCCCTCAGTTGTAGTCCAATCAGGAGTTCCTTGGGAAGCCTTTTATGTCGTCATTCAGGGACCTGCATCTAGTGGCTTCCCTGGAGCCCTGAAAGTCCTCCACAAGATCTTCTGCATCTAGTCAGGAGGCGAGGGAATAGAGAGCATGGGGGATTCTGCTGGGAGTTTTGGGGGCCAGGAAATGGCTGAAACTTCTCACAGTTCATTAGCCAGAATTCAATCCTATGGGGCCAGGTGCGGTGGCTCACACCCATAATCCCAACACTTTGGGAAGCTGAGTCAGGTGGATCACTTGAGGTCAGGAGTTCGAGACCAGCCTGGCCGACAGGGTGAAACCCCATCCTACTAAAAATACAAAACTTAGCTGGGCATGGTGGCGTGTACCTCTAGTCCCAGCTACTCAGGGGGCTGAGGCATGAGAATCGCTTGAACCCAGGAGGCGGCGGTTGCAGTGAGCCAAGAACATGCCACTGCACTCCAGCTCGTGTGACAAAAGCAAGACTGTCTCAAAAAAAAAAAAAAAAGAAAAGTCGGAATTCAGTCATGCGGCCCATATAACGACAGGGTATGCTCAGAAATGTAATTTAGCTGTGTGTGCAGAAGGGAAGGCAGCAGGATTTGGTGAGCACACCTGCCCTATCCTGAAGGTGACACTGTTTTGCTCTCTTTCTCTCTAAAACCTTCAGGGATTCCTTGTTGCCTACCAAATTTAGAATAGGCTCTTCACATTTTAAGGCTCTTTTCAGTATGACCCTAGCCTCTCCTTCCAGCTAAACCAGCCACTTCCTGACTCCCAGGTACACCCTGCCCTTCCCTTCTTCCATGCCTTTACTCTGGTACTTTCTTCTGCCTAGGGCATCCTACATCTCTTATTCTTGAAATTGTATCCATCATTCAGGGTCCATGAAGGGGTCACTTATTCTTCATTGCCACTGGCCTGCCTTACATTGGTGACCTGTTTACTGGTCTTATCCGCCTCTCCATTCTCCATTTTGTGTCACTGACGGCCTCTAGGAAATGCCTGAGAGAGTACTCAGTTAAATATTTGTTAGGTTGAGTTGAATAATTATATTTAAATTATTTCCTTAAAGAGAAAATAAGATGTATTTTTTAGTAGCTTTTCCTTTTTTCTTTTTTTTTTTTTTTTTTTTTTTTTTTTTTGAGACGGAGTCTCGCTCTGTCGCCCAGGCCGGACTGCGGACTGCAGTGGCGCAATCTCGGCTCACTGCAAGCTCCGCTTCCCGGGTTCACGCCATTCTCCTGCCTCAGCCTCCCGAGTAGCTGGGACTACAGGCGCCCGCCACCGCGCCTGGCTAATTTTTTGTATTTTTAGTAGAGACGGGGTTTCACCTTGTTAGCCAGGATGGTCTCGATCTCCTGACCTCATGATCCACCCGCCTCGGCCTCCCAAAGTGCTGGGATTACAGGCGTGAGCCACCGCGCCCGGCCCTTTCTTTTTTTTTTTAAAGAAAAACTTTGTGGTGGTGGTTCTCAAATGATGGTGAGTATAAAAATTACTTGGGGGGACTTATTAAAAGTACTGTGATACTGCCGAGATCCTAATTCTATACGTCTTGTATGTATCTCTGATGTTGGGCCCTAGTATCTGTGTTTTTAATACATGCTGAGGGGGGAGGGGGGATTTGGATCCTATGGCACCTGGACTGGATTTTTAGAAAGATTGCAGTGTGATGTTTGTCATTACACCCATTAATGGACTATTATTACCTTCCTTTAACAAAACAGATCAGTTCATTAACAGAGGAACAAGTATTACACGGAACAGTAAAAATCAAGATGTTTGTCATATCGCATTTGGATCCAAAGTTCTTGGGCCACCTCCACTCTCTGGCAGAAGGAATAACATGAAGATATCCAGCGAGGTAGGAGCAAGGTTTGGAGAGCTTATCTAAGCACAAGTGACCTGGTAAGGGAAGAGTGTCTTCCCCTTGTAGAGGGAGGGAGGGAGGGAAAGACAGACAGACAGACAGACAGACAGACACTACATGCCAAAAGCAGAAGGCTTGAATAAATTTGGAACAGAAATTCTGGATTTTAAAAGACTTCAAAAGTGTTTCCTTTTTGTCATATCAACATAATTAACATTTTCGAGTATTCTTTTCATTAAATATGTTCACAAAATTTAAAGGCAAATATAAGTGAGCACATTTTGCTGTCTCTTTCAGAGGAGTTGGATCATAACCAGACACCTTAGGATGAACAGATTCTCAAATGTTAGGTTTTTTATTTTTAATTTCCTCCGAATTTCTGACATACGCGTGATTTTTAATTCGGCTTCTACCTACTGAAGATGGAGTGTAGCAAATAAGCACATTTTAATTTATGTGTCTAGGAGACTTGCATGTCTTCTATTTTATCTCGTTATTTTTCTCCTTCCATTTCTAATTTCCTATAATAATTTCCTTTTTCTTCACATCTTAACCTCATTTCCTCTAGTTTTTTTCTCACTCTTCATTGGTCCAAATATTATGTTTTCTATATAGCTTCTACAGAAAACAAATGTAGTTGCTATATTTTAAAATGTACAGATTAATTCCTTTACAGACAGTGAGATCCGTTGGGTCCAAAAATAACCGATCATGCCAGCCGTCCACTGTAGAGAAGTGTGTTAATGGTACAGAAATGTCAGCCTTGCTGATACCTGAGTCTGAGGAACAAGGAAATAAAGAAAATATTCACCAAATAAAGCAGACTGTACCTATTCATGGTAAGAAATAATCATGCATAAAGATTGATAGCTAGTGAAAATAGTGAGAAATGTTCTTGTTAAGATAAATCAGCAGTTATATTCAAGTCTAGATCTTAAGTCTAGAGAATTGTCATTTAATAATGAAAAGGGTGGTTGATTTTGAAATATATTTGAAATTCTTATATTAGCTTCTGAAATCTATCATTCTGTTTTCTCCATTATTTCAAATTGCTATAATACCCTGTGTTTTATTTTATGGCAACTGATGTAGAAATAAAATAGCATTCCATTATCACTGTATTTTGGAAATGCCATGTGCATTTTAAGTGTTCTTAGCTTAATATTATCTTTTAATTAATCTCTTCCATTTGTAAGGTACTCTTTCTTTTCTCTCACTGATCCAACAACAAAAATAAAATAAACCCTGTAAGTGAAAAAGGATTTTTGTTCCATTTTACAGATAGAGATTTAAAGTCAAGCAAAGAGGTAAAGTGATTTGCAGTTTGTAACCTTTAGAAATAATTTAGACCAGAACCCAAGACTTAGAATTCCCTGTCACTTTTTCTACCCTTACTGATCTGACTTTACTGAGAGTTGAAAAGGGAGGACATTTAAGTTCATTTTATATTATTTACAAATTAATGATCACTGTCACAGAAAATTTCCCTCGTGGAGTATGAAACTGAAATAAGGAAATGGATAGATAGAAATCCAGCCCTAGCTGCCTGTCAGTGAGGCCTTGATCAAGTTTCTTAAACGCTGTGAACCTTAGTTTTCTCCTCTGTAAAATGGGAATGGCATTACTACTGGCACTAATACTAATAATAAATAACAGGTGCCTCAAAGGGTCATTGTGAGGATTCAGGGGAAAAGCCAGTTAAGTGTATCATATTGCACCAAGAAATTAAGCATTCAGGAAATGTTAAATGCTGCTATGATTATTATTATTGCTAAATTAAATCGTACTTAGAAGTTCTTCTTCAGCTTGACCTCAGTTCTCCAGGGCTCTTTTGGAAGCTGCTCTCTATGCTCTTGTTGAAAGTATAGTTATCGACACTTCCTCTTTTAAAGGAAGAAGTAATTTTTCTGTGTTGGCTGTCAGTTTCATTTTGTAATGTTTTTTAATATGCCATGTTGTATGATTAACATTAGTCAAATTACTTTAGCCCTCTATAAGGTTATATTACATGAATAAAGTGTTTCAGTAATTTTGAAAGCCTGATAGGATCCCAATATCGGAATAGGAATAAATGCCTATTTTCTATGAAGTTGTATTTTTGATGTATCTTCACATTATGTCAAAATTATACATGAATATTCTCATTATAGTGATAATTATATTTACTGAGTTACTTCAAGCCATATAGCACTTTCTGTTCTGGCTTTTGTGCTTTGATATGAAAATGTAGCAGCCAATCTACATATTATGCATCCGCATCCCCCTCAAGAACCATCAGCAGATAAGAATAATAACAGAAGAAGATTACGGTTAAAAAGTACCAGCAGAGAAAGGACAGAGACACCCAGCGGTATGGCACTATTTCAATCCTATCTTATATCTGTATATTATTCAGGGCAATCGAATCTCTCTCTGCAGGTTGTAAATTTCAAAGGATTATGAACCAATCCATTTAAAATATAAATGTCTGTTCTACAAGGATTATGGAAATCAAATTTTCTGCAAAAGAATTGCTCTAGATCCCTAATGGAGATTTGCTGGATTAAATAGACAGTACCACAGAAATAAAGGAATTCCTACTTTTACTCTCAAAGACTGAATAAGCTTAAATTATTGTTTTTGAAAAAAATGGCCCAAATGTGATAGAAGTTCCCACTAGCAGACTTTACTAAAATGGAACTTTATTGTAATTTTTATGTTTCATTTGTGTCTTTTTAAATTGAGCTCTTTTCAGATTGTTGTTTATATTTGCTGTCTCTCCCTTTGGATTATTCACCATATGTTATACTCTAGGTTAAAATTTAAACTCTTTGCAACTGGTAAAGCATTAGACAAATACGTGGCCATTATAGTTATTCCCTTAAATATTGGATTCGAGGCATGTATATGTAGATTAGTATACACATATATCAGTCTATCCTGAATCCCACCCAGTGTATCATGTACACATCTGTTAGCCTAATTTCTCAAAAATGTAAGATTCCTGGGTTGGCTGAAATTTAGCCTGCTAGGTTTCATGCTTTTTATAAAAGAGTAGATAGAAAAATTAATTTTGCAATAATGCCTTAAGATCCATTTTCTTAACATGCTGATGAAAAAAGCTTGGCCAAAAAGAGTCCCATTTAGTAAGAATTATAATTTAAAGAAAACTCACTTCATTTCATGTGGAACCCAAGGGAAAAAATATAAGATCCTTTAAAAATTTTATGGGTTTTGGCATTCTTTTTATCACATATTGCAAAACTTTAATCTAAAATATCCCTGTGTAAGTATCAAAGAATTTTAAGGTGAACCTCTATAAAAATGCAGCTTAAAACAGTCTACTGAAAAAAAAAACTGCATGTAATTCATATTGTTACCTCTAATTTGCTTTTAAATGATCAAATAGTAAAGTATACCAAAGTAAACCATTCTTCTAAAATTACTTTTTATAAATTTCAAAAGAAGTAATAGAGGGAAAATATTTATCTCAATAAAGGTAGCTCTTCAGGAAATAATAGGATTGAAGATAAAGCATCAACTATCCTCACCACTGTGTCCCAACAAGGAGCAGAGCTGTTGAACTCCGGCACTCTAGGACCCCAGTCTCCTGATCAATCAGGTTGGCATCTTTATTACACCATATCTGTTAATAATGAATAAAATGTAAATATGGTAAATATTTCAAATCCAGTCATTTTGAAAAGTGGTGATGCAGCCGATTTGCTAAAATGTGTAAGTTTGTGTAAATCTTCTTATTTAACCTCAATTTTATGTCAAACTTTAATGGATGAAAGAGTATTTTTTTATTTTCAAGTTTTAATGCACTGGTCATCCTGTTCAGAATGAAAGTTTAAAACTGACATTTTCCCATGGCATGGTCACCCTCCCCAAAGATGACCAGTTGTTGGGTTTCTCCAGTCCTCTTTATAATGGAGATGGTTGGAGCTGAGAGCATTGAGCCCATCAACATATCTTGCCTAGCAGGTGTGTGCTACTTTTACAAAGGCAAATTGTTTTTGAGCAAGGGAAAAAAGAAAATAAATGAAAATTGTTTGTGGTTTGTCAATCTTATTTATGCAACGTTGAAACCTTCATTAAAATGTTAGGTGCAATTAGTGTCTCTAGCATAAATCTGACTGTGTGGAAAAACTAATTAGATGTTTAGGTGATCATTCTTGCATTTATCTTGTTTGCTGCAATATTGTGATTACACAGTAATTTACATATTTTTCTAAGAAAACACACCAAATTATTCATTACAATTGATATGGAAATACTTGAGGTAAAACTGCAAATTCCATAAAAAGCATGTGGCAGTGAGATAATTAGAGTTAGTTTGGTGTAAAACACTCCTTTTACTTTGACTTTTTGACAGTTGATAATATGTTTGGCAATAGGTCATACAAATTGTTTAAGTGCATAATGAAGATTCTCAGTATATTTTCCTCTGTTTTCTTCACATATCCATATACATAATGCAACCTATTGACTTTTGTAACATTTCTCAGCATTTGTAAAGCACCTAATTTGCTTACAAAGCACTGTCATGTACCCAGCACCATGCAAAAGGGTTTGCTGTCCAAAATAGGGGAGCCCAGTGAATCCGTTGAGTTCACTGGCCCAAAGCTACAGTGACTCAGGACCATATGCCCCTGCACCCCTCTGTGAAGGTGGTCAGAAGAACTAGACTCAGCCTGCCATTGGCCATATGCCTACAGACTCATGTCCCTCAATATATGAAAGCCTTGTCCCTAGTAGGTTTTCTCTAGGAAGTATACATTGATCACCCTTTTTACAGGTAAGTTATGTTATGTAATGGTAGCCGTAAGTTAAGAAACAGATAAAGGCAATTGTGTTTTATTTGTACCATCAAAGTTATTTTTATTAAAGATTTTTATGGGTTCTTTTGCTTTTGCTTTTGCATTGTAGGCTTTAGAGTTGCAAATCTTAGATCTCTCTTGGTTACTTTTATTGTGATCATAAATATAATATGATTCAAGAATCAGGTGTAAAATTACCATGTCCACACTGTGATTCTGCAAGATTTTACCAATGAAATAAGCTGCAAAAAAAAAAAAAGCAAATTTAAAAAAAAAAGACTACATTGAGAAAATGCTCACCTTTTTCCTACTGTCATTCTAAAGAAGAAAGCATGCTTTCAACGATATCATTATAAAGATCTGTCTTTTTCAATTCATCAGGATCATAGAGCTATAAACTCTATCTCAATGTGATATGAAAGATTGAAGTCTTTAAAAGTTTTGAAAAAATATATATTTCCCTGTAGTGTATGGTATTTTAAAGAAAACAATAATGTGCTAAAAGGTTTTTATATCAAAACATTGTCTCTTGTAAACTTAAAGACCTTTTTCACCCAGCAGAATCCACTGCTTGGATTAGCAAATATTTCTGTGAATTTACTATTACTTGAAAAGTCTGCTTGGTTTAGTCTGTGAATTGTCCTGTTTGAATCAGTAGAATAGAGAGGAAATGACTGCCAACCTTGTCATGGCTTCCTCTCCTCCATGATTTGTAATCTGAATTAAGACCAGATATTTTTTTAAAGAAGCTGGTTAAGTACTCTGTCCTCCTGCAGTTAAAAGGAGATATTAGTAACTCAACCCCTTTTAAATTTGGAAGACTTTCCCCCTCTGGAATGTCAAATTAATAAGGTTGTCCTGTAAAGAACTTGCTGCAAGACAGGTGATAATTATTTCAGACTTACAAATTTCCTGGTCAGTGTTTCAACTCAAATGGAGAGGAAGTGCAAATGAGTTGCCCATAGCTATAGGCACTGATGTATGGGTTGAGTGTTTAGCAGGTTACAAGATGGTCTATAAATTGCCTTCCTTTGCTTTGCGTTATTTGATAAATCTGTTTCAACAACAAGAAATTTTAGCCTAACTACCTGCCTAAAATAACACTTTTGGCCAGGCGCGGTGGCTCATGCCTGTAATCCCAGCTTTTTGGGAGGCCGAGGCGGGCAGATCATGAAGTCAGGAGTTCAAGACCAGCCTGACCAACATGGTGAAACCCCATCTCTACTAAAAATACAAAAATTAGCCGGGCATGATGGCGTGCACCTGTAATCCCACCTACTCAGGAGGCTCAGGCAGGAGAATCACTTGAAGGTTGGGAGGCGGAGGTTGCAGTGAGCCGAGATCGCGTGACTGCACTGCAGCCTAGGCGGCAGAGTGAGACTGTCTCAAAAACTAAAACTAAAAATAAATAAATAAAAATAACACTTTTATGGATTACTGCTCTAATTTTTGTCATCTTTTCCAACTGTCAGATGAGTGGATTTTTCCTGAAAATGCTGATCACATTTCATATCTGGCATCCAGCAGACAGTCTCTACTTCTGGGTGATGACTCCTGCAACCCATCACACCTGTGGCTGGAAGCCAGCAAAGAGAGTGAACACGACCAGCAGGCAGAGGAATCCCAGAGTGTTCCAAAGGACATTTTCACTTTTTCATCAAGACCACGATCAGCACCTCATGGAAAGACTCAGACTATGTCCCCAGAGGAGCTCTCATTTATTTTGGATCTAAAAGAGGATAACAGTGTGACAAGCAGAGACACCCAATCAGAGGATGATTTTTACGGCGGCGACAGCAGTGAAGAGGTACACTGCTTGATAAGTGAAGTAGTCTTGAAGCACAGTTGTTTCCTTAGCTCCAATAAGCACTAAAACAAGTTGAAATGAAAGAGGGAAAATCAACTGCTATTTATAAAAATGCAACAGATTGCCATGTCAGTCCACAGTTGCATCAGGTTGTTATGGTAACTTTAAACTGTCTTTTTTTTTTTTTAATTAACAGTCAGCCAATTTCACTTTTACTTATAGAAACCAGTTTTGGGTTTCTTTCTGTTTTTTCATTTTAATCTTTGAATCACAGGATGAGAAACGATATGCAGTTTAGTGCTATGATAGCAAGACCAGTAAAACACTGAGAATATACTGTTCTAGATCTCTGGAGAAATTGTGTTGCAGTTGCTAAGCATTCTAAATTGATGGTTTTCTGGCTTCCTTACTCCCCTGCCATCTTTTCACCTTAGACCTATTAGGACTCATTATTTTCCATATGGTCCCAGAATTTGAAGAGTTGTGCCAATTAAAGTTTAGATAATGAGTCGTGGATTAGTGCTGGGACTTGCCTTACAGGAGATTTTCTGTTTGCAATTATTTAGAATATGGATATATCCTATAAATTAGCAAATTCGTAAAAAGTTTTAAAATGTTTCAAATCAAACTGAATATAATTTGGAAATATTTGTTTAAAACCTAATACATTGATAACTTTTTCCCCATAGGAAGTGCATTTAGTCGTGGATTTTCTTCAGCATTATTTTTAACGATGGTCATTCATACTTTCTGGAAAAATTTATTCTAAAAGCAGAATACGAACAACTTTAGGGTTAGTGAAAATGTACAAAGCTTTTCTATATAGAAATTATAGAAATAACTAGAAAACCTTTTTATATGTGCCCACAAAATATTTTTATAACGTAACTGATTAAGAATCCTTTTTGGACAGTGAGGCACAGATTAAGTCCATAGCACCAACCTTCGGAGGCAGTTGAGAATATAGTGGGATTGTTTAAGCAGTAATTCTGGGTTTTTTCAACTTTTAATGAGTTTCTTCAGCAAAGCGCGTAGAGGATCGTCTTTTCACAATATTCTTGCTTCTGAGTGTCATGAAACAATTAGTCATACCAAACATAACCTACTGCAAATCCTTTTATACATAAATAGTGCATTTGATGCTAGCATTTTAAGTGTTGCTGCTGGACACATTTGTTCCTTTCACCTTTAATAACATAAAGCTATAAAAACATGGACATTTGTCTTCAGCACCTAATAGTGTCCTCATCCCAGCTGATAATCCTTCCATGGTCTAAACTGGCTGATTAATTCAGTTCATTTTATGAATAGAATAGACTCATCCCCTTCCCATATGCACAGCACAATCTCTCTTACTAATGCAAAAGCATTACTCTAATAGTGGGCATTTCATGGTAGGTGGGAAATGGTAGTTCTCTGGAAAACTATGAGAGAAGTATTATGGATAATCTGCCCTTTAAATACACCACATGAAGAACTTACCTCTTCCATCTATAGGAAGGCTAAGCCTTTAGAAGAAACAGTAGAGCTTCATGGGAAAATGAAGAATACTAGCTCTGAATATTTTAATTTGATATCACTTAATGCTTTCTTTTGCTGTAGCTACTCTGCCTCTGACATCCTTCAACGTTTATTATGCAGATGTGTATTTGTTACCAACTACATAAAATTGAAAACAAATTTATCATGCATTACCCAAGCTTTCACTGGCAGGGCTATCTGGTCACCCCTGTGCCATGCCCATCAAGGTGACCAGTAGCATACGGCTAGAGTCTGTGGTGAGACCATCCCATTGCCAACACTGGCACTCACCACCCTTTAATCAGAGCCTACTAAGAGTGGCAGCCAGAGAGAGGGGAAACACCTGCCACATTATCAAGCTTTGGGGTTTGCTGGTACAGAGACTAACGAGATACAAGCTAAGATACAAAAATAGGACCAACAAAAATGCTAGGCTATATTTAAACAAGTTTTAGCATGTGTAATGATACCTTCTTAACAAAATTGGATTTTTTCTTTTGTACTTTTGGTAATTTCTTTTCCTGTAGGATAGCTTCTTCTATTTATTAATTGTATAAATCAATGGGAAATTAGGCTACATATTTACAATGTTTATTTACATATAGTCTTTGAAGAAAAATCAGTTTAGTTAATTAAGGCATCCTTACTATTAATTGCATTATTTTAGAATGTTACATCCTTATCTTTGTATAATTATACTTCAGGAAAACATAATGTCAAGTTGTAAATAATGGTGGACAAGTGAATAACAATTATATTATTATGCTTGAAGTTTATAAAGTGTAATTAAAAGACTTTATTTGATGTTAGCCCATTGAGTATTTTTAAAGGAAAATGAGATGTATTTAGTAACATATAAACTAGGCAAAATCAAATCATATTATTAGGATAGAAGACAAGTACCCATACAACAGTAAAAGCTAATTAAAATTAGCTTTCAGCAATACATTGTCATTGTAATTGAAGTTGCTAATCATTAATTCACATCTGAGATCTTAGTGTTGGAGCCTCAAAAGTATGAATTTTTTGCATATAACCTTACCTTACTCTTTGCTTTATCATATATTTTATTCCGTAGGCAGCCATATATACTAATATTTCTGGTACTCTATTAATTTTGAAGTTGTTCTTATTTGAAAAATATACTACAGAAACAATATTTCCTAGTGAGCTATAAAATCAAGACTACCATGTAAAATGAATTTTTTAGGAAAGCTATTAAAATAGAGTGCTTTTCATATTATTGCAACATCTGAAAGAAACGAAAGCATGCAACTGTTATTGTCTCTATTTTGTATTTTATGTTATTATTCCCATCGTGGCTTCTAGTGTATACACCTGGTTTTGCAGCTTGAAATCATTAGCCTTATGTTAATATTTTATTATTCCCCTAATTCAAGTTTTCACCTAGAAATACTACCATTTTTTCCCTGAATTCTGGTTGTGTATCACATATTGAAGCAGATATTTGCAAGGCCAAGTAATTTGTCTTGTGTAACAGTCCAAATTGGAACATTTGGACCCCCGAATTTATTCATATTTGGACATGAATTATGTGGACTGACTACCTGTAGTGTTCAGATTAGCCGGAAGGCTTTTGTATCTTCTCTCCTTCTAACTCTATGGAAGCCTGCAAAGGATAAATATACAAACAGCAGATTAAAATGACCATTTTCGTCCACCCTCCCAGCTTTCTTGTCATTGCTTTCAAGAGTTTTTTTTAGCAGTCAGTAGTTAAGCTATTTCATTTTAAATACTTTTTGTTAGCATATATTTCTGGATTATACTATAAACACTCACCCCTACATACTTGAGTAATGATTTTTTTTTCTTTTTTCTTTCTTTTTTTTTTTTTTTTTTTGAGATGGAGTTTTGCCCTGTAGCCAGGCTGGAGTGCAGTGGTGGGATCTCTGCTCATTGCAACCTCCGACTCCCTGGTTCAAGCAATTCTCCTGCTTAAGCCTCCCAAGTAGCTGGGATTACAGGTACACACCACCACGCCTGGCTAATTTTTGTATTTTTAGTAGAGACGGGGTTTCACCATGTTGGCCAGGATGGTCTCGATCTCCTGACCTCGTGATCTGCCTGCCTCGGCTTCCGAAAGTGCTGGGATTACAGGCATGAGCCATCGCGCCTGGCCAAGTAATGATTTTTAATTGCTTTCTCACACACACTTACATACACACGGTGGAAAGGAATATTTAGTTGACAGTAGTCTTCTTATATTTCTATGTAGCCTTCAGATACTTTTAAATTTAGTTTATGTGTTGGGAAAAAATGAAAAGACTCTATTTTGAATATACTGCCTTGCATTTTTATTCCTATGTATTATGAATTAGAACATAACATATTCTGTATACCTACCAGGCAAATTAATGTTTACTCAGTATGAGTAATCTTTTTAGGCTGTTCACATCTACATGTCTTTATTATTATCTATTGAAGCTCTTCTCTGAAAAAGTCACAGGTCTCTTGGTCCTTGTGACTTGGCTTTGTATTGTTATAGGCAGATGAAGAAAGTTACAAAATGCTTGTCTATTTGCAATCTAATATTCTACCATTTTTGCTAAATGATAGACATCTTGCAGATAAGCATTTGCTTGTAGATAGTTTTCACAAGAAATCTTTAAAGTGTTGTCAGTTAAAAGAACATGAAGTCTAACTTATAGAAAAATATGTTTTGCCTTGAAAAATTAGAAAAGCCTAATCACTTTGCCAAAATATTCATATGATGATTGTGCCCTTCCCACACAGTACCTGTAACTTATGCTATGATTTGTCTGTAAAGTATCATTTGCTATAGGTAAAGATGTCATGAAAGTAATTTGGCCAAACCTTTTTAATATCAGGCATGCTGCAGGTTAGTTACTTGTTTAAAACTGTGGTATCTTCCTTTTATTTTATTTGTTTACAAACTCGTAAAATGTATTATAAGACACAACTATCACTTATCTTTGTCACCCAGAGGAAATTGTATTACTTTCATCATTTGCTACAAAATTCAAGTAGAAGCACAAGTACTTCTTGGGATGGTTGTTATGAAAACTTTTAAGATACATTTGAATTGCCAGTCTTGTTATCATCAAAGAAGAAATTATTTTTTTCATTCTGTTAGGACTGTCTTTAGCTGAATTTGTGCAAATAACTGTGCTCTTTAGTCAACAACAGAAGTATACATATACTAGCTCTGTTGTTTGCTAGTGCTGATGTTCAACTAAAAGGTGCTGTCAATCCACACACTTAGTTACTAACATGATGGACAAAACTAAAAACTCCTGTTGACTCAATCTCAATTACAAATTCAAAACTACCATCAAAAGTGTATTTTGAATATTGCAGATGTGTTTTTTTACAGAATTTTTAAGACTTTTACATAAGATTTTTTTCATGGTGGATTGAATTTAAAACTCCATTGAAATATGAATAAATATTATCATCCACTTTTACAAAGGCTAAATAGAGTTCTATTCTGATTCACTCAACATTAAAGTTGTGGTACAAAGAGCCTGGGTCCCATCTGCTCCAAGTAGGTGGCCCTCAAGAGTCATTAAAATTATCTGTTTAAAATTACAACTCAGCAAGAGCAATCCATTTTGTGTAGCCAGAAATTATTGTCTAAATGCCCATCTGCATGTCCTTTTAAGAAATGTAGTTCAGCAGAGGAAGTGCTGGCTCCTTGGGGAAATCATTCTCATCTTCGGCATACATATGCTGTGCTACAGTTAATCAGGCAAACTCTATTGATGTTCCTGGCACTGGGGCGTGACTGAATATTTAACAAACAAATGTTTCTGAGCCCAGAAGACAAACGGTTCAAGAGATTTGGGACTTTAAAAAAACATATTAAGTTAAATCAAAAGCATTTTGTATTTGTTCTTCTGAGAAACAGATGAACAAATGATTGGAATGTGAAAATGGCATGACAACTTCTTTGCTACTCTGACAAATTATATTCAATTGCTGTACAGGTTTTCAGTAGCTAAATGATAAACTAAAAGGAGAAAGGTGGTTATTTTTCAACCAGGTCATGATACACTAACTTCTCATGCACATAATAAATTTATATGTTATATAGAAAAAAATTCATCCCAGAACATGTTGAGCCCAAATGAATTACATACGTGAAATCAATAAACATCATCTCTACCTTATTAAAGAGGCAAAAGCATGCCTCTTCTTCTCATAACAATGCAAAGAGAGGAATAGGGTTATGCCAGTGCACCCACTCCTAATAAATACTGTACTTTTTTTAATTCTCCATTTATTTCTTCTCTAAATGAGAAGCTGACCCAATGCAAATTAGAACACTACTCAAATATAGTCTCCTATGTCATCTTGCCTTTCTCATTCATCCCAGTTTCTCTTTCAGAATCTGAAACCAGAATTAGCAGTTCTAGGGCAGCCAAGGCAAACAAGCCTTTGTACCCTGTCCAGATTCTCCAGTTATTTATTCTTTCCATATATTTAAAATAGCATGGAAATGTATTACTGTGGAAATGCAGTGCAACCAGGAGAATGCTCATCAGGGTACACAGCTAAATCCATCTGCTTCTCGGCTGATCTCCAAACCAGAGTATTCCTTAGGAAAAATGTAAGATGAATGTCCATGTACATACTCATGAATATGTCTATGTATATAATCAACTGCTCATGCCAAGCAAAGAGAAATGCTTTCCACCTGAGTAAACTGCTAGAAGGAAGAAAAGGCTGTACTCTGACCCATCACAGGTGGAAAAATACACTTCTTACCAAATGCATTGATTTTAAGGTGTTTTCTGAATGATGTGACAAACATCTAGTTTTCCATGCAGCCCTCTAAATTCCCAAAATAGTACATCTGAAATTCCTAAAATGACATTTACTATCTTCTACCTTATGATGTTATCACTTTTTAGGTATCATTTCTCTGTTAGACTTTATATGTCTTGAAGGAGTGGCCCTGTCCTTACCTGTGTATCTTGTATAGTGTCTAGAAATTGCCTCACACAGAGTAGGAGCTTAATAAACATCTATTGCATTAATGTTTACTGAAAACACCTCCAGTTTCTACCTACGTCATATACAGAATAACAAGTCTTCATTTTTTATGATGGAAATGAATGAGTAGAGGATCTTTTGATCACAGAAATCCCACTGCCAATTGTGTATGACAATTACAGGAAAATAAACTGCAATATTTTAAAAAATTAGAGAAAAGATAGCCCTGTCTCGCTACCAGACTAAATTAAAAAACATCTATGCTAGTTCTACCAATACCATCTTAGAACTAGGACTTGGGGAATGTTTACTCTATTTTTTGTTTACCATCTTCTCTAGACAAAGACTAAGCTTTTATTCTTTATCTCTATGAAAAAAAAATTGCAAGAGTCACCACTCTATTACCTAGTGATTTAGAACACTGGGCATTTTTTCAGATAGCTCTGACAGTCTTTCGAGTTTTCTGCCTGAAGGCAGAGTTCTTCAACCATATGAACATCCTAGGGTGCCCAGACTGGTGGGGAAGGACAAGCTCACCCCATAAGTGGCCTACAGCAGAGAGGGTTGCCCAGTGCCTGCAGCTGAGGTCATGCAGGGATTGTTACATTTGCAAAAATATTTTCGCCTGTCTTATTTTTTCACTTGGGCCACAAAGTAACGGCCCACAGATTGGCACCCAATCTTAAAGAAACATCTTTTCTTTACCCTATCTGGAACACTGAAAGATAAGTATCTCCATCAGTTATGTGTGTGTGTGTGTGTGTGTGTGTGTGTGTGTGTGTGTGTGTGTGTGTCAGAAGATGAAGCTAGTGTAGACAAAGACAATGTATGCCCAGGATGAATACCAAGAAGAAATATTTATAAAAGATCCTTAACAATGCAGTTCTCATCCTTAGTGTACTGGAGGTACACTATTTGTTAGGAGAGGGGTTTTTTTTTAGTATTATTGATTATTTTAATTTACTCCTTTAGCTATTTCAGTATTATATTTTTAACTGGAAAATCTCTACTTTATTTTGAAGTTTTTTTTCCTACAGTCATTCCTTTTTTTCTTTCTTTTTTTTATTTTTTTTTATTATACTTTAAGTTTTAGGGTACATGTGCACATTGTGCAGGTTAGTTACATATGTATACATGTGCCATGCTGGTGCGCTGCACCCACTAACTCATCATCTAGCATTAGGTATATCTCCCAATGCTATCCCTCCCCCCTCCCCCCACCCCACAATAGTCCCCAGACTGTGATGTTCCCCTTTCTGTGTCCATGTGTTCTCATTGTTCATTTCCCACCTATGAGTGAGAATATGTGGTGTTTAGTTTTTTCTTCTTGTGATAGTTTACTGAGAATGATGATTTCCAATTTCATCCATGTCCCTACAAAGGACATGAACTCATCATTTTTTATGGCTGCATAGTATTCCATGGTGTATCTGTGCCACATTTTCTTAATCCATTCTATCATTGTTGGACATTTGGGTTGGTTCCAAGTCTTTGCTATTGTGAATAATGCCGCAATAAACATGTGTGCACGTGTCTTTATAGCAGCATGATTTATAGTCCTTTGGGTATATACCCAGTAATGGGATGGCTGGGTCAAATGGTATTTCTAGTTCTAGATCCCTGAGGAATCGCCACACTGACTTCCACAGTGGTTGAACTAGTTTACAGTCCCAGCAACAGTGTAAAAGTGTTCCTATTTCTCCACATCCTCTCCAGCACCTGTTGTTTCCTGACTTTTTAATGATCGCCATTCTAACTGGGGTGAGATGGTATCTCATTGTGGTTCTGAGTTGCATTTCTCTGATGGCCAGTGATGGTGAGCATTTTTTCATGTGTTTTTTGGCTGCATTAATGTCTTCTTTTGAGAAGTGTCTGTTCATGTCCTTCACCCACTTTTTGATGGGGTTGTTTGTTTTTTTCTGGTAAATTTGTTTGAGTTCATTGTAGATTCTGGATATTAGCCCTTTGTCAGATGAGTAGGTTGCGAAAATTTTCTCCCATTTTGTAGGTTGCCTGTTCACTCTGATGGTAGTTTCTTTTGCTGTGCAGAAGCTCTTTAGTTTAATTAGATCCCATTTGTCAATTTTGGCTTTTGTTGCCATTGCTTTTGGTGTTTTAGACATGAAGTCCTTGCCCATGCCTATGTCCTGAATGGTAATGCCTAGGTTTTCTTCTAGGGTTTTTATGGTTTTAGGTCTAACGTTTAAGTCTTTAATCCATCTTGAATTGATTTTTGTATAAGGTGTAAGGAAGGGATCCAGTTTCAGCTTTCTACATATGGCTAGCCAGTTTTCCCAGCACCATTTATTAAATAGAGAATCCTTTCCCCATTGCTTGTTTTTCTCAGGTTTGTCAAAGATCAGATAGTTGTAGATATGTGGCATTATTTCTGAGGGCTCTATTCTGTTCCATTGATCTATATCTCTGTTTTGGTACCAGTACCATGCTGTTTTGGTTACTGTAGCCTTGTAGTATAGTTTGAACTCAGGTAGCCTGATGCCTCCAGCTTTGTTCTTTTGGCTCAGGATTGACTTGGCAATGTGGGCTCTTTTTTGGTGCCATATGAACTTTAAAGTAGTTTTTTCCAATTCTGTGAAGAAAGTCATTGGTAGCTTGATGGGGATGGCATTGAATCTGTAAATTACCTTGGGCAGTATGGCCATTTTCACGATATTGATTCTTCCTACCCATGAGCATGGAATGTTCTTCCATTTGTTTGTATCCTCTTTTATTTCCTTGAGCAGTGGTTTGTAGTTCTCCTTGAAGAGGTCCTTCACATCCCTTGTAAGTTGGATTCCTAGGTATTTTCTTCTCTTTGAAGCAATTGTGAATGGGAGTTCACTCATGATTTGGCTCTCTGTTTGTCTGTTGTTGGTGTATCAGAATGCTTGTGATTTTTGTACATTGATTTTGTATCCTGAGACTTTGCTGAAGTTGTTCATCAGCTTAAGGAGATTTTGGGCTGAGACAATGGGGTTTTCTAGATATACAATCATGTCGTCTGCAAACAGGGACAATTTGACTTCCTCTTTTCCTGATTGAATACCCTTTATTTCCTTCTCCTGCCTCATTGCCCTGGCCAGAACTTCCAACACTATGTTGAATAGGAGTGGTGAGAGAGGGCATCCCTGTCTTGTGCCAGTTTTCAAAGGGAATGCTTCCAGTTTTTGCCCATTCAGTATGATATTGGCTGTGGGTTTGTCATAGATAGCTCTTATTATTTTGAAATATGTCCCATCAATACCTAATTTATTGAGAGTTCTTAGCATGAAGCGTTGTTGAATTTTGTCTAAGGCCTTTTCTGCATCTATTGAGATAATCATGTGGTTTTTGTCTTTGGTTCTGTTTATGTGCTGGATTACATTTATTGATTTGTGTATATTGAACCAGCCTTGCATCCCAGGGATGAAGCCCACTTGATCATGGTGGATAAGCATTTTGATGTGCTGCTGGATTCGGTTTGCCAGTATTTTATTGAGGATTTTTGCATCAATGTTCATCAAGGATATTGGTCTAAAATTCTCTTTTTTGGTTGTGTCTCTGCCCAGCTTTGGTATCAGGATGATGCTGGCCTCATAAAATGATTTAGGGAGGATTCCCTCTTTTTCTATTGATTGGAATAGTTTCAGAAGGAATGGTACCAGTTCTTCCTTGTACCTCTGGTAGAATTCGGCTGTGAGTCCATCTGGTCCTGGACTCTTTTTGGTTGGTAAGCTATTGATTATTGCCACAATTTCAGAGCCTGTTATTGGTCTATTCAGAGATTCAACTTCTTCCTGGTTTAGTCTTGGGAGAGTGTATGTGTCGAGAAATTTATCCATTTCTTCTAGATTTTCTAGTTTATTTGCGTAGAGGTGTTTGTAGTATTCTCTGATGGTAGTTTGTATTTCTGTGGGATCAGTGGTGATATCCCCTTCATCATTTCTTATTGTGTCTATTTGATTCTTCTCTCTTTTCTTCTTTATTAGTCTTGCTAGCGGTCTATCAATTTTGTTGATCCTTTCAAAAAACCAGCTCCTGGATTCATTAATTTTTGAAGGGTTTTTTGTGTTTCTATTTCCTTGAGTTCTGCTCTGATTTTAGTTATTTCTTGCCTTCTGCTAGCTTTCGTATGTGTTTACTCTTGCTTTTCTAGTTCTTTTAATTGTGATGTTAGGGTGTCAATTTTGGATCTTTCCTGCTTTCTCTTGTGGGCATTTAGTGCTATAAATTTCCCTCTACACACTGCTTTGAATGCATCCCAGAGATTCTGGTATGTTGTGTCTTTGTTCTCGTTGGTTTCAAAGAACATCTTTATTTCTCCCTTCATTTCGTTATGTACCCAGTAGTCATTCAGGAGCAGGTTGTTCAGTTTCCATGTAGTTGAGCGGTTTTGAGTGAGATTCTTAATCCTGAGTTCTAGTTTGATTGCACTGTGGTCTGAGAGATAGTTTGTTATAATTTCTGTTCTTTTACATTTGCTGAGGAGAGCTTTACTTCCAAGTATGTGGTCAATTTTGGAATAGGTGTGGTGCTGAAAAAAATGTGTATTCTGTTGATTTGGGGTGGAGAGTTCTGTAGATGTCTATTAGGTCCGCTTGGTGCAGAGCTGAGTTCAATTCCTGGGTATCCTTGTTGACTTTCTGTCTCGTTGATCTGTCTAATGTTGACAGTGGGGTGTTAAAGTCTCTCATTATTAATGTGTGGGAGTCTAAGTCTCTTTGTAGGTCACTCAGGACTTGCTTTATGAATCTGGGTGCTCCTGTATTGGTTGCATATATATTTAGGATAGTTAGCTCTTCTAACTATCACCTGCAGACAAGAGCAGAGCTTTCAATGGAAATTTTAAACAAGTGGGATCAAGATCCTGAAGCATTTCCTTGAAGAATTGTCACAGGAGAAGAAACATGGCTTTACCACTATGATCCTGAAGACAAAGCACAATCAGAGCAATGGCTACTAAGAGGTTGGAGTGGCCCAGTCAAAGCAAAAGTGGACCAGTCAGCAGCAAAGGTCATGGCAATGGTTTTGGGCATTGGTCAAGGCATTTTGCTGTTGACTTTCTGGAGGGTGAAAGAACAAGAACATCTGCTTATTATAAGAGTGGTTTGAGAAAGTTAGCCAAAGCTTTCGCTGAAAAACACCCACAAAAGCTTCCCCACAGTCTTTCTCCACCACGACAATGCTCCTACTCACTTCTCTCATCAAAAAGTTCAAATTTGCAAGAGTTTTGTTGGGAAATCATTAGGTATCCACCTTATAACCCTGGTTTGACTCCTTCTGACTCCTTTTTGTTTTATAATCTTAAAAATCTTTAAGAGGCATGTTTTTTTTTCAGTTAGTAATATAAAAAAAGAGTACATCGACGTGGTTATATTCCCAGGATCCTCAGTTTCTTAGGGATGGACTAAATGGCTGACATCCTGGCTTACAAAAGTGTCTTGAACTTGGTGGAGCTTATGTTGAGAAATAAAGTTTATATTTTTTGTTTTTATCTTTTAATTTCCTGGAGCTTTTTGAAGTCCAACTTTGGACCTTTCTTGAGAGCACAGTTGTCTGCTAATCTCAACTACATTTCACAAAAAGAAAAAATTATAACAGGGCATGGGTTAAGGATCTCATACTCTGTGTAAGAGACTGCAAGAATTACTCAGTATGATATACTCTGCCTTTGACATACTGACTTGAACTCTCAAACCAGTCCAGCTTCTATATCATCACTGCCATTGCCTTAATTCAGGCACCTCAACAATCCTAATAACAATACAATAGTCTACTGATTGGCCTCCAGTTCTACTGTCTCCACAAGCCAACCCAGACACTCCACAAACAGTATCCATAAACGTATACCCATGCCTTCTATTGTGTGTCATTGTGACATTCCCCTACTTCACACAATGACTCCTCTTTGCCTTCAGAATACAGTCCCTGGATGGCAGGGATTATGTTCTGGTCTATCATTACATTCCGAGAATCTGCAGCACCTAGATGTACTTGGCCCGTGATGAAGAAGAAAGGAAAACAGAAAAATGATAAGATAGATCCCCTCTAATTAAAAGCTTTTGTAGATCTCTCCCTTGTCCCCTGCCCAACTGAGAGCAAACCCTCTCACCTTTACCCATGCTTCACTTCTGAAAGGAAGATTTCACCGGAGACTGCCACCATTATGTTGAGTGTGTATGATGGTAAAACATTCAGGAAGAAATTGAACAGTTCAATCAGTCACCCAAATATTTGTTTTTAAAATGCCAACCCTTAGAAATAACTAGATTCTGGGTTCTGTGTGTCTATAAATTGAAGGGTGAAGGAATAGCTTACTGAAACTGAATGTCAAGATACGCATTGTCAGACACCAAATAATGTCTTCAAAATGGACTGTGCTTTTTTGTTTTTTCTCTATTCTAAGTTTATCATTTCACATCCATTTATTATATATTTTGTTTGGTTGGTTGGTTGGTTTTTTTTGTTGTTTTGTCTTTTTTTTTTTTTTTTGAGATGGAGTTTTGCTGTTGTTGCCCAGGCTGGGGTGCAATGGCATGATCTTGCCTCACTGCAACCTCCGCCTCCCAGGTTCAAGCAATTCTCCTGCCTCAGTCTCCCGAGTAGCTGGGATTACAGGCAAGCATCACCACGCCCAGATAATTTTGTATTTTTTCAGTAGAGACAGGGTTTCTCCATGTTGGTCAGGCTGGTCTCGAACTCCCGACCTCAGGTGATCCACCTGCCTTGGCCTCTGAAAGTGCTGGGATTACAGGCATAAGCTGCCATGCCTGGCCATATATATTTAAATAAATGAGTCAAATTCGAAGAATCTACCATGACAAGTATATGCAGTGATCACACAGTTTAAATGTATTATTTTATAACATAAAAATCTACCAATTGAAATAGCACTACATTTCTCATTTTCATTATCTACTTTCATTGCCATTGATTTCATGTTTGTAATTCTGCCTTTATCAGATTTTAAAAATTTAAACTTTTGCATTTCTATGGAAAATCACAGAACTGTGGACTTGTAAAATTATTGTAGCTTTCATTTTCAGCTTTCCAAGTATTTATATTTAATGACGTTCATATTTTGTGGAAAAATATACTTTCTAAAACTAAAATTTTCATGTAAGAAAAATACTTTATAAAACATGTTCCATTATCCATTGCTCTTGAAAAACAAAACTGCCCTACAATAAGGTAAAAATGCTTCCCTAGACCCACTTGTATTTATTAATAGAGTACCATTTCTCTGCTTAAGTAGGCTAAATACCATAAGTTTTAGTTGTTTCTTTTTCCATGGAGTTAACTTATCAGAAAGTCAAAGTATACGATTCTTAGATGTTTTAGATGACTTGCTCTGGATCCTCTTCTTTTAGACATTTTTTGGAATGAATATGAGTAACTACTTCTTAAATGTTCTCTTGTTTTTCATGAGTAAAAAATATGCCTTATCCAGACCAAATACCGTATAGCAGGACATTTTAGCAAATGGCTTATAACTGTTTGCATTGCTACTTTTAGTTACTCATGTTTTTCTTTGCAGATTAAAGTAAAATCTATATATAGATGCTTTTGCTTTATTCATAGAAAATATGAATTTATTAAGAACTTGTACTCAGTAACTTATTCACCACAAATTTCTGCTCAAAATTATTTTTACTTTGTTCCCCAACATAGGGTAACCACAGTATCCAGGGTTCTCGAGGCCCAACAACTGGTCCTTCAGAGTTAACTCAGTTAACATTAGAGAGCCTGCTGGGGAAGGCTGCAAAGCGGACAAGTAAGGAATATCTAAGGAGCGCCTACACAGAAGCAGGAGCAACAGAAAGCCAGGATTCCTCGATGGAGCAAATAGATAGAAATAACTTTGAAATGAGTTTGTTGCCTACAACATGCCTTTCTCCAACTGGAAGAAGGTGTGGGTCCTGTCAGAAAACTCCAGAGCCCGTAATCAAAGCGAAGGATCTATCAGCCCAGCAAGTGCCAGCTTCACTAAACAAAACCTCCCTGAAAGAAATCTCAGGGGAAAGGCTGAGCTCGATCCCCGAAGCATCTGTAAGTGGTTCCCGTGTGGTTTACAGATGCCGGCAATACATCCTGCTGTGTTCCGTTCTGTTCCACCCATGTTTTTAGCAGTATCTCTTTTTCATCATTTGGGTGATGAGTGTTGTATTTTCTTTCCTGTTCTGATGTGTTTTAGTTTGGTAATAGCAGCTGTTAAAGAGTCTACTGCACATCCCAAGGATAATAGAATACCTCATGTTTTTAATGAGAAAGATAATTATGTAATTTTCATCATAACAGTTATTTTATTTTCTAGTTACTTCCCATAATTTGTAGTTATCACTGCCTGCAAATTATAAATGATGATCTTATTTTTGAGCCAAAAGCTTGCCAGTAAAATTGACAGATTTTCAATAACAATCTACATTAGGAGCCATAAAAACACCATTATTCTATTCACTTTCTACAGCAGTTCCCCAAATAATAAATGATATGAGTGAAGGTTAACATTAAAACAGTGTCATCGAATAAATCCCTCGGCTAGTTTGGTGGCTGTATTCGTGTCCATCAGATTGATTTTTTCCTTCCTGTATTAGTACTTTTCTTCCTTCAATTCCCCTATAAGCTGCACTTAGAAACTAGAGAACAAATGAGGCTATGCATAACAAATGACATGTACATTCCATTTTTTAAAACATTTAAGATTTTCTCTATGTTTCATGTCCTAAATATTCTGTGGGTGTTGCATTGTAAAGCTTTGGTTCAAGTATGTTCTAAGCAAGTTAGAGTGGATTAATTGTTACCTGGTGTAGGTAGTAGATATATTCATGATTATCATCAGCAAAATAGAAGTAGCTAATATTTTGTGAACATTCATCATGTACCAGTCTCTGTACCAAGCCCTTTTTTTTTTTAATTATACTTTAAGTTTTAGGGTACATGTGCACATTGTGCAGGTTAGTTACATATGTATACATGTGCCATGCTGGTGCACTGCACCCACTAACTCGTCATCTAGCATTAGGTATATCTCCCGATGCTATCCCTCCCCCCTCCCCCCACCCCACAACAGTCCCCAGAGTGTGATATTCCCCTTCCTGTGTCCATGTGATCTCATTGTTCAATTCCCACCTATGAGTGAGAATATGCGGTGTTTGGTTTTTTGTTCTTGCGATAGTTTACTGAGAATGATGATTTCCAATTTCATCCATGTCCCTACAAAGGACATGAACTCATCATTTTTTATGGCTGCATAGTATTCCATGGTGTATATGTGCCACATTTTCTTAATCCAGTCTATCATTGTTGGACATTTGGGTTGGTTCCAAGTCTTTGCTATTGTGAATAATGCCGCAATAAACATACGTGTGCATGTGTCTTTATAGCAGCATGATTTATAGTCCTTTGGGTATATACCCAGTAATGGGATGGCTGGGTCAAATGGTATTTCCAGTTCTAGATCCCTGAGGAATGGCCACACTGACTTCCACAACGGTTGAACTAGTTTACAGTCCCAGCAACAGTGTAAAAGTGTTCCTATTTCTCCACATCTTCTCCAGCACCTGTTGTTTCCTGACTTTTTAATGATTGCCATTCTAACTGGTGTGAGATGGTATCTCATTGTGGTTTTGATTTGCATTTCTCTGATGGCCAGTGATGGTGAGCATTTTTTCATGTGTTTTTTTGGCTGCATAAATGTCTTCTTTTGAGAAGTGTCTGTTCATGTCCTTCACCCACTTTTTGATGGGGTTGTTTGTTTTTTTCTTGTAAATTTGTTTGAGTTCATTGTAGATTCTGGATATTAGCCCTTTGTCAGATGAGTAGGTTGCGAAAATTTTCTCCCATTTTGTAGGTTGCCTGTTCACTCTGATGGTAGTTTCTTTTGCTGTGCAGAAGCTCTTTAGTTTAATTAGATCCCATTTGTCAATTTTGGCTTTTGTTGCCATTGCTTTTGGTGTTTTAGACATGAAGTCCTTGCCCATGCCTATGTCCTGAATGGTAATGCCTAGGTTTTCTTCTAGGGTTTTTATGGTTTTAGGTCTAACGTTTAAGTCTTTAATCCATCTTGAATTGATTTTTGTATAAGGTGTAAGGAAGGGATCCAGTTTCAGCTTTCTACATATGGCTAGCCAGTTTTCCCAGCACCATTTATTAAATAGGGAATCCTTTCCCCATTGTTTGTTTTTCTCAGGTTTGTCAAAGATCAGATAATTGTAGATATGCGGCGTTATTTCTGAGGGCTCTGTTCTGTTCCATTGATCTATATCTCTGTTTTGGTACCAGTACCATGCTGTTTTGGTTACTGTAGCCTTGTAGTATAGTTTGAAGTCAGGTAGTGTGATGCCTCCAGCTTTGTTCTTTTGGCTTAGGATTGACTTGGCGATGCGGGCTCTTTTTTGGTTCCATATAAACTTTAAAGTGGTTTTTTCCAATTCTGTGAAGAAAGTCATTGGTAGCTTGATGGGGATGGCATTGAATCTGTAAATTACCTTGGGCAGTATGGCCATTTTCACGATATTGATTCTTCCTACCCATGAGCATGGAATGTTCTTCCATTTGTTTGTATCCTCTTTTATTTCCTTGAGCAGTGGTTTGTAGTTCTCCCTGAAGAGGTCCTTCACATCCCTTGTAGGTTGGATTCCTAGGTATTTTCTTCTCTTTGAAGCAATTGTGAATGGGAGTTCACTCATGATTTGGCTCTCTGTTTGTCTGTTGTTGGTGTATCAGAATGCTTGTGATTTTTGTACATTGATTTTGTATCCTGAGACTTTGCTGAAGTTGCTTATCAGCTTAAGGAGATTTTGGGCTGAGACAATGGGATTTTCTAGATATACAATCATGTCATCTGCAAACAGGGACAATTTGACTTCCTCTTTTCCTAATTGAATACCCTTTATTTCCTTCTCCTGCCTCATTGCCCTGGCCAGAACTTCCAACACTATGTTGAATAGGAGTGGTGAGAGAGGGCATCCCTGTCTTGTGCCAGTTTTCAAAGGGAATGCTTCCAGTTTTTGCCCATTCAGTATGATATTGGCTGTGGGTTTGTCATAGATAGCTCTTATTATTTTGAAATACGTCCCATCAATACTTAATTTATTGAGAGTTTTTAGCATGAAGGGTTGTTGAATTTTGTCAAAGGCTTTTTCTGCATCTATTGAGATAATCATGTGGTTTTTGTCTTTGGCTCTGTTTATATGCTGGATTACATTTATTGATTTGCGTATATTGAACCAGCCTTGCAACCCAGGGATGAAGCCCACTTGATCATGGTGGATAAGCTTTTTGATGTGCTGCTGGATTCGTTTTGCCAGTATTTTATTGAGGATTTTTGCATCAATGTTCATCAAGGATATTGGTCTAAAATTCTCTTTTTTGGTTGTGTCTCTGCCCGGCTTTGGTATCAGGATGATGCTGGCCTCATCAAATGAGTTAGGGAGGATTCCCTCTTTTTGTATTGATTGGAATAGTTTCAGAAGGAAAGGTACCAGTTCCTCCTTGTACCTCTGGTAGAATTCGGCTGTGAATCCATCTGGTCCTGGACTCTTTTTGGTTGGTAAGCTATTGATTATTGCCACAATTTCAGCTCCTGTTATTGGTCTATTCAGAGATTCAACTTCTTCCTGGTTTAGTCTTGGGAGAGTGTATGTGTCCAGGAATTTATCCATTTCTTCTAGATTTTCTAGTTTATTTGCGTAGAGTTGTTTGTAGTATTCCCTGATGGTAGTTTGTATTTCTGTGGGATCGGTGGTGATATCCCCTTTATCATTTTTTATTGCATCTATTTGATTCTTCTCTCTTTTTTTCTTTATTAGTCTTGCTAGAGGTCTATCAATTTTGTTGATCCTTTCAAAAAACCAGCTCCTGGATTCATTAATTTTTTGAAGGGTTTTTTGTGTCTCTATTTCCTTCAGTTCTGCTCTGATTTTAGTTATTTCTCGCCTTCTGCTAGCTTTTGAATGTGTTTGCTCTTGCTTTTCTAGTTCTTTTAATTGTGATGTTAGGGTGTCAATTTTGGATCTTTCCTGCTTTCTCTTGTGGGCATTTAGTGCTATAAATTTCCCTCTACACACTGCTTTGAATGCGTCCCAGAGATTCTGGTATGTTGTGTCTTTGTTCTCATTGGTTTCAAAGAACATCTTTATTTCTGCCTTCATTTCGTTATGTACCCAGTAGTCATTCAGGAGCAGGTTGTTCAGTTTCCACGTAGTTGAGCGGTTTTGAGTGAGATTCTTAATCCTGAGTTCTAGTTTGATTGCACTGTGGTCTGAGAGATAGTTTGTTATAATTTCTGTTCTTTTACATTTGCTGAGGAGAGCTTTACTTCCCAGTATGTGGTCAATTTTGGACTAGGTGTGGTGTGGTGCTGAAAAAAATGTATATTCTGTTGATTTGGGGTGGAGAGTTCTGTAGATGTCTATTAGGTCCGCTTGGTGCAGAGCTGAGTTCAATTCCTGGGTATCCTTGTTGACTTTCTGTCTCGTTGATCTGTCTAATGTTGACAGTGGGGTGTTAAAGTCTCCCATTATTAATGTGTGGGAGTCTAAGTCTCTTTGTAGGTCACTCAGGACTTGCTTTATGAATCTGGGTGCTCCTGTATTGGGTGCATATATGTTTACGATAGTTAGCTCTTCTTGTTGAATTGATCCCTTTACCATTATGTAATGGCCTTCTTTGTCTCTTTTGATCTTTGTTGGTTTAAAGTCTGTTTTATCAGAGACTAGGATTGCAACCCCTGCCTTTTTTTGTTTTCCATTTGCTTGGTAGATCTTCCTCCATCCTTTTATTTTGAGCCTATGTGTCTCTGCACGTGAGATGGGTTTCCTGAATACAGCACACTGATGGGTCTTGACTCTTTATCCAATTTGCCAGTCTGTGTCTTTTAATTGGAGCATTTAGTCCATTTACATTTAAAGTTAATATTGTTATGTGTGAATTTGATCCTGTCATTATGATGTTAGCTGGTGATTTTGCTCGTTAGTTGATGCAGTTTCTTCCTAGTCTCGATGGTCTTTACATTTTGGCATGATTTTGCAGCGGCTGGTACCGGTTGTTCCTTTCCATGTTTAGCGCTTCCTTCAGGAGCTCTTTTAGGGCAGGCCTGGTGGTGACAAAATCTCTCAGCATTTGCTTGTCTGTAAAGTATTTTATTTCTCCTTCACTTATGAAGCTTAGTTTGGCTGGATATGAAATTCTGGGTTGAAAATTCTTTTCTTTAAGAATGTTGAATATTGGCCCCCACTCTCTTCTGGCTTGTAGGGTTTCTGCCGAGAGATCCGCTGTTAGTCTGATGGGCTTCCCTTTGAGGGTAACCTGACCTTTCTCTCTGGCTTCCCTTAACATTTTTTCCTTCATTTCAACTTTGGTGAATCTGACAATTATGTGTCTTGGAGTTGCTCTTCTCGAGGAGTATCTTTGTGGCATTCTCTGTATTTCCTGAATCTGAACGTTGGCCTGCCTTTCTAGATTGGGGAAGTTCTCCTGGATAATATCCTGCAGAGTGTTTTCCAACTTGGTTCCATTCTCCCCATTACTTTCAGGTACACCAATCAGACGTAGATTTGGTCTTTTCACATAGTCCCATATTTCTTGGAGGCTTTGCTCATTTCTTTTTATTCTTTTTTCTCTAAACTTCCCTTCTCGCTTCATTTCATTCATTTCATCTTCCATTGCTGATACCCTTTCTTCCAGTTGATCACATGGGCTCCTGAGGCTTCTGCATTCTTCACGTAGTTCTCGAGCCTTGGTTTTCAGCTCCATCAGCTCCTTTAAGCACTTCTCTGTATTGGTTATTCTAGTTATACATTCTTCTAAATTTTTTTCAAAGTTTTTAACTTCTTTGCCTTTGGTTTGAATGTCCTCCCGTAGCTCAGAGTCATTTGATCATCTGAAGCCTTCTTCTCTCAGCTCATCAAAGTCATTCTCCATCCAGCTTTATTCCGTTGCTGGTGAGGAACTGTGTTCCTTTGGAGGAAGAGAGGCGCTCTGCGTTTTAGAGTTTCCAGTTTTTCTGTTCTGTTTTTTCCCCATCTTTGTGGTTTTATCTACTTTTGGTCTTTGACGATGGTGATGTACAGATGGGTTTTCGGTGTGGATGTCCTTTCTGTTTGTTAGTTTTCCTTCTAACAGACAGGACCCTCAGCTGCAGGTCTGTTGGAATACGCTGCCGTGTGAGGTGTCAGTGTGCCCCTGCTGGGGGTTGCCTCCCAGTTAGGCTGCTCGGGGGTCAGGGGTCAGGGACCCACTTGAGGAGGCAGTCTGCCGGTTGTCAGATCTCCAGCTGCGTGCTGGGAGAACCACTGCTCCTTCAAAGCTGTCAGACAGGGACACTTAAGTCTGCAGAGGTTACTGCTGTCTTTTTGTTTGTCTGTGCCCTGCCCCCAGAGGTGGAGCCTACAGTGGCAGGCAGGCCTCCTTGAGCTGTGGCGGGCTCCACCCAGTTAGAGCTTCCTGGCTGCTTTGTTTCCCTAATCAAGCCTGGGCAATGGCGGGCGCCCCTCCCCCAGCTCGCTGCCGCCTTGCAGTTTGATCTCAGACTGCTGTGCTAGCAATCAGCGAGATTCCGTGGGCGTAGGACCCTCCGAGCCAGGTGTGGGATATAGTCTCGTGGTGCGCCGTTTTTTAAGCCGGTCTGAAAAGCGCAATATTCGGGTGGGAGTGACCCGATTTTCCAGGTGCGTCTGTCACCCCTTTCTTTGACTCGGAAAGGGAACTCCCTGACCCCTTGCGCTTCCCAGGTGAGGCAATGCCTCGCCCTGCTTCAGCTCGCGCACGGTGCGCGCACCCACTGGCCTGCGCCCACTGTCTGGCACTCCCTAGTGAGATGAACCCGGTACCTCAGATGGAAATGCAGAAATCACCCGTCTTCTGCGTCGCTCACGCTGGGAGCTGTAGACCGGAGCTGTTCCTATTCGGCCATCTTGGCTCCTCCGAGTACTGGTAATTCTTAAGGAATGCTTACTGAAAATGATTTGCTAAGTGCTGGGTAAACTTGTTCTTTGCAATGTTTTATTCATACTTTAATAGAGTTATCTATTACTACGTTCAAATATTTTTAATTAGGAAAGAAGTACAACCCTCTGGGTAATATTGCAACCATGTAGATAGCTGGTAATTAAACTTTTTCGCACGTATAACTGTATTCAAGCAATTTTGAACGAATCATTTTAAACTGGCAAATGTCATTATGTGTTTCTTTAAACAAACAAACAAAAGACTTATATAACAGACTTTATAGCTCCAGAAAAAGTTTGAGCTTATTGAAGAATGCGTAGTTTCATAAGAAAGACAAAGCATGCTACCAATTATAAATTCAGGTATTGTCTTTAGAAAAGAAAGAGACATGACTTTTAATAGGAAAAGAATTGTAAAATGAGCCATATAACTTTTGACTTTAACCTTCACATCTCCATTTTTGAAAATCAAAACTGAATTATGGAAAGACACTTTTGAATATATTTTAGGCCATAGAATAGTGTGAGCACATTTTTCCCTTTAATTATCAAGCCATTTCCTTTGGATAATGTAAAAGAATTAGTTTTGTTTCTGCCCCGATATATTTAAACTCAGTATTGGAGTAGAGAATATCATCACATTTTTAAAGTAATAAAAGTCTCTGCAATTTGTGCTCCATAAACTTAGAGAAAAAATGAATTTGTAAATTATTTTAGTATTTTTAAAGCATTGCTTCATTATATAAAATTCTGCCTTTTCTAGGGTATATAATACTCTTTGTTCAAGCCATCTCTCTCTCTTTCCATTTGCCACTCAAATGTGCCATTTGCAGCTGTTTTTCCAACAATACCCCATTGTTTGAAGAATCCATAAATGTCTTTCTGACCCTTCTCTCCCTTCAGCTACAACAACATTGCATTATTTCAAAACACCTGTTTGAGAGTCAGGTCACCCTGTGTGTTAGACATATGTTCATTGCCCTGGCTAACTGTGCAGGTTCACTTAGGGGTGGTTCTCCCTCCTTTGGCAGTTTCTACCACATGTGCCCACTGGCCTCATGCTGCTCTAGGTCATTTGATAAATAGCCTTCCCCAAACAGAACCCTCTGTCAAAGCTATCTGCATTTTCATTCTCCATGACTGAAAAGTCAAAAGCAGTGGAAACCATGGCTCAGAGCACCAGCTGGAATCAGACAGGCCTGGTGTTGAGTCCTGGCTTTGTTCTTTCTTATCTATGCAACCTTGGACACATTTCTTAATGTCTTGGAGCCTCAGTTACCTCATCTATAAAATGGAGAAAATAATACCTATCCCACAAGGTTGTTTTGAGTGTAAAATTAGATAGCGCATGTAGAACACCTAGCCCCTAATCTGAAGTATACTTTCTTCTACCTTTTGCTGAGTGGTTAGGCAGAAATATAAACCAGTATGGCTGGCATTCTAAAGCAAATGAAACCTTCTCAAATTCATAAAGTTCCATAAATTAATTACAGGTACTGTTCTACAGGGGTGGTGGCTCTGTGGTTGTGTGCTTCCTGCTCTTTATTTATAGTTGAATCAAGTGCTAACACAGTGAATTTCTGTGTGCTTTCTGCCAGGTAACATATTGGCATGTTCTCAGGGATAACCTAAAGAGAGAAAAATATTTATTTATAAGCAGGAAGCAGTGTCTATCTGATAATTTCCCGGAGACCACCCTCTGTGTGTCTACCTTGTTCACACAGCTAAATTGCAGATGTGTAGCTTCCTGCTTGAGGTCTTGAATTGAATTTGGGCATAACTAGTAGCAGTTCATAAACCATAATGCTAACCATAGTGAGAATGTTTCCTTTACTAAGTGGGACACTCCTACCAATAGCTTTTGGAAAACAGTCTGATATTTGATGTTTTGTCAAAACTGCACTCTTTCCTTGTCTCAGAAAAGACAAGTTTATTATCTCAGTTTTATCTGTCAATGCACTGCTGGGGATATTGCTGAAACTGCAGAATTTGGTGATTAAATAACATTTCCACTGCCAGTAAAAGTATTTGAATTAGGCATAGAAATTTTCCAGGTGTAACTTGTTCCTGTCCCTCTGCTCTCTTTTTAAATATTTTTCAGACGGAACCCTGGCTGTGCTACAGAATGGTTTGTTTCTTTCATTTTCTTTGTATCCAGTGTTTAATGCAATGGTTGCAAAGGCAAAATGGTGTGGAGTAGAAGTATTTTTAAATAAGTAAAATGGAATTATGGTTCAAATTTTGGGTAATGGTATGGAATAGCAGTAGTCACTAAGACATTTTGATATCTCCATTTCTGAGCAGCTTTGTATGCAAACAGTGCGCCCATTACTCTAATGAAGAGGAGAAATTTCAAGTTCTCAAAAGTTTCGGAAATTCTAGGTAGAAAGACTTGACAGACATTAAGGTGCTATCAGAAGTATGAGTTGGCTGTTTAGCCAACACTATGATGGTTCACTGTCAATTCTTTAATATTCTAGTGCTAAGGTTAGCATCCTACTCATCAAATGTTTATTGAAGACATTTATCTTCTCTGCTGTCTTGGTTTTCCAAGTTTTAAATAGAAGCAAGTCTTACTCACCTCTTCATGGAAAAGGTACTAAGCTGAGTGTATTTCCTAAAAGCACTAAGATCTGAAATCCTTGACTCAGAAGCTTTTATGTGACTTTAATGGTTTGAGGTATCTCCCATATGCCAGGCCTTCCACAAGGTGCTCCTTACTTTATCTTATCTTCATCTCCAACCCTCACAAGAGGCCTTATTATTCCTCTTTGACAGACAGGAAGCAGAAAGGCTCCACCTCACTCTCATCTAAATTGTGACAAAGCAGTGTCAAATCCAGGAGTTAGGGACAGAAAAGCCAGGGCACCTTCCACCACAATGGGCTGCTACCCCCAATTAGAGGCCACTGAAAACATTCCATGATCATGTGACAACTTCTCTTGCCACTTTATGCTTTAACGTATTTTAATGTGCAAAAGCACACACAAATGTTGGTATATCTGTCATTACTCTATTCAACCAAAGCTTTACATTCTAAAACAGTTCAAGCTTACTTAAAGTTATCATCTTCCCACTCCAGATATATCAGTTGGCTTACCTCCTCTATTTTCATTTCTGTAAACAGTCTCAGTAATAATTTTCCTCCTGGTTCTTTAAATAATATCTTAAACTACCATTTATTGAATGGCTACTATACTTGTCCTATGTACAAGGCTATAGTTGCCCTGTAGATGGCATATCCTTGAATATAGTATGAAACCTATTCGATTAGATTTTACTATATTCCTTCTAGTGTATAGTTAATTGTTAAGCTTGAGACATACCCTGAACTCAGAAGATAGGTGCGGGAAACTTAAAATTTGTTTTTCAATTCACTTTAAGGTTAATAAGAGTTCAGCTCTATTTGTCAGAGAATTCTTTCTGAAAATTAGCAGGCTATCACAGCAAAATGTATGGAAGTATATTTCTATTTAGGTCATAGAGTAAAAAGTTATTCTATATAAATATAGCACATCAATATAAAGATCTTTTTTTACAAAACCTTTCATGCATGCTCCTCCCCAAAAAAGAGAGACACATATGTGAGATGGAAAGTTATCTATCTCTTTACAAGGAATTTTGCCACCAATTGGTTTAATTACCCAAGAATCTTCTACCTGAGACATTCTTAAGTGAGTGGTGTGCATAGTTAATGAAGTATGAGTTGAGCCAGGCTTATGAAATGTCTTCAGGGTCGCATGCTAAAATGCTTATGACAGATATTTCAAAGGCAGCATCAAGTCTGGTTATGCCTAGGTCCATGTGCCTGCCATGAACATAATACACGATCTAGATTCTGACCAGCTGGTTATGGCCTAACTCCTGATTCCTGCTATGTAACTCAATATAGCAACCCTTAAATTTAGTAAAATTTTTCAAGTTGTGCCGTGGCTTGGTCTTTAAGCTTTAATTTACTCCTTTGCATGGTAGAGACACGTGCTAAAAGCTACCATAAATTGTGAATGAGCTATGCGCACAAATATGTGTCACTTACAGCTTGTGCTTGTGGCTACTGTCTTCTCTCCATTCCTTTTATTATTGGACCTACATCCCCAATGAGTCAGGTTAAACTCTTGGGTATGATGCCTAGCTTGAGAATCTGAAACAAGTTTTCAGGAATGCTAGTAAAGAGGTGCCCTGGAACACTAATTTACCATCAGCTATTATTTAAAATGTCACTGTGGAGATTAAACACTGTCTGCAAATAGCAATAGAGAGAAGATTAATCCTCGAATTCAAATGGCAGTTGAAGTTTAAAATTAGCTTTGGAAAATGGACTTCTAGTACTTTTCTTACTGTCATGTTGGGGTCCAAAAACATCTTCCAAAACTTTCTAATGACAGCTATAAAGTTTTTAATAAATATAAATTTCAAACCACCAGTGATACTGACTCTCCAGCTGTATTTACAAAATACTTTTTTTCACTGCTAAGACTGTTTAGATTGAGTTTTCCAGTGATTCACAAGTGAGCCTTAGACTTTGTTGTTGATCAGAGAGAAGTGTGCATATTATAAGCCTGTATGTTGATGAGTTTTCACAAACTGAACACACCCATGCAACCATTTTCTGGATCAAGAAAGAGCAAGATCAGTACCCCAGAAGCCCCACTGTGCTCCCTCCCTGTCACTATTCGTTCCTCACAACTAATTATCCCCACATTTGGTTTTACCAATATGTACTCTTCTGTGTCTGGCTTCTCTCACTTAGCATTTTGTTCATTAGCTTCAATACATCACTCATTTCACTGCTGTGTCGTGTTCCACTGTGTGATTATATCATCCTTTATGTATCCATTCTACTGTTGATGGGCATGTGGGCGATTTCCATTTAGAAGCTATTAAGAATATATCTTTTGGTAGAATCTTAGACTTTTAATAAAACTTGGGCAGGGAAAGGGAAGCCATCTGGTCTCTTAAGGTTTAGAGTAAATTACAGGCATTCTTATCCTTGATGCTTTGGAACGGTATTACTGGCTTCATTGCTGAAACAGTAATGTATAAGTATTACTTGATAGTCTATTTAATTATTTGATATGAACACAAGCTCCCTACTTCCAGGTTGCCCCATGCTTTTCTGCCTGATGGCTGGAACGTGCTGCCATATTACCCTCCTTCTCCTTCAAGCCCCTTCTTAGGGACCGTCTCCTCCATCCTTTATGAAGCTTTAACTGATCCTCCACAAAACGACCTTTCTCTTTTCTGAAATGCCAAACCATTTTGTATATCTCCCTTCTCTTATGTTGTTTTTAATATTATATCCCAACAGCCACCATTTCCTTTGTAATAGTGCTTTTTTAAAAAGTTACACTGGGAATAATTTTTTTTTTAAATACAGAGGTGGAGATTGTTCGATAGTCCTTGTATTGAAAGTTTTTGCAACATGATGTCTCCTGGGCCATGACTATCAGGCACTGTCACAATGCAAGCCTGATACTGACAAGAGAGTCTCACAGATTTTGTAGGCTCCAGAACAAAAGTAACATCCCAGTTTTCTCTCAATTCTATCCCCCTTCAGCCCATGAAGAACAGAATGAGATTCTTGGTCTGATCTTATCCCATGGCCATGTCTCATTTTTCTCCACACCTCCACTGTAGATTTAGCCTTGTGTCACCCAATGTTTAGCAGAACTGGTTCCTATCTGAGGCTCAAAAAGTTCTATCATCAGATGTTTGATTGATTAAACTATTCTGTCCTAGCAGCTTAAGGAATAGATTGGGCGAAGGACATCAAGTTGAAAGGTTGTTTCTGTTTGTTGTGTTTTATGTTTTTGCTGGAGTTATCAGTTTTCCTTTTAATCATTATCAAGGACCTGTGTGATCATTAATACTATACCTCAACATATACTATCCTATTTTAGAGTTCCTTCTTTATAGCTCTCAATTGCCCTGATAGATGTAAGGTTTATGAAAGCAAGGCCATATCTTAATTGTCTTTGTAACTTCACTGGTGTAGGCTCCCAATAATGTCTGGAGAAAGATCAGTGAAAATGAATGGATTGAATGGCTTGGAGAGAGAAGGACTGGCCTGCGAATCTGAGCACAGCTGAATTGTACATAGCCTTCAGCCCATTGCCTCGTTCCTAGGACAAATCTGATTGATAATGTCTCCCCTCTTTCCTACAAGGATATTTTGAGATGAAATTGAATTATACATAACATTTTGAGCCTTTCAGAGATAGTATTACATAAGCCACTTTGCCTCTCAGCAGTAGTGTAATTTAGTTAGATGACATCTTGTGCTGGAGTCCACTTTAATGCAAAGACTTTATTGCAAAGCTTCTTAAAAATAACAAATAAATGATTTAGCCTTTCTGGTGATTTTGAAATGATTTGGGAGATTGCAAATCAAAAACATTTCGCAGGACTAAGTTAATTACCTGACTCCATCACCAGTTGCTCTATTAGTGATGCTGGAGAAAGTTGCTTTCTTCTCTCTGCTGGATTTTGGCTGCCCCTTCCAGGGTGTTGTCAGAATACATTTTACTGTTGTATGAAATAAAGTCATGGAAATGCAGCATTTTAAGCAAATATAGCATCAGCAGTGCCTGGCACATAATAGGGTCTCAGTAAGTTTCTACAGAATAAATTAACGAATCAATCTATTTCTATTACTGCAGTGGAATACAGGGAATATCGCAGCCACATATTCCTTCAGCCTCAGCTTCAATACTGCCTGCCAGTGGTGGGAGTCCCTCTGAAGGCCACTAACTCCATTTGTCAACAAATTTAATTACTCTCAAATGCCACCTTAGACTTCTGTGAGGTTTTTTCTAATTCCACTGGGCGGTTAGTCACATCTGTGCTGCATTCCTCAGGCATCTTATTCATACTTCTGTTGTCATATTTCTCACAGTACATTAGAATTCCAGTTATATAATACCTCTCAGGTCTCCCTTTGTAGACTGTGAACTCCATGACGACAGAAGTATGTCTTGTTTTCTTTGTGCTCCCAGTTCCTAGCATTTACAGAATGGATGAAAGACTGGAAGAAGGGGGACAGAGAAGATGAGAGGAAAAAATAATAAGAACAGGGATATATGTATTGACTGCCAACTCAGCAGTCTCTTAAGAGGGCTGTGCTCATCCCTGAAAGTGTGTACCAAAGACAACCCATTCAGATTCAGGAAGAAAAATTGAAAACAAGTTTGTTTTTTTAATCCTAAGCACTTTAATTCCAATTTTTTATGTATGTTTTGTACTCTACATACTATTTTAAAATGTTTGTGCATATATTTAGTTCATAAATAAACATATATTACAAAGTACACATTCAAAAATTTTCCATTAAAGGTACAAATCACGCATTTGGAGACCCCCCTAGTATATTTGTTTGTCAGGTGCCTCTACTAAGCATTCAATGTAATATTATTTCATTTAGTTCACCAAAAATCCTGTGAGGTATGTACTGTGGTCCCCATGATGAAGAAGTTGATGCATAGAGAGGTTAGGTAATTTTCCTAGTCATTTAAAGCTGGTAAGTGGTGGAACGAAGGCCCAGGCTTAGATTTTTCTGGCTTAACCACTGCCACATCCTCTCTTATTCTTCTCTCCTAGAACCCAGTGTTGTTCTTCAGGCACACTACAGCCTTGTGGATTAAATAAGTAAATTGAATGAATGACTCAATCATATGAAGTACATATTAAAGCTTTCTTCTTAAGAAAAATTATGAAAATTAAAATAAAATGTGTTTTTCATTGTAAAAGTGTGTATTGGCAATGATGAGCCAACTAACATACCTATGTGACACATTAGAACGCTTAATCCCACTTCTTGACCGAAAAACTGAAGAACAGCAAGTCACTTGCTCACTGCTGCAGCTAAAGTCAAGCAGCTGGTATTCTCATGTGCACATCTGATTACCAAACTCCTTTTTTTAAATTGAAATATAATTTGTATGCCATAAAATTCACTCTTTTAAAGTAAGGAATTCGGGAGTTCTTAGTATATTCACAAGATTCTGTAACCATCATTTTGACCTAATTTCAGAACATTTTAATCACTCCAAAAGGAAAACATGCACCCACTAGTAGTCACTTCCCGTTTCCCTTTCCTCCAGCCCCACCATCCGCTAATCTATTTTCTGTCTCTGTGAATTTGCCTATTCTGGACATTTCATATAAAGTAAATCACACAATATGTGGCCTTTTGTGCCTGGCTTCTTTCAGATAGCATAATATTTTCAAAGTTCATCCAGCCCTTCATTACTCTTTAGGCTGAGTAATATTCCATTATGTGGATAAACAAAAACTCATCCATCAGTTGATAGACACTTGGTTGTTTTCACTTTTTGGCTATTATGGATAATGCTTCTTTGAACATTTGTGTGCAAGTTTTGTGTGAACATATGTTTTCAGTTTTCTTGGTATATGCTTAGGAGTGAATTGCTGGGTCACATGGTAACTCAGATGTTTAACATTTTGAGGAACTGCCAAACTGTTTTCCAAAGTGGCTGCAACATTCTACTTTTCTGCCAACACTGTATGAGGGTTTCAGTTTCTCCACATCCTTGCCAATACGTGTTATTGTCTCTTTTTTATTGTAACCATCCTAATGGGTGTGAAGGTATCTCATTGTGGTTTTGATTTGTATTTCTCTAATGACAAGGATGTTGAACATCTTTGTATGTGTTTATTGTCCCCTCAACTACTTCTTTTGAATTTAAATTATTTCTGTTTCCTTTTTTATTTTTGCATTTTTCATTGGGATATACATTTTATTCTTCTTCTTGTGATACGTATTTTGGCCCAAGAACTCTGAAAGCATATTAAATGCTCATGAAATACCTTATTAAAGATTGCCTGGCCTCTCACAGTGCCAAGCTGCTTGTGCCATGAACTATAAGGATTTAACTGAGTTTCCACTGGCAACTTTTTAGGAAGTCTCCACATCACATTATCAGATAACAAGCTTTTATAAACCCCAAATTATGAAGATAATAATGTTTTATTATAAAGCATTTAATGTCATAGGAACTCCAAGAATTTTTTTCAAAATTATGTATTTTTAAATTTTTTACACTCCTATGAGGCAGAAAAGAAGCCAGAGAGTCCTCCAAGAAAGTGTATGTAGAGATATAAACATCTAAAAAATTCTAAGGTGTCTTGGAAAAAAATCCTTATTAGTACAACCAGTGTTTCCAGATGTACAAGAAAATTTTCAAATTGCTTTTAAGTTATATGGCAGTTCTGCGTGTAAATCACACTGCTCATATGTGATTCTAATATTTTAGTAATGTTGAAATTAATGTTTGTTATCAAATCTAGTTTAGGCCAGAGAGAAAGAAAGGGAAAATTTTGAAAAGTCTACATGCCAATTTCCACCTATACCATGAAATAATATTTATACTAGCATCTAAAGATCTGTAGTAGTATTCTTTTTCAAAAAGTACCTGACAGATGACATATACAGTAAATCCACCTTGGTTGGAGCTATGAGATCTTCCAGGCTTTCAGAACTGACAGGTTCCCATCTTACATTCAAATTTTACTTGATGGCTTTTACCAATACTAGTCATTCTCAATCTTACTGCAAGTTGAATATATTTGGTCATTATGTTTACAATGATGAAATTCATCAATTCACTCATAAGCTGTGCTTTTTTAAATGGCAAATTTAAAAAAAAAACTACTTTGAGTTTTTGTTTATTTACTTAATCTACAAAAACTGGTTGGGCACCTACTAGGCACCAGACCTAGGAAAGGCAGTGAGAGCAAAACAGTCATGGTGCTTGCCGTTGTAGAGCTCCCAGCAAACCTGCCAACTCCAGAAACAATTCCATCAGTGCAACTGTGATCAATGCTAAAAGTGAAAATTTTAAGATTCTGAGAGGGCATCATAAAGGAGCTGACCCAGTTTATGGTTGTCAGGAAAGGCTTCCCTGAGGAAGTCATCATAACTGAGGACCTGAAGGGAGCCTAAGCATTACCCAGAACACGAGGCAGAGGGGACTTGCATGTGCACAGGACTAAGAGAGGACTGATGCTTTTGAGGACCTTAATGAAGGACAAAGTGGCTGGCATGTGAGGAGCAAATGGACAGGAGGTGGTATAATGGATGGGGCAGGTAGCGCATGGAGGCATGTTAGGGATTTGGGCCTCTGTCAGTTGGGGGAGCTGCTGTAGGGGTTAAGGCTGTGGCATTTGTTAGTAGCCGTAGAATTAGGCCAAATGACCCTTTGTTATTTTCCTCTCTCTTGGTCAGGAATATGACTGGCGAAACTATCAGCCAAGCCAGATGAGTGAATCCGAGTTACAGATGCTAGCAAGCCTACGGTGGCAACAAAATGAAGAACTGGAGGATGCTGGGACCTCCCATGGCCTGAGTGCCTCCCAGGTGGACAACTGTAATGTCAGCATAAGTACCAGCAGTGACGACACAACCACCTGGAACTCCTGCCTGCCACCCGTGAGTCCCTGGCTTTGCAGCTTCCTCTCATTGCTTAACAAGGAGCAAGCTTTTTTCTAACAAATCCCAGCTTTGCCTGGAAAAGCCAGGACCAAAATGAGAACTCTCCCTATGAGAAATAATCAGAGTCCATTCTGAAATAGTGTTTGAGAAAGGACAGAAATTAGAAGATGACAGTCTTTTCTTAAATTGTCTTATTTACCTTCAGAAAATGTATATATGATGATATATCAAATCACACATTGAAAGAACAAAAAGAACAATTTTACTGTAGACACTGGGTGTCCCATTGTATCCCCTAGTACAAGCCCTGTGGCACATACAAGAGGCTCAATATTTGTTAAATAAGTATTTATGAAATGAATGAACACAGAGGAAAAGACTATAGATACACAAGTATTGCTTGGATATGAAGACAGAAAAGAACCTTCTGTAGAAGTCACCAGATGTTCACTGATTGCTCCCTGTGTCTGATGGGCTACGATAGGCACTGTGGATGCTTCAGAAGCTTATATTCCCATGTGTTTCCATAGTTAAAGCACTTCAGTATGGCCCATTGCCCTCACTATGGCCCAGCAGAGGAGTTGGAACAGGTCTTAGTCTTCCTGTTTTTCAGGTGAAGAAACTAAAGCCTGGGTCCAAGCTTCCACACCTGGTCAGTGGTGGAGCCCAGAGCAGAGCCCAGTTTTTAAACTCAGTCCATTCTCTACAATACTGTCCTCAAGGACCTTACAACTTAATTGGAAAGACAGAGCGTAAACAACAGTCGAACAGTTCAGTACAGCACAAGAAATGTCATAAGGCAGAATAATAAAATCATTGGTATAATAATGATAATTAGAGCTACCATTTCTTTAAGTACCTAGAGCCATTTTAAGACCTCCACAGGCCTGAGAAACATTTACTTATAAGGCTACATTCAATATCATAGCAAACAGACTAAAATATACTTTCATCCAAAAGTAAATATGTTTTTGCTATACAATTTTTAAAGAAAATATAAAATAACTTTTACTCATTTATATATAACTATATAAAGATTGAGTTGAAGTATAGTTGACGCGGATAAGTTAGGTTTTAAGTATTTAATTAAATACATATGAATTTTGTGACTTGCTTTTCATATTTTAAAGCCAGTTTTTTCCAGGTCTCCAACATCTTTGTAGATCTTGGAAATCTCAGAGGCCCTGGCACCTAATGCCTTACATGTTATCTAGTTTACTCCTTACGGCTACTCTGTGTGGTAAGCACTGTTGCAGAGCTCTTGAGTAATGGAGGCTCTTGAGTAAAGTGAATCAGATCTAACTTGGTCTGACTCCTAAGTCTGGGCTCCTGACCACCATGATGTGGTGACTCAGTTGTCAAATGAGTGTTATCCAGTGGATATCTGGATATCCCATGGAAGGTGAGATTTCTGTGCTCTGGGGAGAACTTACACAAGTCTTCATGGAGAAGAATTCCAGTTGGTTTGATGGGGGGATTAGTGCTCTTTATCCCTACCTTGCATACCTTCAGGTTTCTCTTGCCTCAGTTGTGCTTTCATTAAACACAACTATCAAATATACATAACACCTCTGGCAGCCTTGGTGCCAAAAAGTATCCACGCACCCAGAAAAATATCTGACTTCTGGTTACTCTGGTTAGAGTATTCTTGTAGCCAAGCTAAGATCATAAGAGTCAGTTGCAGATTTTTACCAGTACAATTTGCAGTAGAATTGAAACATTGCCTTTCTTATAAAATACTCTGCAGCAGTCATTTAAACTGCAAGTAAGAAAGAGAACAGTGGCCTCCTGATCGAGCTGATTCTGTCATGAAGTAGCTTGGAGACCAACATTACAAAGGGCAAGCTGAGGAATGATTATTTATGGACTGAAAAGGCTGAACTCTTGGTTGCCCTGGATACAGTGTTCTCATCGCTGTCCTGTTCTGGCAAGGACTGAAGTCTCCTGCATGACATCTATTCCACTCGAAAAGTATACAGCCAAAAATAAGGCCTTTGGTAATGAACTTAATAACCCCTCTATTTGACCAAATGAGAAACTGAAAATGGTCTGATATTTTTTAGACAGAGAAAATATTGAAAAGCCTACCTTTGGTATTCATAAGATATGTTTATTATTGCATCAGAGTCAGTCTATCTAACATTGGAACTACCGCCAAATGGAAAATTGTATTCCTTAATGAACTCTGTGTCTTGCTGCTTGTATAGAGTTTAGATAGAGCAATTTTGCAAGCATCATTGTGGTCTTTTTGAGAGCTCATGCCTTTCTCTTTAAAAGTTGCACAGGGACAGTGAAAAAGAAGAAATAAAAGAATTCATAACTTTATTCATCACAATAATATCCCTTTTTTTTTTTTTTTTTTGAGACTGAGTCTCACCCTATTACCCAGGCTGGAGTGCAGTGGCTCGATCTTGGCTCACTGCAACCTCTGCCTCCCAAGTAGCTGGGATTACAGGCACCCATCAGGGATTACAGGCACCCATCACCATGCCCAGCTAATTTTTTGTATTTTTAGTAGAGACAGGATTTCACCATGTTGGCCAGGCTGGTCTCAAACTCCTGACCTCAAATGATCCACCCACCTTGGCCTCCCAAAGTGCTGGGATTACAGGTGAGCCACCATGCCCGGCCTGTCCCACTCTTCTTTTATCTCAGTGAATAATGTCAACATCCATATTGATCCTTTAGCCAGGAATTTGGAAGGCATCTTCATTTCTCCCGCTTCTTTATCCCACATCCAGCTGGTCTCCAAATCCTAAGAATCCTCTCTCCTTTTTATCTCTTAACCCACCCTTCCTAATACCACAGCCTTGGCACTTTTCCTTTTTTCTTTTTTCCCCTTAATCCCATGACAGATTATGCACTTTTTTTTTTCAGTATTTATTTTAGATTGAGGAGGTACATGTGCACATTTGTCACCAGGGTACATTGCATGATACTGAAGACTGGGGTACAAATGATTCATTCATGCAGGTATTGAGCATAGTACCCAATAGTTACTTTTTCAATCCCTGTCCCCTTCCTCCCTCTCTCCTTTAGCAGTCCCCAGTTTCTATTGTTGACATATTTATTTCCATGAGTACCTGATGTTTAGCTCCTGCTTATAAGTGAGAACATGCAGTATTTGGTTTTCTGTTCCTGCATTAATTTGCTTAGGATAATGGCCTCCAGCTGCATCCATGTTGCTGCAAAGGACATGATTTCACTCTTTTTTATGGTTTATGCACTTTATTTTTCATCTGAATTCCTTCAATAGTCCCCTAACATCTCTGTGCCTCCAGTCAAAGCACTGTAACCTGGTGGTTAGGAGCCTCAGCTCTGACGTCAAATTTCCACGGTTGAGATCCAAGCTGTGACCCTTATAAAATGCTTGGCACTGTATCTGAGACATAAGTACTTAATAAATGAAGTTTAGCTGTCATTATTATTATCATTATTATTCACATTAGTGATCTTCCTAAAGCCCAAATCTGATCTGATCTGATCTCTTCATTAGGTAAAGCCTTTCAGTGACTCCCCATCACCTCTTTACCTTGGCATACAGGAGCCCCCATGATCTGAGACTTGCCCTCTCTCCAGCCTCATCTCTCACTGCACCCCACCTTTCACTCCATTCTGTAGTCCCTAGATGCACTCTGCACATTATCCCTGTACCGTGGACCTGATTATCCTCAAGACTTAGCTCTAAAGTCACTGTAGCCCTTCTCCAGGCCTCGTTGTGAAGGATACACCTTCTCTGCCACAAGAGTCAGGAGTATCTCCCTGATAACTCTCACCACAAGCTTGCTTGTCTGTCTCACATTCACTCATTCCACACATATGTTTTTGAGTGGCACACATGTGCTGTGAACTAGGCTGGCTACTGAGGATACAGATAAAGCCTTATCCAAGCTTGAGGTATTCACAGTTTTGGTGGGGAAGCCCAGGTAAACGGCTCACTGTAACTCAGGGTGGCAAGTGATAGAATAACGAGTTATGGGAACACGTGAGAGGGAGTGATTCCGCATGTGGGTTTCAGGGATGCTTTCACAGAGAAGACAACAGTTAAGCCAAAGTTCAAGAATGAGTTCAAGTTTACCATGCAGACAAGAGGGGACTGGAATTCCAAGTTCCAAAAGGAAGCCAAATTAAGTCTGTGGTGGAGGGGACAGTGGGGAGTCTCTCCTTTAGCAAGATAACCTCCTCTTAGTGCCTTCGTTTCTCTGTCAGCTTGCGTAGCACTTGAAATGAGTTTTGCTTGTCTCGCTACCCACCCCCCACCCAACATACACACAAGTGAGCCACTCTGCTCCTGCCACACTGTCAACTTGGCTGTCAGTTGGTGAGCCATGCCCTGTGTTCAGATCAGGCCATGCTCATCTCTTCTCTGTCTGGCAGCTCCTTCTCTATTTAGAAAATGGCTCTTTAATTTCTGTTTTGGTTTTTTGGTTTTTGGCTAATTTTTTATTAAAGACTTATAATTGTTTTGAGCCGTTTTGGGTTCACAGCAAAATTGAGACGAACCCTATTATCAGTGTCCCCCACCAGAGTGGTAATTTGTTACAATTAATGAACCTCCATTGACACATCATTGTCACATTATCAGGGTTCACTCTTGGTGTTGTGCATTTTATGGATTTAGACAAAGGTATAGTGACATGTATCTACCATTATAGTATCATACAGAGTAGTTTCACTGCCCCTAAAATTCTCTGTACTCTGACTGTTTATCCCTCCTTTTGCTTATTTCTGAAGGCCCCAACTCACTTGTCACTGCTTCATGAAACTCTCCCCAACCCTCATCCCACCCTGAACAGAATTATTCGCTTCCCTCTCTGGGTCCCTGTTATCTTCTGGCTCAATTACAGCACTTATGACATTAGCCAACCACTGTTACCACTATCCCCAGGCCTGGTTGTGAATTCCTTGAAGGCAGAACCCTGCCTGTGTTCTTTCATACCTTCTGTGTTGGAGCACAAAGGCTAGCACAAGGCATCACAGCTAGTTGTCAGTCATTACTTGAATGAATCAATCAATAATATTTTTAAAAATTCCTTGTTTACGGATGAGTTTAGGTCCTTTGCAGGGACATGGATGAAGCCGGAAACCATCATTCTCAGCAAACTAATACAGGAACAGAAAACCAAACACTGCATATTCTCACTCATAAGTGAGAGTTGAACAGTGAGAACACATGGACACAGGGAGGGAAACATCACACAGCAGTGCCCGTCGGAGTGTAGGGGGCTAGGGGAGGGATAGATAGCATTAGGAGAAATACCTAATGTAGATGACGGGTTGATGGGTGCAGCAAACCACCATGACACATGTGTACCTATGTAACAAACCTACACATTCTGCCCATGTATCCCAAAACTTAAAGTATAATTTTTAAAAATTCATTTTTTACTCTAAAATAATTTTCGTCAAGATTCCAAAATAAACATCAGCTTTGCTTTGCTTAAATAAATCCTGAGTGATGCATGTAATATTTTCAATTCAAGATTTGATAAATGGATATTAAATATACACCCAAAGGAAAATCTCCTTCTGAGCAGGGCCTGATTGCAAATAGGAAGAAAAAGATGTAGTCCGGTCCCATTCAGTTTAGCATTTTTACCTGACGACTTCACACACATTGCAGTCTGAAGCCAGAAAGCCTACGCAGAGTAAAATGAAGAGTCTTTAGCAAAATCCTTTGTGTTTAACACAAACTTTGATTCCTCAGCATCTGTACAGTTCAGAGTAATATGTACTGTTTAAAAGGTGTTTAGATATAACAAATTAGTCATTTAAAAGTGTAATTAAATGTAACCACATTCCTCATAGCAAATTGGCTTTTGTAGGCATCTCTTGCTAAATAAATCAAGCCTACTGAGAAATCCATTGGCCTTTGACAGACAAATTTTTCAAAGTTTCTAACTTAGAACCAAATTCAATTAAAACAATACTTTACAACTTCTGTGGAAACCAGGCTACAATCAATCAATTTTGGAGAGTTTCTGTTAGGAGTAGCCCTCGTGAGATTTATTCAAAAACTGGGCTCTCGGCAGCCTTTGGAAGGGCACTAGGAGTTAGTTATAATGAATTTTAAGTGAATTTTATCTTGGTGAGGGATTTTGATTGACAATAGCATAAAGCCATGTTGTGTGTGTGTGTGTGTGTTTTCTTTTTTTAAGGAACAGGAACAGCTATCAATGGACACTGCTTCATGGGATGCCCAAACAAATATAAACTCTAGATCAGTCAACCTGGGCTCAAATTCCAGCTCTGCCATTTATGGACATGATCATCTTTGAAATGGAAATAATAAAAGAACCTTCCTAATATTGGCATTATGCAAATCGAATGAGTACATGAAATGCATGTGCCTGGTGCTTAGCAGAGTAAGCTCACACTGACTGTCAACTGCTGTTTCCCCAAGGTTATTCTCCTCAAAGGGCCACTTGAGTGATCAGAACAGAATTTCTAGGACATTTTCCCTTTTTATGACGACTGAGACCTGAAAGAGTAAGCAGAGATTCTGTAGTGTTTGTTTTGATGTGAGTTTAACCATCAGCATACAGACTGACTCCCTCAGATCCTTCCAAATAAACTCCTTCATTATCTCATTATTTCAATATTTCATTTCACTGTCTCTCCTCAAATGTAGATTCAAGAAAAGTAGGTTTATTGTGCAGCTACCCTGTGAGCAGATGCCCCAAAGCTGTCATTCCTTCAGGTTAATAATTAACATAACCTGAACGGGGGCATGGTGGCACAGGTCTGTATTCCCAGCTAATTGGGAGGCTAAGGCAGGAGGATTTTAGCCCAGGAATTCAAGGCCAGTGTGGGTAACACAATGAGACCCCATCTCTTAAAAAAAAAAAAAAGAATTCCCATACCTAATATCAAGCACATAAGTCTCTTTAGCTTACAAAAAAGAAAAGAAAAGCTCATTGCATGCATCCATCAACATGGCATGTTGCAGAGCATAATATTCGGAGAATAACGAGGCAAAATACACTTAATAAAACTGCAGGCATATGGTGAGGTTCTCAGACAAGTTATTTATGGTCTTGATTAACCTTGCAACATTATCGCCATTTTCATAGGTTTTACATAACAACATAAAAATATTATCTTTACCTTTTAACATGGCAGGATTATCTTATCTCCGGTTCTTTTATTTAGCCTTCATTTCGCTCCCTCACCCCAAAATCTCTAGCAGCTTGATCATGGAAAAGCAAAGCTGCTTGTGCTCCGTGGTAGTTAATTATATATGAATACTGTTTTCCTGGCACTAGCACATAGCAACAGCGCCACCAAAAGGCCGAGGTCCTGAGTTTCTGGGATCTGTTCCATTTCTTTGCTCCACAGCATATCAGCGTTTTTGCATGATATTCCTGGTTGCTGTGTATTCAAAATATAATATATTGGCATTTCAGACTCCTTATAATTAATAGGTTTTAATTTGTTCTGATCTACAGATTCATTAACTTCTCAGCTCTCTTTGGGTAGAATGAGTTTTCTTTTAATCCTCCTGAACTAAAAAGGTATGCAGTTGATTGTGCTAAGCTGCAGATAAATCATATGAGCAGATGTTCTTATACAACTATAGAAATGATATACGAAAACTGATATTAGAGTCAGTGTAATAGTGACAATAGAGACAGTATCTGTACTGTCAGGAGGAAATATTGAAATGTGCAAGTTGTTCTGTGTTTAGTGACTATGAAAGTCACCCCAGGAAATAAACTTTTCTTATTCTCAGAGTACTGTCTATTACATTTTATGATTGTCCCAAATTTAGTAACGTGGCAAAACTGATTTTTTAAATTGTAAATACATAGTGACATGTCATGAGAATGAAAACAATGAAATTAATTTATGGTAAGGAGATAGTCATATATATTTCAAATAAATGTATTTCTTCAGGGTCACTTTTTTTTCCTGCCACAAACAGAACTGATTTTGTCATTTTGTTATTCAAAAACTTAAATAGTCACCACTCTAGATGCACTCTCGAGCTGGAATAAACACTACAGACTAGTGGTTGAGAGGGTAAGCTGTGGACTCAGACTGCCTGGGTTCACATTCTAGCTCCACTCTTTCCTGGCAGGCACGATCCTGGGTTAATACCCAGTGTCAATTTCCTCTTCTGTTGAATGTAGTTGTTCATCCTATTTATTTCATAGAATTGCTCTGAGGATCAAATAAGATCATATCTACCAAGAATTAGCATAAGTACTCAATAAATGTCAATCGCCGCTATTATGATGATGGTCGTAGTTCATTGTAGATACTGGTTGTCATCCCTTTGCATCTACTTACGATATTCTCTAGGTATGACTGAATGCCAAAATCAAAACAAATTCTATATTATTTCATTGGTGCTTTCACAGGATGCTACCTACCTAGAAATAGGTTTACTGCTACATATGTTTATAAGCATATTGTAGGGGAGGAAAAATATCTTTTTCTCACCCACCCTGGATTCATCGCCAAGGCCTCTGTTGCAACAAAAGACAGATTAGCAAAAGAAAAACATACAAATTTATTTCATGTAAGTTTTCCATGATACAGGAGTCTTTATAAGGAAATGAAGAACTGAACAAACAGTGAAACTTGAATATTTTTACTCCAGGTTTGATGAAGAGAGGAAAGTGGTGGAGAAATATGATTGGGCAAAGGAGATATGAGCTAATGGAAATAAACGAAGAAAATCAGCAAGGCTTTTGTTCAGATTCTTCTCTGTGTCCCTGTGTCTTCAGAGATAAGGATGTTCCTTTCTTCAGGGGATAGGGACGGCATCTCTCAAATGAGTATCTTATGACCTGCTCCAGGGGGTGTTCAGAAAATCCTAGCTATGTTTTATGACCAGCTGCAGGGGAGAACAGGAGAAGGTGAGAGTGACCTTCCTGCTACTGTAAATGCCATGTCCTGAACTCCATCAATATCCATTTGTAGGTGAGGATGTCTAGCCTCAGACAGCTAGTTGTTCACCTTTCTATGTGTTCGTGTCAGCAGTTTTTATTTGAAAAGTTTCCATTGGTTACTTTTTTGTTTTCTAACACTTAAAAATCACTATGAGCAAAGATGGAAAGGGATCAGTCTGTATAGTCTTTTTTTTTTTTATTATACTTTAAGTTTTAGGGTACATGTGCACATTGTGCAGGTTAGTTACATATGTATACATGTGCCATGCTGGTGCACTACACCCACTAACACGTCATCTAGCATTAGGTATATCTCCTGATGCTATCCCTTCCCCCTCCCACCACCCCACAACAGTCCCCAGAGTGTGATATTCCCCTTCCTGTGTCCATGTGATCTCATTGTTCAGTTCCCACCTATGAGTGAGAATATGCGGTGTTTGGTTTTTTTTGTTTGTTTGTTTGTTTGTTTGTTTTTTCATGATTTTTTTTTATTATACTTTAAGTTTTACGGTACATGTGCACATTGTGCAGGTTAGTTACATATGTATACATGTGCCATGCTGATGTGCTGCACCCACTAACTCCTCATCTAGCATTAGGTATATCTCCCAATGCTATCCTTCCCCCCTCCCCCCACCCCACAACAGTCCCCAGAGTATGATATTCCCCTTCCTGTGTCCATGTGATCTCATTGTTCAATTCCCACCTATGAGTGAGAATATGCGGTGTTTGGTTTTTTGTTCTTGCGATAGTTTACTGAGAATGATGATTTCCAATTTCATCCATGTCCCTACAAAGGACATGAACTCTTCATTTTTTATGGCTGCATAGTATTCCATGGTGTATATGTGCCACATTTTCTTAATCCAGTCTATCATTGTTGGACATTTGGGTTGGTTCCAAGTCTTTGCTATTGTGAATAATGCCGCAATAAACATACGTGTGCATGTGTCTTTATAGCAGCATGATTTATAGTCCTTTGGGTATATACCCAGTAATGGGATGGCTGGGTCAAATGGTATTTCTAGTTCTAGATCCCTGAGGAATCGCCACACTGACTTCCACAGTGGTTGAACTAGTTTACAGTCCCAGCAACAGTGTAAAAGTGTTCCTATTTCTCCACATCCTCTCCAGCACCTGTTGTTTCCTGACTTTTTAATGATTGCCATTCTAACTGGTGTGAGATGGTATCTCATAGTGGTTTTGATTTGCATTTCTCTGATGGCCAGTGATGATGAGCATTTTTTCATGTGTTTTTTGGCTGCATAAATGTCTTCTTTTGAGAAGTGTCTGTTCATGTCCTTTGCCCACTTTTTGATGGGGTTGTTTGTTTTTTTCTTGTGAATTTGTTTGTGTTCATTGTAGATTCTGGATATTAGCCCTTTGTCAGATGAGTAGGTTGCAAAAATTTTCTCCCATTTTGTAGGTTGCCTGTTCACTCTGATGGTAGTTTCTTTTGCTGTGCAGAAGCTCTTTAGTTTAACTAGATCCCATTTGTCAATTTTGTCTTTTGTTGCCATTGCTTTTGTTGTTTTGTACATGAAGTCCTTGCCCATGCCTATGTCCTGAATGGTAATGCCTAGGTTTTCTTCTAGGGTTTTTATGGTTTTAGGTCTAACGTTTAAATCTTTAATCCATCTTGAATTGATTTTTATATAAGGTGTAAGGAAGGGATCCAGTTTCAGCTTTCTACATATGGCTAGCCAGTTTTCCCAGCACCATTTATTAAATAGGGAATCCTTTCCCCATTGCTTGTTTTTCTCAGGTTTGTCAAAGATCAGATAATTGTAGATATGTGGCGTTATTTCTGAGGGCTCTATTCTGTTCCATTGATCTATATCTCTGTTTTGGTACCAGTACCATGCTGTTTTGGTTACTGTAGCCTTGTAGTATAGTTTGAAGTCAGGTAGTGTGATGGCTCCAGCTTTCTTCTTTTGGCTTAGGATTGACTTGGCGATGCGGGCTCTTTTTTGGTTCCATATGAACTTTAAAGTAGTTTTTTCCAATTCTGTGAAGAAAGTCATTGGTAGCTTGATGGGGATGGCATTGAATCTGTAAATTACCTTGGGCAGTATGGCCATTTTCACGATATTGATTCTTCCTACCCATGAGCATGGAATGTTCTTCCATTTGTTTGTATCTTCTTTTATTTCCTTGAGCAGTGGTTTGTAGTTCTCCCTGAAGAGGTCCTTCACATCCCTTGTAAGTTGGATTCCTAGGTATTTTCTTCTCTTTGAAGCAATTGTGAATGGGAGTTCACTCATGATTTGGCTCTCTGTTTGTCTGTTGTTGGTGTATCAGAATGCTTGTGATTTTTGTACATTGATTTTGTATCCTGAGACTTTGCTGAAGTTGCTTATCAGCTTAAGGAGATTTTGGGCTGAGACAATGGGGTTTTCTAGATATACAATCATGTCGTCTGCAAACAGGGACAATTTGACTTCCTCTTTTCCTAATTGAATACCCTTTATTTCCTTCTCCTGCCTCATTGCCCTGGCCAGAACTTCCAACACTATGTTGAATAGGAGTGGTGAGAGAGGGCATCCCTGTCTTGTGCCAGTTTTCAAAGGGAATGCTTCCAGTTTTTTCCCATTCAGTATGATATTGGCTGTGGGTTTGTCATAGATAGCTCTTATTATTTTGAAATATGTCCCATCAATACCTAATTTATTCAGAGTTCTTAGCATGAAGGGTTGTTGAATTTTGTCAAAGGCTTTTTCTGCATCTATTGAGATAATCATGTGGTTTTTGTCTTTGGCTCTGTTTATATGCTGGATTACATTTATTGATTTGCGTATATTGAACCAGCCTTGCATCCCAGGGATGAAGCCCACTTGATCATGGTGGATAAGCTTTTTGATGTGCTGCTGGATTCGTTTTGCCAGTATTTTATTGAGGATTTTTGCATCAATGTTCATCAAGGATATTGGTCTAAAATTCTCTTTTTTGGCTGTGTCTCTGCCCGGCTTTGGTATCAGGATGATGCTGGCCTCATAAAATGAGTTAGGGAGGATTCCCTCTTTTTCTATTGATTGGAATAGTTTCAGAAGGAATGGTACCCGTTCCTCCTTGTACCTCTGGTAGAATTCGGCTGTGAATCCATCTGGTCCTGGACTCTTTTTGGTTGGTAAGCTATTGATTATTGCCACAATTTCAGATCCTGTTATTGGTCTATTCAGAGATTCAACTTCTTCCTGGTTTAGTCTTGGGAGAGTGTATGTGTTGAGGAATTTATCCATTTCTTCTAGATTTTCTAGTTTATTTGCGTAGAGGTGTTTGTAGTATTCTCTGATGGTAGTTTGTATTTCTGTGGGATCGGTGGTGATATCCCCTTTATCATTTTTTATTGTGTCTATTTGATTCTTCTCTCTTTTTTTCTTTATTAGTCTTGCTGGAGGTCTATCAATTTTGTTGATCCTTTCAAAAAACCAGCTCCTGGATTCATTGATTTTTTGAAGGGTTTTTTGTGTCTCTATTTCCTTCAGTTCTGCTCTTATGTTAGTTATCTCTTGCCTTCTGCTAGCTTTTGAATGTGTTTGCTCTTGCTTTTCTAGTTCTTTTAATTGTGATGTTAGGGTGTCAATTTTGGATCTTTCCTGCTTTCTCTTGTGGGCATTTAGTGCTATAAATTTCCCTCTACACATTGCTTTGAATGCGTCCCAGAGATTCTGGTATGTTGTGTCTTTGTTCTCGTTGGTTTCAAAGAACATCTTTATTTCTGCCTTCATTTCGTTATGTACCCAGTAGTCATTCAGGAGCAGGTTGTTCAGTTTCCACGTAGTTGAGCGGGTTTGAGTGAGATTCTTAATCCTGAGTTCTAGTTTGATTGCACTGTGGTCTGAGAGATAGTTTGTTATAATTTCTGTTCTTTTACATTTGCTGAGGAGAGCTTTACTTCCCAGTATGTGGTCAATTTTGGAATAGGTGTGGTGTGGTGCTGAAAAAAATGTATATTCTGTTGATTTGGGGTGGAGAGTTCTGTAGATGTCTATTAGGTCCGCTTGGTGCAGAGCTGAGTTCAATTCCTGGGTATCCTTGTTGACTTTCTGTCTCGTTGATCTGTCTAATGTTGACAGTGGGGTGTTAAAGTCTCCCATTATTAATGTGTGGGAGTCTAAGTCTCTTTGTAGGTCACTCAGGACTTGCTTTATGAATCTGGGTGCTCCTGTATTGGGTGCATATATATTTAGGTTAGTTAGCTCTTCTTGTTGAATTGATCCCTTTACCATTATGTAATGGCCTTCTTTGTCTCTTTTGATCTTTGTTGGTTTAAAGTCTGTTTTATCAGAGACTAGGATTGCAACCCCTGCCTTTTTCAGTTTTCCATTTGCTTGGTAGATCTTCCTCCATCCTTTTATTTTGAGCCTATCTGTGTCTCTGCACGTGAGATGGGTTTCCTGAATACAGCACACTGATGGGTCTTGACTCTTTATCCAATTTGCCAGTCTGTGTCTTTTAATTGGAGCATTTAGTCCATTTACATTTAAAGTTAATATTGTTATGTGTGAATTTGATCCTGTCATTATGATGTTAGCTGGTGATTTTGCTCATTAGTCGATGCAGTTTCTTTCTAGTCTCGATGGTCTTTACATTTTGGCATGATTTTGCAGCGGCTGGTACCGGTTGTTCCTTTCCATGTTTAGCGCTTCCTTCAGGAGCTCTTTTAGGGCAGGCCTGGTGGTGACAAAATCTCTCAGCATTTGCTTGTCTGTGAAGTATTTTATTTCTCCTTCACTTATGAAGCTTAGTTTGGCTGGATATGAAATTCTGGGTTGAAAATTCTTTTCTTTAAGAATGTTGAATATTGGCTCCCACTCTCTTCTGGCTTGTAGAGTTTCTGCCGAGAGATCCGCTGTTAGTCTGATGGGCTTCCCTTTGAGGGTAACCCGACCTTTCTCTCTGGCTGCCCTTAACATTTTTTCCTTCATTTCAACTTTGGTGAATCTGACAATTATGTGTCTTGAAGTTGCTCTTCTTGAGGAGTATCTTTGTGGCATTCTCTGTATTTCCTGAATCTGAACGTTGGCCTGCCTTTCTAGATTGGGGAAGTTCTCCTGGATAATATCCTGCAGAGTGTTTTCCAACTTGGTTCCATTCTCCCCATCACTTTCAGGTACACCAATCAGACGTAGATTTGGTCTTTTCACATAGTCCCATATTTCTTGGAGGCTTTGCTCATTTCTTTTTATTCTTTTTTCTCTAAACTTCCCTTCTCGCTTCATTTCATTCATTTCATCTTCCATTGCTGATACCCTTTCTTCCAGTTGATCGCATCGGCTCCTGAGGCTTCTGCATTCTTCACGTAGTTCTCGAGCCTTGGTTTTCAGCTCCATCAGCTCCTTTAAGCACTTCTCTGTATTGGTTATTCTAGTTATACATTCTTCTAAATTTTTTTCGAAGTTTTCAACTTCTTTGCCTTTGGTTTGAATGTCCTCCCATAGCTCAGAGTAATTTGATCGTCTGAAGCTTTCTTCTCTCAGCTCATCAAAGTCATTCTCCATCCAGCTTTGTTCCGTTGCTCTTGAGGAACTGCGTTCCTTTGGAGGAAGAGAGGCGCTCTGCGTTTTAGAGTTTCCAGTTTTTCTGTTCTGTTTTTTCCCCATCTTTGTGGTTTTATCTACTTTTGGTCTTTGATGATGGTGATGTACAGATGGGTTTTCGGTGTGGATGTCCTTTCTGTTTGTTAGTTTTCCTTCTAACAGACAAGACCCTCAGCTGCAGGTCTGTTGGAATACCCTGCCGTGTGAGGTGTCAGTGTGCTGCTGCTGGGGGGTGCCTCCCAGTTAGGCTGCTCGGGGGTCAGGGGCCAGGGACCCACTTGAGGAGGCAGTCTGCTGGTTCTCAGATCTCCAGCTGCGTGCTGGGAGAACCACTGCTCTCTTCCAAGCTGTCAGACAGGGACACTTAAGTCTGCAGAGGTTACTGCTGTCTTTTTGTTTGTCTGTGCCCTGCCCCCAGAGGTGGAGCCTACAGAGGCAGGCAGGCCTCCTTGAGCTGTGGTGGGCTCCACCCAGTTCGAGCTTCCTGGCTGCTTTGTTTACCTAAGCAAGCCTGGGCAATGGCGGGCGCCCCTCCCCCAGCCTCGCTTCCACCTTGCAGTTTGATCTCAGACTGCTGTGCTAGCAATCAGCAAGATTCCGTGGGCGTAGGACCCTCGAGCCAGGTGTGGGATATAATCTCGTGGTTCACCGTTTTTTAAGCCGGTCTGAAAAGTGCAATATTCGGGTGGGAGTCACCCGATTTTCCAGATGCGTCCGTCACCCCTTTCTTTGACTCGGAAAGGGAACTCCCTGACCCCTTGCGCTTCCCAGGTGAGGCAATGCCTCGCCCTGCTTCGGCTCGCGCACGGTGCACGCACCCACTGGCCTGTGCCCACTGTCTGGCACTCCCTAGTGAGATAAACCCGGTACCTCAGATGGAAATGCAGAAGTCACCCGTCTTCTGCGTCGCTCACTCTGGGAGCTGTAGACCAGAGCTGTTCCTATTCGGCCATCTTGGCTCCTCCCCGCGGTGTTTGGTTTTTTGTTCTTGCGATAGTTTACTGAGAATGATGATTTCCAGTCTCATCCATGTCCCTACAAAGGACATGAACTCATCATTTTTTATGGCTGCATAGTATTCCATGGTGTATGTGTGCCACATTTTCTTAATCCAGTCTATCATTGTTGGACATTTGGGTTGGTTCCCAGTCTTTGCTATTGTGAATAATGCCACAATAAATATACGTGTGCATGTGTCTTTATAGCAGCATGATTTATAGTCCTTTGGGTATATACCCAGTAATGGGATGGCTGGGTCAAATGATATTTCCAGTTCTAGATCCCTGAGGAGTCGCCACACTGACTTCCACAATGGTTGAACTAGTTTACAGTCCCAGCAACAGTGTAAAAGTGTTCCTATTTCTCCACATCCTCTCCAGCACCTGTTGTTTCCTGACTTTTTAATGATTGCCATTCTAACTGGTGTGAGATGGTATCTCATTGTGGTTTTGATTTGCATTTCTCTGATGGCCAGTGATGATGAGCATTTTTTCATGTGTTTTTTGGCTGCATAAATGTCTTCTTTTGAGAAGTGTCTGTTCATGTCCTTCGCCCACTTTTTGATGGGGTTGTTTGTTTTTTTTCTTGTAAATTTGTTTGAGTTCATTGTAGATTCTGGATATTAGCCCTTTGTCAGATGAGCAGGTTGTGAAAATTTTCTCCCATTTTGTAGGTTGCCTGTTCACTCTGATGGTAGTTTCTTTTGCTGTGCAGAAGGTCTTTAGTTTAATTAGATCCCATTTGTCAATTTTGGCTTTTGTTGCCATTGCTTTTGGTGTTTTAGACATGAAGTCCTTGCCCATGCCTATGTCCTGAATGGTAATGCCTAGGTTTTCTTCTAGGGTTTTTATGGTTTTAGGTCTAACGTTTAAGTCTTTAATCCATCTTGAATTGATTTTTGTATAAGGTGTAAGGAAGGGATCCAGTTTCAGCTTTCTACATATGGCTAGCCAGTTTTCCCAGCACCATTTATTAAATAGGGAATCCTTTCCCCATTGCTTGTTTTTCTCAGGTTTGTCAAAGATTAGATAGTTGTAGATATGCAGCGTTATTTCTGAGGGCTGTGTTCTGTTCCATTGATCTATATCTCTGTTTTGGTACCAGTACCATGCTGTTTTGGTTACTGTAGCCTTGTAGTATAGTTTGAAGTCAGGTAGTGTGATGCCTCCAGCTTTGTTCTTTTGGCTTAGGATTGCTTTGGCGATGCGGGCTCTTTTTTGGTTCCATATGAACTTTAAAGTAGTTTTTTCCAATTCTGTGAAGAAAGTCATTGGTAGCTTGATGGGGATGGCATTGAATCTATAAATTACCTTGGGCAGTATGGCCATTTTCACGATATTGATTCTTCCTACCCATGAGCATGGAATGTTCTTCCATTTGTTTGTATCCTCTTTTATTTCCTTGAGCAGTGGTTTGTAGTTCTCCTTGAAGAGGTCCTTCACATCCCTTGTAGGTTGGATTCCTAGGTATTTTCTTCTCTTTGAAGCAATTGTGAATGGGAGTTCACTCATGATTTGGCTCTCTGTTTGTCTGTTGTTGGTGTATCAGAATGCTTGTGATTTTTGTACATTGATTTTGTATCCTGAGACTTTGCTGAAGTTGATTATCAGCTTAAGGAGATTTTGGGCTGAGACAATGGGGTTTTCTAGATATACAATCATGTCATCTGCAAACAGAGACAATTTGACTTCCTCTTTTCCTAATTGAATACCCTTTATTTCCTTCTCCTGCCTAATTGCCCTGGCCAGAACTTCCAACACTATGTTGAATAGGAGTGGTGAGAGAGGGCATCCCTGTCTTGTGCCAGTTTTCAAAGGGAATGCTTCCAGTTTTTGCCCATTCAGTATGATACTGGCTGTGGGTTTGTCATAGATAGCTCTTATTATTTTGAAATACGTCCCATCAATACCTAATTTATTGAGAGTTTTTAGTCTAAAGCAAGGAGGGGCTGAGTCACTAACAAGATAGGATTCTGTAACCACTTCTATTTTCCAAGGGATGGAGTAAGTCATTTGGAATAGAGGTTTGGGCATTGGTGTAAGTAGAATTAATAGTATAAAATTAAGAAATGGAAATTCACCTGAATATCAGGTCTGTGATGCTTAGAGAGTCATGGAAATGCCTCTAAAAATAAATAGGCAGAGGTCCATTCACTGGAGACCTGAGTACAGCTGAAATACTGGACGAATACCAATGAATTTGTTATTGGGAGTATTTCTATACCAGTGTGAGTTTGTCCAGAGAACCTGTTAGGCCCTTTGCTTGCTAATTTCTTTTTTGCTGTGAAATAATAAAGCCTAAATCATAGAACCAAATTTCACTTGCAAATTGCCGAAAGTCTTATTTCTCTAGTGAGATCAAATATGTCTTATGACATGTTTTTCCTTCCACTGTTCTCCCAGCTGTTGTTTCTTATTACTGAAATGGTGATGCATTGATATTGGTTCAATTACCAAAGTATCTGAGTACATTTAAATTCATGGTGCATAACAGGTAGTCAGGCTAAGTGACTGTGATTATCAGATGGGGTGTTTGATTTAAATTAAAGGAACACTTCCAAGAGATAATTTATAGAGGAAGACAGTTTACTCTGAAGAATTCCCATCACCTACATCATTAATATTTTGAGACTTCTTTTAATGAGAAATATCTGGAAGCTAAGGAGTATGAGCTCTGTATATACAGGCACCATGGCTACGTTGTTCTCCTCAGTCAGGGGCCACATTATGATGGGTGAGAAACCCTTAACACCAACCCCACTGGGTTTGGAAGTAGCTAAAGCTCTTTGAATGCAATTTAAACATGTATAGCAAACTCTAAATTGTAATAAAATGAGAATGTTGAAAATGATTTCTTATTAGAATCGCATTGTTGCTAACCACATAAATACTTAGAGCTGATGTTCAAAAAGAGGATGGAATTTTTTCCCGTTATAGAACAAAGGAAAAAGATCAAGTTCCATTGGAAGCAAGTGTTTAGGGCTACATGAGATATAGTTGTTCAGCTATGTTTTGAAATGTAACTGAAAGGTTTCCTGTGGAGGGAAAATTTGAGATTTCACATTTTTGTTAGGTATTGGCATCATTTTTTTCAGCTTATTGATCAGTACTTGAGGTTGTGTTATACACTTGGGGAAAATGACTGCCTTGACCTAAGATTTACATGTGTAATTCTCATTCGTGGTAATAGAAATTATATTTACACACTTACTAACACTGAGACTAAATGTATTTTCTGTGTGTCTGGGTTTCTGTTATTAATGATGGTTGAACTGCAGCATTAGTTCCATGAGATATCTTGTTTGGTTTTGTTTTCCTGTCTGAAAATATCAACCAATGTTAACAGCATAAAAATTCCACAAAGAGGAAAATTTCAATACATGAACTTTAATTACATCATAGATGCTATGAGGTCCAATGACTGGGCCACTAAAATAATAATAATGATAAATGTGATTTCTCATTTATACCACTCTGCTATTTGCTGGATCTGTAAAATAAACCCATACCCTTCTTTTCTTTTTTTATTTTATTTTACTATTATTATACTTTAAGTTTTAGAGTACATGTGCACAATGTGCAGGTTAGTTACACATGTATACATGTGCCATGCTGGTGTGCTGCACCCATTAACTCGTCATTTAGCATTAGTTATATCTCCTAATGCTATCCCTCCCCGCTCCCCCCACCCCACAACAGTCCCCAGACTGTGATGTTCCCCTTCCTGTGTCCATGTGTTCTCATTGTTCATTTCCCACCTATGACTGAGAATATGCGGTGTTTGGTTTTTTGTTCTTGCGATAGTTTACTGAGAATGATGATTTCCAATTTCATCCATGTCCCTACAAAGGACATGAACTCATCATTTTTTATGGCTGCATAGTATTCCATGGTGTTTATGTGCCACAATTTCTTAATCCATTCTATCATTGTTGGACATTTGGGTTGGTTCCAAGTCTTTGCTATTGTGAATAGAGCCGCAATAAACATACGTGTGCATGTGTCTTTATAGCAGCATGATTTATAGTCCTTTGGGTATATACCCAGTAATGGGATGGCTGGGTCAAATGGTATTTCTAGTTCTAGATCCCTAAGGAATCGCCACACTGACTTCCACAATGGTCGAGCTAGTTTACAGTCCCAGCAACAGTGTAAAAGTGTTCCTATTTCTCCACATCCTCTCCAGCACCTGTTGTTTCCTGACTTTTTAATGATTGCCATTCTAACTGGTGTGAGATGGTATCTCATTGTGGTTTTGATTTGCATTTCTCTGATGGCCAGTGATGGTAAGCATTTTTTCATGTGTTTTTTGGCTGCATAAATGTCTCTTTTGAGAAGTGTCTGTTCATGTCCTTCGCCCACTTTTTGATGGGGTCGTTTCTTTTTTTCTTGTAAATTTGTTTGGGCTCATTGTAGATTCTGGATATTAGCCCTTTGTCAGATGAGCAGGTTGCGAAAATTTTCTCCCATTTTGTAGGTTGTCTGTTCACTCTGATGGTAGTTTCTTTTGCTATGCAGAAGCTCTTTAGTTTAATTAGATCCCATTTGTCAATTTTGGCTTTTGTTGCCATTGACTTTGGTGTTTTAGACATGAAGTCCTTGCCCATGCCTATGTCCTGAATGGTAATGCCTAGGTTTTCTTCTAGGGTTTTTATGGTTTTAGGTCTAACGTTTAAGTCTTTAATCCATCTTGAATTAATTTTTTTATAAGGTATAAGGAAGGAATCCAGTTTCAACTTTCTACATATGGCTAGCCAGTTTTCCCAGCACCATTTATTAAATAGGGAATCCTTTCCCCATTGCTTGTTTTTCTCAGGTTTGTCAAAGATCAGATAGTTGTAGATATGCGGCGTTATTTCTGAGGGCTCTGTTCTGTTCCATTGATCTATATCTCTGTTTTGGTACCAGTACCATGCTGTTTTGGTTACTGTAGCCTTGTAGTATACTTTGCAGTCAGGTAACGTGATGCCTCCAGCTTTGTTCTTTTGGCTTAGGATGGACTTGGCAATGCGGGCTCTTTTTTGGTTCCGTATGAACTTTAAAGTAGTTTTTTCCAATTCTGTGAAGAAAGTCATTGGTAGCTTGATGGGGATGGCATTGCATCTATAAATTACCTTGGGCAGTATGGCCATTTTCACGATATTGATTCTTCCTACCCATGAGCATGGAATGTTGTTCCATTTGTTTGTGTCCTCTTTTATTTCACTGAGCAGTGATTTGTAGTACTCCTTGAAGAGGTCCTTCACATCCCTTGTAAGTTGGATTCCTAGGTATTTTCTTCTCTTTGAAGCAATTGTGCATGGGAGTTCACTCATGATTTGGCTCTCTGTTTGCCTGTTATTGGTGTATAAGAATGCTTGTGATTTTTGTACATTGATTTTGTATCCTGAGACTTTGCTGAAGTTGCTTATCAGCTTAAGGAGATTTTGGACTGAGACAATGGGGTTTTCTAGATATACAATCATGTCATCTGCAAACAGGGACAATTTGACTTCCTCTTTTCCTAATTGAATACCCTTTATTTTCTTCTCCTGCCTAATTGCCCTGGCCAGAACTTCCAACACTATGTTGAATAGGAGTGGTGAGAGAGGGCATCCCTGTCTTGTGCCAGTTTTCAAAGGGAATGCTTCCAGTTTTTGCCCATTCAGTATGATACTGGCTGTGGGTTTGTCATAGATAGCTCTTATTATTTTGAAATACGTCCCATCAATACCTAATTTATTGAGAGTTTTTAGCATGGAGGGTTGTTGAATTTTGTCAGAGGCCTTTTCTGCATCTATTGGGATTATGATGTGGTTTTTGTCTTCAGTTCTGTTTATATGCTGGATTACATTTATTGATTTGCGTATATTGAACCAGCCTTGCATCCCAGGGATGAAGCCCACTTGATCATGGTGGATAAGCTTTTTGATATGCTGCTGGATTTGGTTTGCCAGTATTTTATTGAGGATTTTTGCATCAATGTTCATCAAGGATATTGGTCTAAAATTCTCTTTTTTGGTTGTGTCTCTGCCCAACTTTGGTATCAGGATGATGCTGGCCTCATAAAATGAGTTAGGGAGGATTCCCTCTTTTTCTATTGATTGGAATAGTTTCAGAAGGAATGGTACCAGTTCCTCCTTGTACCTCTGATAGAATTCGGCTGTGAGTCCATCTGGTCCTGGATTCTTTTTGATTGGTAAGCTATTGATTATTGCCACAATTTCAGAGCCTGTTATTGGTCTATTCAGAGATTCAACTTCTTCCTGGTTTAGTCGTGGGATGGTGTATGTGTCCAGGAATTTATCCATTTCTTCTAGATTTTCTAGTTTATTTGCGTGGAGGTTTTTGTACTATTCCCTGATGGTAGTTTGTATTTCTGAGGGATCGGTGGTGATATCCCCTTTATCATTTTTTATTGTGTCTATTTGATTCTTCTCTCTTTTTTTCTTTATTAGTCTTGCTGGAGGTCTATCAATTTTGTTGATCCTTTCAAAAAACCAGCTCCTGGATTCATTAATTTTTGAAAGCGTTTTTTGTGTTTCTATTTCCCTCAGTCCTGCTCTGATTTTAGTTATGTCTTGCCTTCTGCTAGCTTTCGTATGTGTTTGCTCTTGCTTTTCTAGTTCTTTTAATTGTGATGTTAGGGTGTCAATTTTGGATCTTTCCTGCTTTCTCTTGTGGGCATTTAGTGCTATAAATTTCCCTCTACACACTGCTTTGAATGCGTCCCAGAGATTCTGGTATGTTATGTCTTTGTTCTCGTTGGTTTCAAAGAACATCTTTATTTCTGCCTTCATTTCGTTATGTACCCAGTAGTCATTCAGGAGCAGGTTGTTCAGTTTCCATGTAGTTGAGCGGTTTTAAGTGAGTTTCTTAATCCTGAGTTCTAGTTTGATTGCACTGTGGTCTGAGAGACAATTTATTATAATTTCTGTTCTTTTACATTTGCTGAGGAGAGCTTTACTTCCCAGTATGGGGTCAATTTTGGAATAGGTGTGGTGTGGTGCTGAAAAAAATGTATATTCTGTTGATTTGGGGTGGAGAGTTCTGTAGATGTCTATTAGGTCCGCTTGGTGCAGAGCTGAGTTCAATTCCTGGGTATCCTTGTTAACTTTCTGTCTAATGTTGACAGTGGGGTGCTAAAGTCTCCCATTATTATTGTGTGGGAGTCTAAGTCTCTTTGTAGGTCACTCAGGACTTGCTTTATGAATCTGGGTGCTCCTGTATTGGGTGCATATATATTTAGGATAGTTAGCTCTTCTTGTTGAATTCATCCCTTTACCATTATGTAATGGCCTTCTTTGTCTCTTTTGATCTTTGTTGGTTTAAAGTCTGTTTTGTCAGAGACTAGGATTGCAACCCCTGCCTTTTTTTGTTTTCCGTTTGCTTGGTAGATCTTCCTCCATCCTCTTATTTTGAGCCTATGTGTGTCTCTGCATGTGAGATGGGTTTCCTGAATACAGCACACTGATGGGTCTTGACTCTTTATCCAATTTGCCAGTCTGTGTCTTTTAATTGGAGCATTTAGTCCATTTACATTTAAGGTTAATATAGTTATGTGTGAATTTGATCCTGTCATTATGATGTTAGCTGGTTATTTTGCTCATTAGTTGATGGAGTTTCTTCCTAGCCTCGATGGTCTTTACAATTTGGCATGATTTTGCAGTGGCTGGTACTGGTTGGTCCTTTCCATGTTTAGCGGTTCCTTCAGGAGCTCTTTTAGGGCAGGGCTGGTGGTGACAAAATGTCTCAGCATTTGCTTGTCTGTAAAGGATTTTATTTCTCCTTCACTTATGAAGCTTAGTTTGGCTGGATATGAAATTCTGGGTTGAAAATTCTTTTCTTTAAGAATGTTGAATATTGGTCCCCACTCTTTTCTGGCTTGTAGAATTTCTGCTGAGAGATCAGCTGTTAGTCTGATGGGCTTCCCTTTGTGGGTACCCCGACCTTTCTCTCTGGCTGCCCTTAACATTTTTTCCTTCATTTCAACTTTGGTGAATCTGACAATTATGTGTCTTGGAGTTGCTCTTCTGGAGGAGTGTCTTTGTGGCGTTCTCTGTATTTCCTGAATCTGAATGTTAGCCTGCCTTGCTAGATTGGGGAAGTTCTCCTGGATAATATCTTGCAGAGTGTTTTCCAACTTGGTTCCATTCTCCCTGTCACTTTCAAGTACACCAATCATACATAGATTTGGTCTTTTCACGTAGTCCCATATTTCTTGGAGGCTTTGTTCATTTCTTTTTATTCTTTTTTCTCTAAACTTCCCATCTCACTTCATTTCATTCATTTCATCTTCCATCACTGATACCCTTTCTTCCAGTTGATCACATGGGCTCCTGAGGCTTCTACATTCTTCACGTAGTTCTCGAGCCTTGGCTTTCAGCTCCATCAGCTCCTTTAAGCACTTCTCTGTATTGGTTATTCTAGTTATACATTCTTCTAAATTTTTTTCAAAGTTTTTAACTTCTTTGCCTTTGGTTTGAATTTCCTCCTGTAGCTCGGAGTAGTTTGATCATCTGAAGCCTTCTTCTCGCAACTCGTCAAAGTCATTCTCCATCCAGCTTTGTTCCGTTGCTGAGGAACTGCGTTCCTTTGGATGAGGAGACGCGCTCTGCTTTTTAGAGTTTCCAGTTTTTGTGCTCTGTTTTTTCCCCATCTTTGTGGTTTTATCTACTTTTGGTCTTTGATGATGGTGATGTACAGATGGGGTTTTGGTATGGATGTCCTTTCTGTTTGTTAGTTTTCCTTCTAACAGACAGGACCCTCAGCTGCAGGTCTGTTGGAGTTTGCTAGAGGTCCACTCCAGACCCTATTTGCCTGGGTATCCGCAGCGGTGGCTGCAGAACAGCGGATTTTCATGAACCACGAATGCTGCTGTCTGATCGTTCCTCTGGAAGTTTTATCTCAGAGGAGTACCCGCCCGTGTGAAGTGTCAGTCTGCCCCTACTGGGGGGTGCCTCCCAGTTAGGCTGCTTGGAGGTCAGGGGTCAGGGACCCACTTGAGGAGGCAGTCTGCCCATTCTCAGATCTCCAGCTGCGTGCTGGGAGAACCACTGCTCTCTTCAAAGCTGTCAGACAGGGACACTTACGTCTGCAGAGGTTACTGCTGTCTTTTTGTCTGTGCCCCGCCCCCAGAGGTGGAGCCTACAGAGGCAGGCAGGCCTCCTTGAGTTGTGGTGGGCTCCACCCAGGTCGAGCTTCCTGGCTGCTTTGTTTACCTAAGCAAGTCTGGGCAATGGCGGGCACCCCTCCCCCAGCCTCACTGCCGCCTTGCAGTTTGATCTCAGACTGCTGTGCTAGCAGTCAGTGAGACTCCGTGGGCGTAGGACCCTTCAAGCCATGTGCGGGATATAATCTCCTGGTGCGCCGTTTTTTAAGCCCGTTGGAAAAGTGCAGTATTAGGGTGGGAGTGACCCGATTTTCCAGGTGCCATCTGTCACCCCTTTCTTTGACTAGGAAAGGGAACTCCCTGATCCCTTGCGCTTCCCGAGTGAGGCAATGCTTCGCCCTGCTTCGGCTCGCACACGGTGCGCTGCACCCACTGTCCTGCACCCACTATCTGGCACTCCCTAGTGAGATGAACCCGGTACCTCAGGTGGAAATGCAGAAATCACCCGTCTTCTGCATCGCTCACGCTGGGAGCTGTACACTGGAGCTGTTCCTATTCGGCCGTCTTGGCTGCCCTCCCACCCATACCCTTCTTGTGGGTTGTGTCTGAGGAAACAGTTACAGTAATGAGAGTGCATGTGAATGTCTATGTAAACAGCTTTGTGCTGATTAAACATTCACAAATGTTTTGTCTTTTCCAGCCTGTCAACCAGGGTCGCCACTATCAGAAAGAAATGAACCCACCTTCTCCTTCTAATCCCCGGTAAGAATCATTAATAATCTACATTTAAGAAAAAAAAAAACTTAGTTGGAAGATTGTACATTTTTCTTGGTTTTCTGAAATTGTTTTCCAAAACTTCTAGCTTCCAAACTTATGTTCTTTCAAAGTCCTAGTTCATCTACTTGTCTTCTTTGGACTTTAGAATAGTGGTAACAGTCTACCTAGGTTTAAATATCTACCTTTTACTAGCTGTGGAATTTTGGGTAAGTCATTTGACTCCATGTAATTCAGGCATAAGAATTACTTCATAGTATTTTGGAAAGATTCAAATGAAAAATTCTTAGAACAGTTCTTGGCACATGGCAAGTTCTCACTAAGTGTTAATTTATTCATTACTTTATTTGCATAACTATTTTATTTTAATAGGTGTCTGATGTTTGGTAAATTTTAGGCATAAATCTTTTTTATATCATCTGGTGCCCTTAAATTTATCAAGATAGCTTATAAAAGTTCAAATGACCAGTCTCTTTTTTCATAACTTTAAAAGTTTATAATCTCAAAATTATTTTATTTCAAAAATGTCATTGGTGTATGAGTCATTTGTCACTAAGGAAAAACCTCATTATTTTTGGTTCATTAGGAACAAGTGGATCTGAATTTGAGTTTTGAAATACATGCTGTATTATTCTACAACTTTCTGATAAATAAGTATATAAGCTAGTTTATCCATATAAATTAGTATTACCTTATCAGTATTTATCATATATTAGGAAATTATTGAAAAGTCCATATATCGTGAGCCTACCTACAAAGTCTTAGTTACTGTGATGCACCTCATTATCCAAACGCATCTGACCTGTACTGTGGGCTGTCCTATGGAGGGTGTGTTAACTATTGCATGGTGTCTGAATTAAGACTCTTTGGTTACACACTACAAAACAGCTTAGCTAGTATTAAAAGACAGAAAGAGATAGGGAGAAAGAGTAAGAAAGGCGGTTTGGCAGGTGGTTGTTAAGTAAGATACGGGGCTGTATTCTAGAACCCAAAGGCCGCCAGGCCTCAGGAGGGGCCTGAAACTAGGAACTAGAAAGGCAAGAGGCAGCCAGGCAGTCTCTTCACTCCATCTCTGCTTGCTTCCTCCCATCTGCTCCATTCTTCTCTCTAAGGACCAGCTTTCTCTGCTCCATAGTCCACATATGGCCATTTGACAGCTCTTGAGTTTACATATCACAGTTCAATATACATGTAGAGGCTAACAGACTACGTCTGAACTTCCTTTTTCAAGAAAGAGAATGTGATTAGTGTAGCTTGAGCCAAGTGCCCATTCTGGTCCAGTCAGCAATAAACAATGAACCAAGCCATGAAAAATGAACATGGCTTCCAGGAAACCACGTAAGTGGTTTACAGGACTTTTATTGGGACCCAGAATATTCATGACACAGATGAGTAAATGTTCTTTACTAGTAATCTCTTCTAAATGTTTCTATTCTGTACACCTGCTCTGGTTATTTGTTCATGTTACCTAGTAGGGTGAATTGTCACTATCACAAATAGATACACTAAAGAGTTTAAAACTGAGGTTAGAATTTCAATATATATAAGAAGGTATTTTAACATTCTTAGAATTAGCTATCTCTCAATAGGTGAACACGTCAGTAAGAATCTTGCAGCTCATCTAGATTTGCCTAACAAATTATTTTTTCTATATGTGAGTAAGCTTTCAAGGTAACTGGAAATCCAACTGTGGTCCAAATTATAACAAGTTAAGAATTTGGGCCAGGCATGGTGGCTCATGCCTATAATCCCAGCACTTTGGGAGACTAAGGCAGATGGATCACCTGAAATCAGGAGTTTGAGACAAGACTAGCCAACATGGTGAAACCACATCTCTAATAAAAATACAAAAATTAGCAGGGTGTGGTGGCATATGCCTATAATCCCAGCTACTCAGGAGGCTGAGGCACAAGAATCTCTTGAACCCAGGAAGCAGAGGTTACAGTGGGCCGAGATCACACAACTGCACTCCAGCCTGGGCGACAGAGTGAGACTCTGTCTCAAAAAAAAAAAAAAAAGAACTAATTTGTAGTCTGAACAAATGAGAGTGATAGTAAGATATGTTAGACAGTGGAGCCATTTGTTTCAATAAAAGGAGAAAGGGGACCTAATTCTCATCCTAATTCTATAACATAGTATATAATCTCAGACAAGCCTCTGACCTCTCCAGACCTTTTTAATAATATGAATACCCTCATGTGTAAAAGAAAGGAGTTGAGTTGCATGCTCTCTGAGGCCAATTCCAACTTTATGATTCTGTGACTTTTACAAGACTCATTATAGCCTTTACTTCATAAACCAGTCTCGCCATTGAAGGATCACACTACTTTTATTTCATTGTCCTATATAGAAAGCATACTTCATAAATATTGGCTAGATAATTGAATGAATGAATATCTAGATGTGGTAATATGCAACTTTAAATATCTCTTTTACAAATTGATTTCCAAAGATATACTGTCAAGATAGAATATGAAATAATTCACCAGTTAGACAGCATTATCTTATGCAACCAATTAAATGTTTATTTATTTAAGAAAAATTAATTTACACTTCTGCATAATGAAATAAAAAGAACAAATTCTAAAGCCAAAAATTAAATACCACCAACCCCATTTACCAGCAAGTTATCTACCAGTTTCCTAAAAAATTATCATATAACTGTTCAGAAAACCTGCAGATGATGTGACTTGGCTCTTGGCTCATAAATTCAACAGCTTAGGAGAATTGGCAGGAAGGCATTATTGGGCCATAAATACAGAAGATGATAAAATTATGAGGTCAGTATATATCATCATATAAAAATGGAATAAATTGAATCATGTAACGCATATAATTTAACTTAAAATTGAAAGTTCTGATTCTTCTTAAGATCTGTATTTATTGTATTTCTTACAATTAGTATCCCAATGCTTTAGACCCTAAAATATAGAACTTTAAATTTAAGGGATATTGATAATTAATATGAAAAAATATAAGAAATGAGAAGGTAATTCTCTGAAGTCCACCCTGTTGGATAAATGAACATCTAACTTGAACCCGTGATTGAAAATTCTGGTATGGAGGCTCTGAACAATACATAAAAAGCAGGTAGGCTCTTGGTTTCCTGAATGAAGTGTGGCTGTGATTAGAGTAATGCCAATATGGCAGAGACGGGGTGGTGTGGACAAGCACTTCCACAGAGAGGAAAGCGTGATGGTGACCTCTGGAAAGTGTGGTGGCCACATGAGCCTCAGTGAGACATCTGCAACTATTCCAGAGACCGAAGATCCTAAGGTTTTTAAATTACATAAACTAGTGCCCACATGTATACATGTTTAGAGAGTCACCTTTCAAATAGCTTTATTAATGTAACAGAATAACCAATATCCCCAGTCTTTCATGCACATTTTTTTTCTTTTTTTTTTTGGAGACAGTCTCACTCTGTCACCTGGACTGGAGTGCAGTGGAGTGATCACTCATGCACATTTTATTCTGGAAAGACTTTTATTTCTGCAACATAACTATCTTCTTAATTTTTTGTGTGCAGGATTAAAATTAAAGACAATATGCAATCCATAAGCAGGCAAATTTGGGTTTTAAAGAGTTAGCTCTAGGATGAAAATAGCTAAAGTGCTGCATATATTCATATATTGTTTTTCTCACAGTAAAGTCATTCACTTTCACTCACAGGGCAGTGTTTGACATTGGATCAAGGTGGGATGCAACAGTAATCATTTTTCTCAGAAGTTTACAATCTAGGAATTGAAATATATATGGTTCACTTAATCATATTCCCTTGCGTGTCTAGATTTGCAACAAAGCCATTTCCCCTTACGCTGTTAGGCATGGGGTGGTATTTTCCATTATTTTTTCCTAACACACTAACTGATATTTAAACAGCATCACAGATGCTGGGGCCCTTGCCTCCAGCGTCCACCAAACATTGCCTCTTAGGGCACTGACAGCCTCTATGACAAGGTGCAGAAATGGCTAACATAATCTCACATAATGTAGAGAAGTGTGGGGTAGGAGGAAACAATTTCACAGTTCATTCATGTTGAGAAACGTTTCCTAACATGTACACTTGCATGCTGCCAAGCAGAGCAAAATGGATGCCATTTGCAGCTTCAAGTCATTTATTTTAAAATGCCATCTATTGGTTTGTGGGGTTTAGAGCTGTCCCTTAGGCACATTTATTTAGATGCTTGTGTAGATTCTTCAGAAAAACGTAAGATATTCCTGCTCAGGAATGAGTTTTATGAAATAAGCTGTGATTACCTTCTGGTTGTCTGTTCATAGGGATGGAGTCAATAACCAGTCTTTCGTTTCAAATGATGATTATACTTGCTATTTTTACAACTCATTGGAAAATTAGGGGGAGGGAGGAAGGAATGTAGTCAAAGGCTTTGCAAGGTTCTAAATGTTCATGGAAATATATAATATACAAAATAATTCAGAATACCCAAACAGCAAGAATGGCATGATTTTCTAAAGTGTTTGCTCAATGATTTGTCACTTATCTGTAGTTTTTAAAAATGTCATTGCAGATTGTGTTAGGGCCTGAATCCTTTGCAGCCTTGCCACATGTTTGTGTGATAAACACACTTATAACCATAATTATCTGATAAAGCCCTGCAGTCTTTGACAAATGATTAATAACCACTGACCTCAGTTCCCGCTGGCTCAGCTGGCCTGGCCAAGGCAATCTGGCCTGTCGTTGTAACCCGTGTGGCTCCTCCAGACTGACCACGGTGGTATCGTTTTGTTTTTTTTTTTCCTCTCCAGTTGTCACGATGCAACCTGATGGGCATCTCTTCTATTGATTAAGCTTTTTAGTTTCCCATCACAAAAGAGAGAAAATGTATAAATTAATAAAATTAAGTACAGAACTTTAATGTTCCTCTTCAAATGATTAAGTTTCGCTCATTTTAAAACAAGTAAGTTGAATTTTTAACAAATAGTCCTCCTTCAAACCAAGACATGACAGAGGATTTCCTTATTAACTAAGCAAACATTTTGTTTCTCAAAACATAGTGTTATTACTGTTTCCTGTTATCCAGATTTTTGCACTAAATCGTAATGATTTGATTATGAAACCAAAGGCATCAGTTGTTGTTTTTATCATTTCTCTTGTTGGCTTCAACTAGGAAAAGATTCATTACCTCTTCTTTCATAATCTCATTCCCACAGATTTCACACCTGCTCTTTTGAGGGCCCTGATGCTCCACATTTAGAACCCACGGGTCTGGCTGAAAGCTCATTTACTGATGACCTGTCTGGCTGTTCACCAAGTTCCTCTAAGGCAGGAACTTACTCTCTCTCACTTTCTCTCTCTCTCTCTCTCTCTCTCACTTACTCCCCACCCCCACCCCACCCCACCCCAGTGTTATTCAACACACGCCTGTCAAGGGCAGGAGTTTTTTCAGTATTTGAGTTGAGGGAGGGCATGAGCAAGTGAGTAGGTATACACCTGGACACCATGGAAAATGAAAATCTTCATCCTAAATGTTAACCAGTTAAACTTCAGATTTTTTTTCTTGTGTCTCTGCAAGAATTGCCCTTTCCTTTCCTGGAAATAGGAGGACAGTGATATTGTTTCATTCATAACCAGATAAAATTGTGTTTTGATGAGAGGCCCTGGTTTGGACAGAGTTTAAATCTGATTTTCATGCATGTACCACTCCCTGCTGATGCAAAGATCCATAGGCACTGGTAACATTTGGAATAGCCCTAGTCTTTAAGACATAATAATTAATAATAGTTTCTAATATTCCTATATTCCAACAACTCTCAAATTTATATCTCCAGTCCTGACCCTCCCTGAATTCCAAACTGATCTATGTAGCTGCCATCATGCCTAAAATCCAGCCATTGAAAAGGTAACTTGATTTTCTTCTGCAAATCTATTCTTTCTTCACTCTTCTCCATCTCAGAAAATGCCATCAATACCCCTCTCCACCTTTGCTTAAGCCAGAAACCAAGGGTGATCCCTGTTCTGTCTCTCTGATACACCTGAATGTCCAGACTCAGCAAGTGTTCCCTTCAAAGATAGTATATGCCAAATCCAGCCTCTTTTCTCTGTTTTCACTGCTATAGTCTGAGTGCAGGTTGCCATCACCTCTCACCTGGGCAAATACTGTAAACCTCCAAACCTGCCTTCTCTGCTTCTCTGGCCTCTGTAGTCTTTTCTCTGCTTAGCAACCAAGTGGTATACAGGCCTCAATCAGATGCAGGCATTGCCCCTTGTAAAACTTCCCAGTGGTTTCCCATTGCCCTTAGGACCAAATTACGCTTACCCTGGCTTTTGGGGCCCTGGAAGCCCACCTCTCAGATGGTGTTTCACACCACTGAGCACCTTGCTCGATCTCTACTGGTTCCTTCTCTTTCCCTCTGATACTCCAGGCTTGGTCCCCACTTAGGAGTGCTGCCTGGATGGAGTTCTCTTAACCAAGGTTGCTTCCCAGCTGCCTCTCCCTGTCAGTAGAGTCTCCACGTAAATAAACATCCTCTCCTCAGGAGGCCCTTTCTTAGTGTCCACCCTAAAATAGCCCTCAGTCACCTTTAGCACATTATCTTTTTTGTTTTCATCACATTATTCCACTAACTGATGTTTCCTTGTTTGTCTGTTTTCTACACACACACACACACACACACACACACACACACAGACACACACACAGACACACACACACTGCTCCTTCTCGAATGCTGGAATGTAAACTGCATGCATGTGAAAACCTTATCTCACTTGTTCAGTGTCTCCCTAGTTTCAAGGGATATACTTGCCAAGCACATAGGAGACACATAAAAAATAGGCACATAAGAGACACATAAAAAATAGGTGTTGAATTCAGTGAATCTCACCACTTAAAAATGAACTTCCCTCATCTCTCTACACTAGCTACGTCACTGTGTATTCCACTAGCTGGAGCCCATGAGCACCTGTATACTTCTCTACCTTAAGAGTCTCTAGTACCTGGCCCTGTTCCCATTTATAATAAACGAAACCTTTTTTGTGAGTTTGTTTTAAAGATCCCTTAAAAGATATCCAGAATATAAAGTATCTGATATCATTTTACACCTTTAAATAGAGACAGTTTTCTAAAATTGAATTAGTGTGTTCGCCCTGTATTCTTACTGGCAGTTGCTTATTTGTATGGGCCTATTCACACGTATTTTATGGAGTCAGAGTACCACTTGCTAGAAATCTGGTTGGGTTGCCACTGCTGCAGAAGGTGTACTCAGTTCTCACCAGGCTAATAGAATCTGGGTAAGCAAATAGAAAAAAAAAACCATTATTTATATGCATACACATACATATATACACATTATATATATACATACAAGCGTACCTCAGAGATATTGTAGGTTGAGTTTCAGACCACCACAGTAAAGCAAAAATCACAAGAATTTTCAGCTTCCCAGTGCATGTAAAAGTTATGTTACTATTCTTTAGTCTGTTAGGTGTACAATAGCATTATGCCTAAAAAGAACAATATACATGCCTTAATTTGAAAATACTTTATTGCTAAAAAACTGCTAACAATCACTGAGCCTTCAATAAGTCATAATCTTTTTGCTGGTGGAGGGTCTTGTCTGGATGTTGATGGCTGCTGAATGATCAGACTGGTTGTTGCTGAAGGTTGGGGTGGCTCTGGCAGTTTCTTAAAATAAGACAACAATGAAGTTTGCCACATCACTGGACTCTTCCTTTCGTGAAAGACTCCTCTGTGGCATGCAATGCTGTTTGATGGCATTTTACCCACAGTAGAACTTCTTTCAAAATTGGAGTTAATCTTGCCCAACCATGCTGCTGCTTTATCAACTCAGTGTATGTAATATTTCAAATACTTTGTTGTCATTACAACTAGTGTTTACATCATCTTCACCAGGAGTTGATTCATTTCAAGAAACCACTTTCTTTGCTTACCATAAGAAGCAGTTCCTCATCTATTCAGGTTTGATCATGAGATTACAGCAATTCAGCCACATCTTCGAGCTTTATTTCTAACTCTAGTTCTCTTGCTATTTCCACCACATCTGTAGTTCTGTCTGCCACTGAAAGTCATCCATGATGGTTGGAACTGATTTCTCCCAAACTTCTGGTCATGTTGATATTTTGACCTCCTCCCATGAATGCTGCATGTTTTTAGTGGCATCTGGAATGGTGAATTCTTTCCAGAAAGTTTTCAATTTACTTTGCCCAGATTTATCAGAGGAATCACTATCTATGGCAGCCATAGCCTTACAAAATGTATTTCTTAAGAAGACTTGAAAGCTTAAATTACTCCTTGATCCATGAGCTGCAGAATAGATGTCGTGTTAGCTGGCATGAAAACAATATTCATCTCCTTGTACATCTTCATTGGAGCTCATGGGTGACCAGGTGCATTGCCAATGACCAGTAATCTTTTGAAAGGAGTCTCTTTTTTTCTGAGCAGTAGATCTCAGTAGTAGGCTCAAGATATTCAGTATACTGTGCTATAAGCAGATGTGCCTTCATCCAGGCTTTGTTGGTCCTT